>NC_000017.11:78738440-79038850 GCF_000001405.40 Homo sapiens
CAGGAAGTGCTAGACTTTGGCCAAGTCTCACTGGGGAGCTGGGAACACACACATCTACAGCAAGACAACGGGGCGCTGTCTCCAGTCAGACTCTGAAGGTGCTGACATGACTCCAGGGCAAAGACTTCATCACATTCTCTTCTTTCTTGCCTAATAACAGTTGAATAAATACATATGCATATATTTAAAAAAAAAAAACACTTTGTTTTGTAGAGGCAATTAATATAAACCCAACGTGTCACCTTTTGGTTTAGTATGTCAAAATCACAGTTGTAAGTCCCAGCCTGCACCATTTCAAAACCTATGTTTAATGATTCCCAAACAGCATTTCTATCTTCTGGTATCAGGTCTGATTCACAGCCAGTGATCCCAACTTGTAAGAGGGCAGGTCACTTCTATTTTCTCCCTACTGTCAAATGGTATAGCGTTTCTCTGGAATAGACACCCAAAGGCAGAAAAGCTGGTCATGAGGCCTGAGTACTTAAAGCTTTCACAGATGCTGCCAAAGTGCTTGCCACGTCCCTGATGGGACCAAACTTAACTTCTGCCAGTCAGACAGTGGGAAACGGTTTCTCGTTGTTGTTGGTCATTTGCACTGACCTGATTACTGATGATGCTGATTATCTTTTCGTAAGTTTGAGGTATTTCCTCTTTCATGAATTGCTTTTTCAAAGCCTTTGCCCACCTTTCTATTGCTTATCATTTTTTAAATGATTTGTAGATTACAAATCCTTTGTATGAAATGTTACAAATATTTTGTCATAACCAGTCACTTGTTTTTAAAAAGTTTTTACAAAGATAGTTGTATCTTTTGTCTTATCTGTTTCGTTCAACATTCACTGAGCACATTAAGTGCCAGCCACTAGTGAGACATCAGAGGACTAAAGAGACAAAATGCCTGCCCTCGTGGCGTCTCCACTCTAACGAGATGGGAAAGGTGGGGAAACAAGTAAGTAAAATATGCAGTATGTCAGAAAATAAGTACTGTGGAGTGGGGGAAGTGGAAGTGCAGTCAGGGAAGGCCTCTGCTGAGAAGGGCCAGGAGGCTACTGTGGCTGGAGCAGGAAGAACAGTGTAGGGAGGAGTGGAAGATATGGTCGCAGAGGTGAGGAGGGTGGTAGGCGAACTGCATGGGGCCTTGGCAGCTATTTTAAGGACTCTGGTTTCCATTCTGGGTGAGATGCATAGCTGCTGCCAGGGTTCTGAGCAACAGAGCATTTTGTGGCTTCCTTTGTAACAAGACCACTCTGGCTGTGGGGAAGAACAGACTGGAGACAGCCAGCACAGGAGCTGGAGACCAGTTGGGGGGCTGCTATAGTCATCCAGGTGAGACGGGTTGGCGGCTTACTTGATAAAAGTGGCCATATTCTTGCTATATTTACTTTCAGGGTACAGCCAAGGATGTCCCAATGGAGTCCACGTGAGGTGTAAAAGAGAGAAGTCAAGGGTGACTCCGAGCTTTCTGGCCTGGCAAGTGAAAGAATGGAGCTGCTATCTTTTCTTTTTTTTTTCTGAGACTGAGTCTCGCTCTGTTGCCCAGGCTGAAGCGCAGTGGCGCGATCTCGGCTCACTGCAACCTCTGCCTACTGGGTTCAAGCAATTCTCCTGCCTCAGCCTCCCGAGTGGCTGGGATTACAGGTGCCTGCCACCATGCTGAGCTAATTTTTGTATTTTTAGTAGAGGCGGGGTTTCACCATGTTGGCCAGGCTGGTCTCGAACTCCTAACCTCAAATGATCCACCCACCTTGGCCTCCCAAAGTGCTGAGATTACAGGCGTGAGCCATTGCACCAGGCCTGGAGCTGCTATCTTCTGATATGCTGCCAACCAGGTCCCCCATCTCCACTCCCCACAGCCTCTGCCTTAAAGGCCCCATCATTCCTTCCACCCACCCATGGCCTCACAGGTCCCCTGCTCCTCCAGACCTTTTGACTTTGAGCTTCTGCTCCCACTATTCAATGCCTCATTCTTGTTATACTTCCAGTTCACATTCTCAAAAGAGGGACTCTGACTGGCTCGTTTAATAGCCATCATCCCTATTGGGCACAGCAGGCCACCTCATAGGCTCCTGGCCAGGCAGCGTCCCTTAAAGCTGGAAGCATGGCAAGGCATACCTGGCTCAACACCACACTGTCATCTCTAGTACAACAATTACCACTGTTTGTTAAAAAAGGAAATAATGAATCTCATGTCTCCAATTCCTTAAAATAGACATTTAACCACTGCATCACCAAATTGTATGTTTCACTCACTCATAAGTGACCATATAATTTATCATCCATATTGAGATATTTTTGAGATTGCAAATGGGTACTATTAATAATTACATCAGGCAGTCAGCATAAACTGGGATTGTCTCTGGGAAACTAAAACATATAATAACCCAACTCATGAGGCATATCTATAACATCAATCCCAAACAGAGTGTTAGATTACTACGTATTTATTTAAATGGAAGCTTTTAAAAAGTTTCAAAGTACACTTTAAAATAACTAAAAAAATAATGGCACATTACAAAACCAGAACAATAATCTAGGGCCTCAGAGCAGTGTCTGAACAAATGATATCGGAAACATACAGGAGCTAGCACAGGCCCTATGAAAAGCAATAAATCAACAAAGTAGAAGAAAACACTCGTTCGTCATTCACATTAAAAAGCACACATTAGGCCATTTTGATGCAAGTGTTGTTGATTCAAGACATTTTATATTTTTAATTAATAAATCCCTTAAATAGATTTTAGCCTCACCCCCTCCAGCAATAGATTAGGTGGGAATACACAAGCATGTAATGGTCTAAAATGTTTCAAAACTAGGCTGGGAGTTGTGGTTCATGTCTGTAATCCCAGCACTTTGGGAGGCCAAGGTGGGAGGACTGCTTGAAGCCAGGAGTTCAAGACCAACCTGGGCAACAAAGCAAGATCCTATTTCTACAAAAAAATTAAATAAATGACAGTAGAAAAAAAAACGTGAATATTTATATAATATTCTAGGGAAGGTTTGTTTTTTGAAAGCATAATACCCATATCAATCATTATCCCAGAGACAGAAACATTCCTAGAGTGGGAGTGTGCAGAAAGGTAAGATAGGCACCACCTATAAAAGTGAGGGCAGAGTTTAGAGAGGACACCAAGGAGTAATAAAGCCCCCCAGACTAGCAACAGGGGCAGCCCCCATCACTGCTAAGTCAAGACGGGGTGCGAGGGCATCATACTGCTGCTAAAAGTGGCAAATGGGAGCTCTCTGGCAAGAGTGTCAGTAGAGGATTCAGCAAGCCTCAGTTACCAGCAGGAGAGAATCACCTTGACTTCACTCTTCTCTCACCCTTGCGTCTCCTGGTCAAACCCAACCAGGAACCACACTCCCTCCAGGACAGCCTCCGGCAGACAGCAGGATGGAGCCGGACAGGAAGTAGAGCTGGAGGCAAAAGGAAGGTGTCGGGTGCAACCCTCAAGCCAGATCCTGGGGGCCAGGTTTCCCACTGTCAGGAAAAGGAATTTGGAAACATGAAAAGGGGGAAGGCTAGAAAGAACCCTAAGGTTGGAATGGAATTGAAGGAGCTGGTATGTTTAATGGTTGCATTATGTATATGTTGTAACTTACTTAACCACTTCTACTGTTGGGCATTAATCTTTTTCTTTCCTTATATCCTGTAAAATGCTGCAACATCCTTGTAACCTTTGCCTCCTCAGCTCCTACTAGTTCCTTAGGCTAAATTTCTCTAAGTGGGCTTAAGAGCTGGTCAAAAGATACGAACTACTTTAAGGCTCACTATACACTGCTATGAAACTGATTTCCAAAATAACTGTTTTCATTTACCAGCTGTCTTCTAACATGCTGCCCTGCTGGGCCAGTGGCTCATGCCTATAATCCCAGGCCTTTAGGAGGCTGAGGTGAGAGGACTGACTGAGCCCAGGAGTTTGAGACTAGCCTGGGAGAGAAGGTGGGACCCTGTCTCTACAAAAAATGTAAAAATTAGCTGGGCGTGGTGGCACATGTCTGTGGTCCCAGCTACTTGGGAGGCTGAGACAGGAAGATCGCTTGAATCTGCAAGGTTGAAGCCACAGTGAGCTATGATTGTGCTGTTGCACTCCAGCCTAGGCAAGAGTGAGACCCTGTCTCAAAAATAAATAGGCCGGGTGTGCTGGCTCACGCCTGTAATTCCAGCACTTTGGGAGGACAAGGTGGGTGGATCACTTGAAGTCAGGAGTTTGAGGCCAGCCTAGCCGACATGGTGAAACCCTGTCTCTACTAAAAATACAAACGTTAGCTGGGCGTGGTGGTGGGCGCACCTGTAATCCCAGCTACTCGGGAGGCTGAGGCAGGAGAATCACTTGAACCTGGGAGGCAGAGGTTGCAGTGAGCTGAGATGGTGCCACTGCACTCCAGCCTGGGAGACAGAGCAAGACTCCATCTCAATAAATAAATAAATAAGTAAAATAAAAAATAAAGTGCTAGCCTAGCCACAGCTAAATGCACAGTGTGGATTATCATTTAAAACACACGCCAACTAGACAGACATAATGTAGTATTTTAATGTCTACGCTTCTGTGGTGTGGTGGTGTCAGAGCTTCTGTTGTATTTATTTAGTGTGGGCATTTGTCCTGTGAGTTACTTAAAAGTATTCCTTGGCACTTAAAAAAAGTAATTGGAAAATGTTGCGTAACTATTTTTGTAGAGACAGAAAGATGTCTATGTTATACTGTTAAATGAAAAAATCATGTAACAAAAATGCATAGACTATAAAAATGAAAAAAGAAATAAGCCAGGAAGAATATATACTAAACACATTAACAATCATTATCTCTGGGCGGTGGGATGGTAGAGAATTCTCCCATCATCTCCGTCCACTCACCAGCCCCTCCTTCTCTGTTCTCGTCCACAGTACACCAGACTCCACACTGGTCTCCAGCCAGCAGTCTTACTTTCCAGCTTCGCTCCCGTGTCATGGCCTCTGAAGCTGTCTACCTAACACAAATCCCAAATCTCAAATCCCTGAAACATGCCCAAATCCTAAACGTTGTGAGTGCCAACATGACACTCAAAGGAAATGCTCACTGGAGCATTTTGGATTTCCAGTTTTCAGGTTAGGGATGCTCTGGCAAGTACAATGCAGGTACTCCAAAATCCAAAAAAATACTGAAATCTAGAACTTGTCTGGTTCCAAGCATTTCAGATAAGAAATACTCAACCCATAGTCCTTTTTGATAGCAGCCTATTCTTGTTTCATTCATTTAATATCTGAGACTCTTAAGTATATACTTTTTAAGGCTTTCTTCTACATGTCCCATGACCTGTTTCCTTAAACTATTTGCTCTTTTGCTTGCTAACACTGAAGATTTTCCTTAAGTCTCTAGCAAGCATAGTCTACTTCTTCTCATTTAAGAGTGACACACTAATAACCTGGTTAAAAGCCGTGTGGTAGGCATGGCCTATAGATTGATGTGTGGCAATGTAATATGATAAGGCAGTAATGTGTAGAGACCCCACATGTGGGGCTCGGTAGCTTATTTTTGCTTAGACTAGTTACCCAAAGAAGTATTCTCCAATCCCCTACCTGGGCTGTGTGGAGTGTAAAACTGACCACCAGTATTTGTGGGGGCTACACTGAGGAAGAAAGGATGGGAATCTCACAGTTAAATATACGGGCTTTTTCGGTGCTGCTTCTTGGTTGGTATTTTTTAAAATAAATATAGATTTTCACTCGCTCTCTGTATCTTCACAGCCTTCTTCAGAAATTAAACCTTCATGTTTACCAGAAGTGCAAGAGAAACTGCCTTGCTGCAGGAGATGGAGAGGAGACCTGGAAATCTTAACTGCCAACAATGAACACTTTCAAACCACCCTCGTTTCCTTATCTCCATTCTCAGAGGTGCTGGGTACCCTGCAGCCTTTCTGGAATTTGGGGGTAAATCATTTTGCTTCCTGGTATCCTCTCTCTGCAGCTTAGACCTTTCCTAACAAGCTGCCAAATGGGAGACAGCTTAGGGCATACAATCACGCAAGTGTCCTCCAAAGTCCCGAAGAACATCTGCAAGGTGGGGTGGAGCATAACAAAGACTTGTCCAGCCTCTGCAGGCAGAAATCCAGACACCTGGACACACTGCACAATTCTTTCAAAGGTTCCTTCTACTTTGGTTACCTAAAAAACATAGAGGTATACTATTTTTGTGTATTGACATAAATGCATCTATTAGACCTTGGGGGAAAAAAGAGTTGATGGCAAAGGATATATGTAATGTGTCAACAAGAATTCAAAGAACTTGCCATTCCTTGACATAGGCTTACCTTGTACCTAGCAAAGCAAGCTATGGGATTTCTGATCACATTTGCTAGTACATACCTTCATGACACAGACTTTTTAGCACTTTTGTTATCAAAAGAAAAACTCAAAACCGATTAGATGTCAAAAAAAAAAAAAAAAAGAAAACCTAAACCATATCCTTTGTTTTATGTACACAATTTGCATTTACTTCAATTTTTGCCTAAGGACCAGTAACTCTTGCAAGAAAAAAAATAAGAGAGGTATGCATCACAAAGACTGATCTTATTTAGTTTCTATCAAGAAAATCCATGACCAGTTCCATAACTTGCCACAAAACTGAAAAACTGTGTGGTTTTGAGTATGTACATTTTGGGGATTTTTCTTTCTGAGAAGGGGGTCAAGAGCATTGGTCAGATGCTCAGAGAGGACCCTTGAGCCAGGACTGCAGTCTCCTGTGCACCGTGGAGCCTGGGAGCATTGGGAAGACCTCGAAGAACTCTGGTTCAAGTAATTGCTACTTTCTGGAGGCAAAAGAACAGTGCCCCTTCAGGACCCACCATCGCCAACCTCACCACAGCCCTCGGAGGCATCTGGAAACATGTCAAAAAGACTTTGGAAAGTATTAATTTGACATATTCATGATGATAAGGTAAACAGAAATAACCTCCTCCATAAAGACAAAGCAGAAACAGCACAATTTACAAGCGAGAAAGAATAAGAAGAAACCTGAAATTGAAATAAACTTCACACTACTCCTAGAAGTGGTTGCTACAGTAGTTTTAAACGCCCTTTAAAATAAAGTCAAAAATACTGAATGTCATAAATTCCATCTGTGCTGCCCTCTGCTGGCTACATGAAAAGATTGTTAAAAGATTGACATAGAAATTGCACCAAAAAATTCCATTACCTGGCTGGGCGCAGTGGCTCACCCCTGTAATCCCGGCGCTTTGGGAGGCCGAGGCGGGTGGATCACAAGGTCAAGAGATCTAGACCATCTTGGCCAACATGGTGAAACCCCGTCTCTACTGAAAATACAAAAATTAGCCAGGCATGGTGGCACACACTTGTAGTCCCAGCTACTCGGGAGGCTGAGGCAAGAGAATTGCTTCAATCCAGGAGGCAGAGGTTGCAGTGAGCCGACATTGTGCTACTGCACTCCAGCCTGCCAACAGAGCGAGACTCTGTCTCAAAAAAAAGAAAAAAAAATTTCATTACCTTTTGAACATATATAGGGAGAGGAGAGGCAATTCATGTTCTACCCAGCGCATGTGCCAGTTCCTATGTGTATATTCACCAGTACTGATTTCCTGAAAGGGCTTTGTTAATATCAACATTGGTTTGCCCTTTGTCCACACACACTGGCTAATTTGAGGGATAGTGATAATAGGCTTCTACTATACAGGCAGACATAGGCAAAAAACTATATACACAATAAATAATAAGTAACATGCTAGAAAGTGATGGGTGCTATGGGGAAAAGAGAAGTATGTGGCAGGGGGTGGGGTCAGGTATTGTTAAGTTTTAAATAAGACGGTCAGAACAGGCATCACTGCAAAGATAAAATTTAAACCTCAGTTACTTCTTCCTCAACTCCTCCAAAAAAATATTCAGGATTCTCTTTTCTAAAATTCTGAGGTATACAAAATACATGTATATTCTTCTCTGAACCTCCTCTATTCCTCACCATGTAGACTAATGAAATTACGCAACACCTGCAAGATTTTATTACAAAGGCCACTTTCCCACAAGGAGACCCGAGCTCCAAGACCCACAGTGACAGTGCGGCGACCGAGTTTCCTACTTCCTCTGTCTTCCTAGGGTAAAAGTATCACTACATGGTAACCTGAGATTCTCTTACTTTCCATCTGAAAGAGCCTAACACTTTTAGAATGCCGACTCTCCCATTTTCTAGCTGCTCTTCACATATTGATTTACTCATCAGAGTAATAATTTGAAAGGCCAGGTGTGATGGCTCGTGCCTATAATCTCAGCACTTTGGAAGGCCGAGGTGAGAGGATCACTTGAGCCCAGGAGTTCAAGACTAGCCTAGACAACATAAACAGACTCCGTCTCTACAGAAAACTAAAAAATTAGCTGGCTGTGGTGGTGCGTGCCTGTAGTCTCAGCTACTTCAGAGGGCGAGGCAGGTGATGACCATCTGGGCTCAGGAGGTCAAGGCTGCAGTGAGCTGTCATCACCCCACTGCACTCCAGTCTTCGTGACAGAGTCAGACTCTGTCTCAAAAATAATAATAATAAAAGTGTACACTGATTTATTAAAAAAAGATTTGACTCTTTACCATGTGTTCATTCTAAATGATGTCTGTTGAACTGTGCCAAGCACTATGTTAGCCAAGAGCTAGACCTACAAAGGTCAAGAAAACAAAGTATCTCCCTCTTCAAAACACAAGAGTTCATTGGAGGACACAGGTAATGGCAGCGCCAAAAAAAAAAAAAAAAAAAAAAAAAGAAAAAACTACATGGCATGCTAAGGATCAGGCTCTGAAGGCCCAGAGTATGCCAGGCTCGTAGAGTAAGAATAGAAAAAGTCCCTGGGAGGGGTGGGAAGATAGTGGCACAGGTATACTAACGAGGGGAGTGACTTTTAAGAAAATGCACACTCTCAGCAGCATTCTCTGGTATTTAGGAAGAGATCTGGGGAGACTCAAATACTGCACTGCGGTCCCAATCTTGAAGGATCTAGAGGTCAACATCTGCGGGGAGGAGGCACTGTCTGGGAGAGGCAGGACATTTTTAGAGAATACTATTCAGTGATTTTAGCATGTTCACAAAGTTATGCAACCACCACCACTATCTAATTCTAGAACATTTTCATCATCCCCAAAAGAAAACCCCATACCCCATAGGAGTCACCCCCATTCCCGCATCCCCAAACCCCTGACAACCACTAATCTACTTTCTGCCTCTACAGATTTGCCTAATACATGGCCTTGTGTGACTGGTTTCTTTCACCTGGCACAATGTTTTCTATGTTCAGCCATGTTGCAGCATGTGTCAGAACTTCATTCCTTTTTATGACTAAAGAATCTTCCCTTGTAGGGACAGACTTCATCTTCTTTACCCACTCATGAGCTGATGGCATCTGGTTGTTTCCACTTTGGGGTTCTTATGAAAACTGCTGCTATAAGCACGTAAAATTTTGTGTTGTATAGGATCTTTAAAACTATATCTATGTTCCACTTTGATTAAAATAAATTTCACAGTATTTTTGGCCCTTGAGCCCCTATGCTCGGGTCCACTCTCACACTGTGGAGTGTACTTTCATTTTCAATAAATCTCTGTTTTTGTTGCTTCATTCAAAAAAACAAAATAAAATAAATTTCACAATATTTTCTACTTTTCTGAACCCTACCCATTATTCAAAGTCCAGCTCTGCAGCCTCCTCCCATCACATGGCTCTCTCACTGTCCGCCACTGCACCCCACACACCGGAAACAAACTAAAGATGCTGACCCACATTTGTGGTAAGTTTCACCTCTAAACATTCTCTGATTCTGAGAGCTACGAGTCCTATCATCAAAAATGAAAACTCTATGGAACCAGCTTGGCGTGGTTTTACTGGATCACTGAGTAGTCATGCCAGGTGTCCCGTCAGCTGGTGTAAGTATTGATCATCCTGCTGTGTGATTAACAAATAGTTTCAACACAGTCCTGGGTCAAAGGAAAATGTTTACACATCCAACAGGCCCAGGTTACTGTAGGGGACAACAATGCCTAGGTTATCAGGAAAGCTCACTGTTTAACTGGATTCAAGGAATAAATTATAAGCACCAGCCATTTAATGATAAATACAATTGATCTTTCTAGTACTTTTATTACTTGAGAGAATACAGGAGAATTGTCTGAAGAAGGGGGTAAGGGAGATTATTCAATTAATTCATTGGGTTTTCTGTATACTTCTAAACCAAATTCAGTTAGGAATTTTTACCAAAAAATTCCAGCCTTAATTCAAGGATGTTTATGAAAGCAAAGTTCTCTGATCAAATAAGAGTAAGTAAAAACGGGTGGGCGGGAGGAGTGTGCTTGCTTTTGTCCCTTGTTGCTTTGGAGATCTACTTTGATACAGGAGCACTGCAGATCCCCTTCCTGTTTCCTTTGCTCTCCTGCCTTACTAATTATATATCACCCCTTCCTTGCAAAACCACAAGACCAAATGTTACAAGTTACAAAATTGGTGTACTCCACCCATCCTTTACTCAGCTGACACAGAGCAAACTGAACCAGCGCGGTCCTGCCACAGCCCTGAAGACGGAACCATCACATGACAGAGGAGCTTGCGAGAAGGGCCCAACACACCCACATACTGTGTGAGGCAGAGCAAAGGTGGCAGCAGTAAGACCACCAAGGTCAGCCAGTCCAAACTTCTTGATACCTGTTATTGATTTAAAAACAAACTAGGCCAGGCATAGTGGCTCAGACCTGTAATCCCAGCACTTTGGGAGGCCAAGGTGGGAGGATCACTTGAGCCCAAAAGTCTGAGACCAGCCAGCACTTTGGGAGGCGAAGGCAGGCAGATCACCTGTGGTCAGGAGTTCAAGACCAGCCTGGTCAACATGGCGAAACCCCGTCTCCACTAAAAATATAAAAATTAGCCAGGCATGGTGGTAGGCACCTGTAATCCCAGCTACTCGGGAGGCTGAGACAGGAGAATTGCTTGAACCCAGGAGTCAGAGGTTGCAGTGAGCAGAGATTGTGCCATTGCACCCCAGTCTGGGTGACAGATTGAGACTCCATCCCCCCTACAAAAAAAAATTTAAAAATTAGCCAAGTTTGGTGGGTGTGCCTGTGGTCCCAGCTACTCAGGAGATTGAGGTGGGAGGATTGCTTGAGCCCACAGGTCAAGGCTGCAGTAAGCTATGATCATGCCATTATATTCCAGCCTGGGTGACAAATTGAGATCCCTGTCTCAAAAAAATAATAATAACAAATAAAAATAAAAAAATAAAAAAAAACCTAACTAAGCAGAAACCATTGTTTAAAATCTAATTATCTTGCTTTAGAAGGCAGGTGGTTTCAGAAAAAAAGAACTCTAAAACAATCTATTTTTGAAGTGTTTTTTTCCCAAGATTTTCTCCAAGCTTTTACTTAATACATTGTTCAGATGTTTCTCTGCCCTAAAAAAAAAATTCCCTTACAGTTCAAAAAATATTCCTAACAGGTTTAGAAGCAGTCCTCAAATTGCAGAAACTACTATTACCCAAAGAAATACCAAGTGCTCCTAAAATAATACCACATACTTATTCCACAAAATATTTCTTAGCCTGCTCCCTCTGGGTCTGAAAAGGATAGCAAATCAATGGCCAGGGGGTGAGAATATGCTTCTCCACGTGCCCAGAAGGAAGGGAACATGAGATATGGGTGCACAGAGTGGCATCAGCTACGGGAAGCTCATGTGGCATCCAGGCAAGTAATTCAGTGGCCTCCACTAGCACATCAGCAGCAGAGATGCAGAAAAACAGATTACTTCAAGATGCGTTTTGGAAGTAGAATAAACCATACTACTAATGAACTGGATAGGCAGAACAAGAGAAAGGGAAGGCTGATATCAAAACATTCAAAACATTTGATGGGAACACCTATGTGAGCGGATATGCTATTTCTCAGGTGGGGTGAATAAAGAGGGACACAGCACCAGGGGCTCTGCTGTGGCCATGCCAACTGTGAGAGACCCTGTAGGTATCCCCCAGGAGATGTCAAATGTGGCACTGGGATGTCACAGCCTGAAGTTTAGGGGTAGGAAGAGGGCTAAGCTATAGCTGATTCTTGCTATTCAAAGTAGTTATTGTTTAAAAAGTTGTTGCTGTTGCCGGGCACAGTGGCTCATGCCTGTAATCCCAGCACTTTGGGAGGCCTAGGCGGGTGGATCACGAGGTCAGAGTTCGAGACCAGCCTGGCCAGCATGGTGAAACCCCATCTCTATGAAAAATACAAAAATTAGATGGGTGAGGTGGTGGGCGCCTGTAATCCCAGCTACAGCTACAGGCAGGGAGTATTGCTTGAACCCGGGAGGTGGAGGTTGCAGTGAGCCGAGATCACACCAATGCGCTCCAGACTGGGCGAGAGAGCGAGACTCCATCTCAAAAAAAAAAAAAACAAAAATAGTCATTGCTAACACTGAATTGGAAAAGACTAAACCGTTGCTCCTAGGGGAAATACAGGTTAGGTTCCTACAGACCTCTGGTCACACTTTTGTCAACTGAACAATACATAACCTTGTTTATATGGGTTTCTGTTTAAAGATGGCTTATTTAATATATATTGTTGTGTTTTGTTTTGTTTAAGACAGGGTCTCACTCTGTCACCCAGGCTGGAGTCCAGTGGTGACATCCTGGCTCACTGCAACCTCTACCTCCCAGACTCAAGCAATCCTCCCACCTTAGCCACCTGAATAGCTGGAACCATGGGCGCATGGCGGGGGGACATGGGCTCTATTTTTAGTAGACACAGGGTTTCGTCGTGTTGCCCAGGCTGGTCTCAAACCCCTGGGCTCAAGCAATCCACCTGCCTCAGCCTCCCACAGTGCTGGGATTACAGATGTGAGCCACCATGCCCAGCCAACTGTTGATTCATTAACATTGAACTCATGGCCAACAGCACTGTAACTCATTCCTGAGCAAAGCTTCGCTAACATACTATATTTTCTCCATAAGGCACATCATGGCCTCTTGTACTTAGGAACAATAGACAGAAATTCAGCATTATGATTAGGGGCTATTTTAAAGAGCAAGTCACCAGCAAAGGCACAAAAATACAAAAAAAAAAAAATGTAATGCTAAATAGACCACATAAAGGTCATTTGTTTACAGTATGAGGGCTGAAACAAGAAATCAGTCACCTTGTTTCACAGTGGCTGGAAATGTGTACACTGAGCAAACTGCATTTTTCACTGCTCTGTGAATGTCCAGAAATGACCACGAAAGGACTACCTTTGGACTGATTTGCGGGTTACAAATAAGCTTTAGTGAGTAGGAAAATTCATGAATACAAAATCCACAAATAACAAGGATTGACTGCATAAACGAAGAAGGAATCAGAGTACAGGTATCTCTCTGCTATTGGTTATATCAAATGATAATTTCATCTTTTTTGTTTTTTGTTTTGTTTTGAGACGGAGTCTCACTGTGTCACCCAGGCTGGAGTGCAGTGGCATGATCTCGGCTCACTGCAAACCCGGCTAATTGTTTTGTATTTTTAGTAGAGACAGGGTTTCACCATGTTGGCCAGGCTGGTTTCGAAACCCTGACCTCGAATGATCTGCCTGCCACGGCCTCCCAAAGTGCTGGGATAACAGGCGTGAGCCACCGCGCCCGGCCTCAAATGATAATTTCAAATAGTCTAGTTCAAAGATCCTATTACTGGGAAAGAAACGGAGAAATTTAACCTATTTTACTAATTTGCAACATATTTCCTAGATGTTTGAAATAAGGACTCCTCCATCTCCCTCTCTTCGCCAGTTACAAGGCTGATCATATGATCTCCATGTTCAGATTTCTTTTTCTATTTCTAGTAGGTTTAGAGCTTGTGAGGAAAAAGGGAAATGTTAGTTATTACTCTTTTCCACTGTAAAGGAGTTTTTTAATAAGCATTTTTATAGAGATTTTCATAGAAATTACCTTTAAAAAGTACCTAATTGGAGTAAAATCTCTACTATCAATAAAGAGTACCAGGGCTACAGGGATAAACAATGCTGCCGATCATCTCAGACAGGACAGAGAACTTCTTTTTTTTGAGACAGAGTCTTGCTCCGTCACCCAGGCTGGAGTGTAGTGGTGTGATCTCAGCTCACCACAACCTCCGTCTCCTGGGTTCAAGTGATTCTTCTGCCTCAGCTTCCCGAGTAACTGAGACTACAGGTGCGCGCCACCACGCACAGCTAATTTTTGTATTTTTAGTAGAGACAGGGTTTCATTATTGGCCAGGCTGGCCGCAAACTCCTGAGCTCATGATCCACCCGCCTCAGCCTCCCAATGTGCTGAGATTACAGGCGTGAGCCACTGCACCTGGCCAAGAGAGAGAACTTCAACAACGTATTTCAGTTTATAATCTTAACCATGTAAATATAAGTAAGGTCACACACCTCATATCACAATGTGATTATACAGATTAAATACGATACTGAAAATGTTAAAATGCCTAATTAAATACAAAGCCATAGGTAGTACTATAACGCATGAATTTTGTTGTTGTTTAGTTCAAGACTAGTCCTGCCAAGACATTCATAATCTTGGGAAACAGGACACACAAGAACACATAAAGCAAGAAAAAGTACACTCAGGATTACCAAATCTCCCCCAAAGGTTTACTCTTCCTTTTCCCAAAGTCTTAAGGCACATGTATGAGTGAGTGTAGGGCAGGGTGGGAGAGGGGCACCAGAGTCACCAGGAACATGAGGACAATCAGAGGCAAGCCTCTCATGCCACCCCAGCACAGCTAACAGACTGTCAATAAATGGTCAGGCTGGGCGTGGTTGCTCATGCCTTCAATCCTAGCACGTTGGGAGGCTGAGGTGGGAGAATTGCTTGAGGCCAGGAGTTCTAGACCAGCCTGGGCAATATAGTGAGACCCTATCTCTAATTTAATTATAAGGAAAAAAGAAAGAAAAAATAAAAACAAGTCACAAGGCCGGTGCCACAGGCAAGTGCCAAACCTCCCCAGAAGACTCATGCTCTTGGCCAGGCAGTGGCTCATGCCTGTTAGCTCAACACTTTCGGGAGGATCACTTGAGCCCAGAAGTTTGAGACCAGCCTGAGCAACATGGTCAGACCTTATCTCTACTTAATAAATAAATAAATAAATAAATAAATAAATAAAGATAACAACAAAGAATCGGAGGGCTGCTGACATCCCTAATTACATGGGGTTTGTGCACTGCCCTTAGGGAATCTAACAGTAGATTATAAACATTAACTGAGCAGTAATAACAGTTAGGACAGAAGACAGTGTATAATAAGGTACTAAATGGACTAAATAGGTGATTTGCCATACTCCAATTATGAAAACACCAACTTCTGCAAACTTTAATTACTTTTAACTCCTGCCATCTATCTCATCTGGGGACATCAATCACTGATTCTTTAGAGTAACCTTTAATTAAAATCTTAGTTCCAAAGTATGTTGTCTAGTCTAGTACTTCAAACACCAAAAAACCCTTGCAGAATTGTTCTAAAATGATTTTTAAAATAATCCCTTAAAAAATATAAGAAGTCCCCCACCTCACCCCTTTTTTAAAATGATTCACCACTGAGTGGTAATGACATCATCAATCCAGCGTACTGCAAACACCTGGCTGATGGCATGCTAGGATCCTCTCCTCTAGATACACGTGGAGTAGGGAGGGAGGGTCAAAGTGGCCGTTGTGTGAAGCTATGTCACATTGTGTGTCAGGACCGTCGTGGACAAAGCGACCGGCTACTGAGAAGCAGCGCATCTAGATAAACTCGGAAAGGAAAGGCATGCGTGTGATGCTGACAGAACTTTCCAAGAGCAACTGTCTTCTCTGATCTGCCATGCTTCAAAAACAAACCCTCTTACGCAGATTTGCCCACCCATAAGAATTTATACTTCTAGTTTTTACGTGACTTTCCCTCAATTTTAAGGAAATAGAAAATTGTGGGGTTTTTTGTTTTCTTTTTTTTTTCTGAGACAGGGTCTCACTGTGTTGCCCAGGCTGGAGTGCAGTGGTGCAATCTTGGCTCACTGCAGCCTCAACCTCCCTGGTTTAAGCAATCCTCCCACCTTAGCCTCCCAAGTAGCTGGGACCACAGGTGTGCACCAACGTGCCAAACTAATTTTTTTCTTTTTTATTTGTAGAGACAGAGTGTCACTATGTTGCCCAGGCTGGTCTCAAATTCCTGGGCTCAAGCAATCCTCCTACCTCAACCTCAAAAAATGCTACAATTACAGGTGTGAGCCATCATGCCCAGCCCAAAATTGTGATTTTTAGTACAAGAATATAAAATAAATTTTTGCATTTAGTTTGTGACTGAAGTTTTATGTCACTTTTTTAAGGTAAATCCATTTTTAAATTTATGCAAAATAACATACTTATAAAAATCTTTAACTGCTTTGCATATTATACTTATGTTAAATAAAAGCTCTTCTAAGCCTTATTTTGAAACTAGTTACATATCATTTGTACATTCCATTCCTAACTAACCTCTATTATATTTTATATATAATAAAACATTTTTAAGGGGAAAATGGTCTGTCACACAATCCAGCCATTCCATGTGTAGGTATAACACAAGAGAAGTGAAAACATATCCACATAATGACTCATACATGAATGTTCCCAGCAGTTTTATACACAATAGCCCAAATCTGGAAACAACTCATATGTTCATCAACAGGTGAAGAGACCAAAAACGTGGTGCAGCCATACAGTGGAACATTACTCAGCAATGAAAAGGAACAACTGATACCCCCAACAATGAATCTCAAACATAATATTATTTATTTATTTATTTGTTTTGAGACAGAGTCTAGCTCTGTCACCCAGGCTGGAGTGCAATAGCGCAATCTCAGCTCACTGCAGCCTCCGCCTCCCGGGTTCAAGCAATTCTCCTGCCTCCACCTCCAGAGTAGCTTTCTGTATTTTTAGCAGAGACAGCCATGTTGGCCAGGCTGGTCTCGAACTCCTGATCTCAAGTGATCCGCTCGCCTCGGCCTCCCAAGTGCTGGGATTACAGGCGTGAGCCACCACGCCCAGCCTCAAACACATCATTCTGAGTAAAAGCCAGACATGTATGATGTTGGCAGTGGGTTTATTTAAAAAAAAAAAAAAGGAAAGAAAGCCAGACACAGAATATACATTGTAACATTGTATGATTTCACTTACATAAAATTCTAGGAAATACAAACTCATCTGTAGTCACAAAAACCAGATCAGTGGTTGCCTGGGGCCGGGGTAGAGGGAGGAATGGACAGCAAAAGGACATGAAGCGGCGGCCAGGCTCGGTGGCAGCACTTTGGGAGGCTGAGGCAGGGGGACTGCTTAAGCCCAGAAGCTCAAGACCAGTCTGGGCAACATAAATAAACAATTAGCTGGGCATGGTGGTGCAAGCCTGTAGTCCCAGCTACTTGGGAGGCTGAGGTGGAAGGACTGCTTGAGCCCAAGAGGTTGAGGTTGCAGTGAGCTGTGTTCATGCCACCACACTCCAGCCTGGGAGAAAGAGCAAGACACTGCCTCAAAAAAAAAACAAAACAAAAAAAGAAAAACAAAACAAAAAGGGCCATGAAGCATCTTTTTCAGGTCAAGAAAATATTGTGCTTTATTGTGATAGTGGTTTCACTGGTGTACAAAACTGCTGAATATATCCCATCAAATTGTACACTATTTATTTATTTATTTATTTTTATTTTTTTTTTTTTTGAGACAGAGTCTTGCTGTGTCACCTAGGCTGGAGTGCAGCAGCGTGATCTCAGCTCACTGCAACCGTCACACCCTGGGTTCAAGCGATTCTTGTGCCACGGCCACTCTAGTAGCTGGGATTACAGGCGCCCACCACCACACCCAGCTAATTTTTGTATTTTTAGTAGAGACAGGGTTTCACCATGTTGGCCAGGCTGGTCTTGAACACCTGATCTCAAGTGATCCACTCGCCTCGGCCTCTCGAAGTGCTGGGATTACAGGCATGAGCCACCGCGCCCAGCCAAACTGTACACTTTAAATGGATACCATTTATTCCATGTAAATTATACCTCAATAATTTTTTTAAAACAAGGAGAAGGAACCTGAAAAGTCTGCAGCAAATAGACAAATGGAAATTAATGTGCTCATCATCACCAATTAAAGGTGCTGAAAATGTCAGTTAGTACCCCTAGTTTGCTAATGAGGCTATTTGAAGTCCTTCAGAGAACTGAGTGACACAGTGAGACCCCATCTAAAAAACAAAAAAGAATTTAAAAATCTGTCTATTCAGAACTAAATCATTATTTGAGTGGACTCATCTTCAAAAGTCTTTAACACATTTTGGGGACACAGATGTCTATTAGAAAATACCACTGGGGTGAGAGGATCACTTGAGCCGAGGAAGTCAAGGCTGCAGTGAGCTATGATCATGCCACTGCACTCCAGCCTCGGTGACAGAGCAAGATCTCATTTAAAAAAAAAAAAGCCTTCATAATCACCAGGAGACACAAGGATGCTGAGAGGTTAGGAACACAAAGTTCAACCACTGGCCTATATTCCAATAAACATGGCAAAAATTAGACTAAGATTATTCACAAGGCGGAATTTCAAGGTTTGAATTTTTTTCTTTTTTTTCTTTTTTTTTTTTTTTTTTGAGATGGAGTCTCGCTCTGTCGCCCAGGCTTCCTGGGTTCACGCCATTCTCCTGCCTCAGCCTCCTGAGTAGATGGGACTACAGACGCCCGCCACCATACCCAGCTAATTTTTTCATACTTTTAGTAGAGACAAGGTTTCACTGTGTTAGCCAGGATGGTTTTGATCTCCTGACCTCGTGATCCACCTGCCTTGGCCTCCCAAAGTGCTGGGATTACAGGCGTGAGCCACCATGCCCGGACTCAAGGTTTGAATTTTCAACATAACTTAAGAAACCCTCATCCTTTGGGGGGATGACCGTGAGTGCAGTTTAAAAAAAAGAAAAGAAACCCTCCTATGAATTAAACAGGTCTTGGTTAGAGGTCAAAGTTCTCCTTCTAATTAGAATGTAAGGTACCTGAGAACTCTATTCATGTCTAAATTGCAAGGCCCATAGAGTGTCCAGCTCATTATAGGTGTTCAATAAGTATCTGTTGAATAGATGAATAAAAAACGACCTGGGAAAGAAGCTGCTATAATTTTCCCATTCTAATACATGTAAACACTAGCCGAGGTTCTTAGAACAAAGTTCATTCTGCCAATGCTGAGAGAGGCAGGAAAAAATTTTAATTATATCAGCAACCCAAAAGATTAAAAAAATATTCAGCCGGGTGCAGTAGCTCATGCCTGAATCTCAGCACTTTGGGAGGCTGAGGCGGGCAGACTGCCTGAGGTCAGGAGTTTAAGACCAGTCCGGCCAACATGGTGAAACCCCTTCTCTACTAAAAATACAAAAAAAATTAGCCAGGCATGGCTACTTGGGAGGCTGAGGCAGGGGAATTGCTTGAACCAGGGAGGTGGAGGTTGCAGTGAGCCAAGATCGCACCACTGCACTCCAGCATGGGTGACAGAGCAAGACTCTGCCTCAAAAAAAAAAATTCAAAAAAAAGTTTAAAAAAATAGTAATTCAATGTCAGGAAGGATAAATTAACAAGTATCATCATATACTGGTATGAGGTGTAAACTGATTCACACTTTCTGAAAACCCATTTGGCAGTACATATCAAGAGACTACAAAGTTAAACTCCCTAACCCAGTAAGTCCACTTACAGGAATCTAGCCTAAGAAAATCACTGGAAATGTGAGCAAAACTTTATCCACAAGAATGTTACAGGATTCTTTCTTACAGGAACAAAGTGGAAACTTCTAAATAACAAGACAGGATGATTAATTAAACTATGCTCCATCTATATCATGCTGCCTTTGGCCGAGGCCCCAAGCATCCCTGCATGTCCTTGCTGAGAGTGCCAAACTGCAAGGTCTGTCTTCTTGTAGCTGGCGACATGAAGTTGGTCAAGGAGACTGTAGCATGACATGCCCCCATTGAGGAGAAGAAGCCTGGCCTGTCTATCACTTGCTATAAAAAGTGCTAAGCCCAGGCCCGGTGTGGTGGCTCACGCCTGTAATCCCAGCACTTTGGGAGGCCGAGGCAGGCAGATCACCCGAGGTCAGGAGTTCGAGACCAGCCTGACAAACATGGAGAAACCCCGTCTCTACTAAAAATAAAAAATTAGCCGGGCATGGTGGTGCATGCCTGTAATCCCAGCTACTCGCTAGGCTGAGGCAAGAGAATTGCTTGAACCCAGGAGGCGGAGGAGGTTGCAGTGGGCCGAGATTGCACCATTGTATTCCAGCCTGGGCAACAAGAGTGAAACTCGAAACTCCATCTCAAAAAAACAAAAAAGAAAGAAAAAAAGAAAGGAAAGTGCTAAGTCCTTGGTGGTCCTTGGTTCCTCAGCTGTAGGCAAACCCAATTCATGCATAGACATCATCTGGGCCCATCATGTCACCCCACGAGACTTGAGGTCAGGGGCACCAGCACTTTCATGCTGATATTCCTGCTATTTGCTGTGCGATGTGTACTAATCTGCCTCATTCTGATCCAGTAGGTCTCGTTATCTACTTTCGGCATCCACGGAGTTATGGCATGTGCTTGTGGCCCTAGCTACTCAGGAAGCTGAGGTGGGAGGATTGCTTAAGCATAGGAGATCGAGGTTGCAGTGGGCTATGACAACACCACTGCACTCCAGCCTGGTCAACAGAGTGAGATCCTGTCTCAAAACAGAAAGAAAATTTCCATAATAATAATTTTCTCAATGTTTGCCAAAGTGCTAAAGTAAGAAGGGCACAATTGTAGCCAATCGAAGCCCACTGCCTGAGGTGGCTTCATTTTCAGACTATATGGCAACTGCCCCGAGGAAGGACTAAAAGGTACTCTCCAAAGACACTCTGGGTAAGTGGACGCAGCCTCAGTTCTTCGTAGGTCTCATGCGCCTAGCAGTCTACATCCCAGCGCCAAGCCTCTCTTTCATCCAACGGGGTAGGCAAAGGGGTCTTTTTAGGTTGCTTCCTCACTGTTGTACAGATCAGGGCTCTAAAACTGGCACCTGGCCACTGGCTGCCTAGCAACAGCTGCAACATAAAGAGACGGTATCTCTTAAAAGGAACAAAACAGAAAACCACACAAAGACACATGGGGAAGCTAAAGTGGGTAGGTAGCTATATACTTGGTAGCTATAATAAAGGAGTAAAAACAAAAATCCAAGGTTGGTTATTCTTGCTTCTTTCATCTGTTGAGCCTCTTCTTAAAAACCTCTGTAAGTTCAAAACCCTCCAAGCGGAATACTGAATGGCTTAAAGCAAAACCACATAAATTAGATAGTTACAGCTGAGGAAATGCATTCAACACTCAGCCATCCCTTCCTACAATCATGGACGCACAAATTCTTGTGAAATCATTTTATACACTCAACACGGGAAATGAAGGGAAGCATCTCTGGCCAGGCCAACTCAAGCCAGAGCCTGCCTGTGTGATGTGACCTTGGAGAGAACAGTTAGAGGTTCTGAAGCGTGAGTTTCCACACCTGGGGTCCCCAAATTTAGGGGCATTAGAAGTATATTTGTGTGCATGTGTGTACAAGCATGTGCATGTATGTACGTATTTATTCATTCACTCATTCCTGGATCTGCCCTGGTACGTTTGGTATGGCTAGAGTAAGGAACCAGAATAAATGGCTTTTTTGAAAGATTCCTCCAGGGATTCTGCGGGTTAGTCAAGTATGGGAACCACCATTCTAACCCAAATTTACTAGATTACGAACTTTAAAAGGGAAGGCTAAACAAACCACTTCTGCATGTTCATCTGCCTAGGACATCTGCTACCACAATTGCAAAAGGTGCCCATGTGGAACGGAAAATACATGGTTGAATTTTACAAATTTAGACATATAAAGCTAAAAACTCAAGAAACACTGAATTCCCTCTTTTGACTACTGATGTTTTAATTCTGGCCTCTATCCAAATAGCAGGTTTATATATATATATATATATATATATATATACACACACATACATATATATATGTGTATATATATATATATACACATACATATATATATGTATATATATATACATACATATATATATGTATATATATGTATGTATATATATATACATATATATGTATATATATGTATATATATATATACATACATATATATGTATATATATATGTATATATATATACACATACATATATATGTATATATATGTATATATATAGTTTAAAAGAAAGCAACAACATTCTACTATCTTAAAACCCTCTTTTCTAAACACTAGAAAATCAAAAATCGCATTACAACAGAACTTAAGACTTTTAAATAGAAGTGAAAAAGTAATTTTACACAAAAAGCATCATATACTTATCTTTCTAAAAGTTACAGGTATCAAGTAAGTCTGATGACATCACTTCTCAAAATCAAAATATATCCCAGATGCTCCTCAACTTACAATGGGGTTACTTCCCAATAAACCCATCGTAAAGTCAACCATAAGTCAGAGACAGTCTCTATATATTTTCTTGATAAATGGGATACCCACCTCCCGGGTTCAAGTGATTCTCCTGCCTCAGCCTCCTGAGTAGCTGGGACTACAGGCATGCACCACCACACCCGGCTAATTTTTGTATTTTTTGTAGAGACAGAGTTTCAACATGTTGGTCAGGCTGGTCTCGAACTCCCGACCTTGTGATCCACCCACCTCGGCCTCCCAAAGTGCTGGATTACAGGTGTGAGCCACCGCGCCCAGCCTCGCGATTTCCAAGTTTTCAGTCACATAGCAATGCTACAATAAACACCCTTGTGCACACATTCTGGTACACAACAGCAGTTCCCCACCTTCTGAGTCCCAACTCAAGAGGTTCTTGTTTTCAGATTTCAAGTTTCAGATCTCCAAGGGGAACTAATTCTCACAGGAACTGCTTTTTCTAGTCCTGCTCTAGGCTGGAATGGGGTGATGTGTAACCTATTTTTGTGTTAAAATCAATTGACCTTGGGAACGTGATAATACAGGGAACTAAAAGCACTCACACTACTCAAAGCTTATTAAAACCTCTTTAAAAATCAAGAGGCAGGGGCCAGGCGCGGTGGCTCACGCCTGTAATCCCAACACTTTGGGAGGCCGAGGCGGGCGGATCACGAGATCAGGAGATCCAGACCAGCCTGGCTAACACGGTGAAACCCCGTCTCTACTAAAAACACAAAAAATCAGCCGGGCGTGGTGGCGGGCACCTGTAGTCCCAGCTACTTGGGAGGCTGAGGCAGGAGAATGACGTGAACCCGGGAGGCGGAGCTTGCAGTGAGACGAGATCACGCCACTGCACTCCAGCCTGGGGGACAGAGCGAGACTCCGTCTCAAAAACAAAAAAAAAAGAGTGTTATTTTTAAAAACTTTTTAAAGCTTAAATTCCTCTTATTAGAATGCTATACACACACATTTATACGTTTGAGAAAACAGTAGTCCAAAGCAAGAGCAGGAAAGGGAAAGAACAGTAGTAGTCAGCTAGACATTTGGTTTTGTATCCTTAACATCTATTCTGAGTGGAAATTAAACCAAATGAGCCTTTAACATAAACGTTTGAAAGAGTAACAGCATCTGGCCTGCTTCCTCCATACAATGAGGTGTCCATCATGTGACATGGGGGAAAACAGCAGATTTCTGGAAAAATAATTACCAAATAATGTTGTGCCAACATCTTCTAGAATAATAAACTTCTTTTTCCTATCAAGGTCCATTGTTCAGGGACATTTCCATTACCTGACAACAGGAAAAATTATCTTTACTCTCAGAGTACAAAAACATTCCTAAGAACAGAGAGCAACAACATAACCTTCTGACTCAAGATAGTCTCTGTTCCGGTAATTTGATGACAAATAGTGTTGCTGATCAGCAGAATATAGAGTGGAAAGGGCGGCTTTTTTGCACATGCCTTCCCCTACCTTTGAATTAGGAGCACTCTTCTAAAACTAGAAATGCTTCACGAAGTCAGACAAAGTCTACAAAGTACTGCAATACTTAATACCCATGAGGCACACTTCCATAAGAAGAAAATGATATGCAGGAAGGATTAAACTGCCCATTCTCACAAGAAACATTCCATGGGCAAAGGCACTAAGGTAGATGTATAGATGTAGTCGGCAGGATAATGGTCCCAAAGATATACATGTCCTAATCACTGGAACCTGTGAACATGTTAAATTCCATGGCAAAAGGGGATTAAGATTGCAGATGGAATTACATCTCCTAATCAGCCAACTTTAGAAGAGGGAGATTATCCTAGAGTATCCAAGTGGGCACACGGATTCTTCCAAATGGAAGAGGGAGGCAGGACAATCAGTGTCAGAGTGATGAGAGGTGAGACTCAATCAGCCACTGCTGGCTTTGAAGATGCAGGAAGGAGCTAAGAGCCAAGGAGTGTGGGCAGCCTTTAGAAGCTGGAAAGGTAAGGAAGTAGATCTTTCCCTAGAGCCTCCAGAAAGAAACACAACCCTGCTGAAATACATTTTGGCCCAGTGAGACCCATTCCAGACTTCTGGCCTCCAAACTGTAAGATAATAATGTATATTGTCTTAAGCCACTAAATTTGTGATAATTTGTTATGGCAGCAACAGGAAACTAATACAATGGAAATGTCCGTCCGGCTGCTTTCTGGATGTTTTTAATCTCAAAAAAAGACTTTTGGCCAGGCACGGTGGCTCACGCCTGTAATCCCAGCACTTTGGGAGGAAGAGGTATGTGGATCACCTGAGGTCAGGGGTTCGAGACCAGCCTGGCCAACGTGGTAAAACCCTGTCTCTACTAAAAATACAAAATTAGCCAGGAGTGGTGGCATATGCCTGTAGTCCCAGCTACTTGGGAGGCTGAGGCAGGAGAATCGCTTAAACCTAGGAGGCAGAGGTTGCAGTGAGCCGAGGCCGTGCCAAAAAAAAAAAAAAGACTTTTAATCCCTCTCAAGATACACACATTTATATACACATTTGTCAAACACCTTAATACTTCCTAGAATAAAGTGGATTCACACCACAAATCACCTTACTGTAGGTTATAGAGTAGTCCCTCCTTATCCACAGGGGATACTTTCCAAGACCCCCCACGGATGCCTAGACCACAAATAGTAGTGAACCCTATATACAACATGTTTGTTCCTATACATACATACCTATGATAAAATTTATAAAGTAGGCAGAGATTAATAATAAACTAATAATAAAGAACATTATAATAAATAATAAAGAACAATAAGTTGTTCTATAAAATATGCTGTAATAAGAGTTACGTGAATGTAGTCTCTCAAAATATTTCCTTGTACTATACTCACATATTTTCAAACCACAGCTAACTGCAGATAATTGAAACCATGGAAGGTGAAACCATGGATAAGGGGGAAAGTATGCTAGCCTCCTCTTAAAGAATTTATTTGCTACACTCATCTTTCAAACATAGAATAGGCCAGGCGCAGTGGCTCACGCCTGTAATCCCAACACTTTGGAAGGCTGAGATAGGCACATCACTTGAGGTCAGGAGTTTGAGACCAGTCTGGCCAACATGGCCAAACCCTGTCTCTACCAAAAATAAAAAAATTAGCCAGGCACAGTGGTGTGCGCCTGCAGTCCCAGCTACTCGGGAGGCTCAGGCAGGAGAATCGCTTGAACCCGGGAGGCAGAGGTTGCAGTGAGCCAAGATCCCATCACTGCACTCCAGCCTGGGTGACAGAGCGAGAGTCTGTCTCAAAGAAAAAACAAAACATAGAATAATCATTTTCTTCTTTTTATAAGCTCACAACTAATACCATAAAATAATATTTCCATCTAAATGTCTTTTTTTTTTTTTTTTAAGACACAGTCTTGCTCTGTTGTCCAGGCTGGAGTGCAGTGGCACTATCTCGGCTCAATGAAACCTCCGCCTCCTGGGTTCAAGCAATTCTCCTGCCTCAGCCTCCTGAGTAGCTGGGACTACGGGCGCACCCCACCACGCCCAGCTAATTTTTGCCAGGATGGTCTCTATCTCTTGACTTCATGATCCACCCACCTCAGCCTCCCAGAGTGCTAGGGTTACAGATGTGAGCCACCGCGCCCGGCCTAAATGTCCCTTTTTCAAGATTTGTACTGAAATCTCTGAATGCATAAAAAATGTCTCTATAAACTTCCCAGCAAGTCAACAGTGAGGAACTCACTAACTGGTTATCAACATAAGCAGTTTCAGCAAGAACCAGGCTTATATATAAACCCCAAAATAATGGAAGAATGAAATTAGATGTATGCACGAGGTAAGAGGGATCTATTTTAACTGCAACTCCCAAGTTTCCATGAGCAATTTCAGTGACCTTTGTTTCTATATCAAAAGCAGAGGGAGTGGGGGAGCATGGATTTAATGATTCAGTCAACAAGCTCTGAGAGCCTACAATGTGCCAGGCCCTGTTTCTGGCATGCACATGGGATAGGGGAGAGTAACAAAAGGGATGAAGATTCCTGCCTTGTGGAGTTTCCACTTCAGCTGGAGAAGACTGACCATGCGTAATAAACATAATGAGTAGGTTCCCGGGGGATGAGCATTATTGGGAGTCAAGCAGGGTAAGGGTGGCAAGCAGAGAGGAGGGGGGCACTGGCTGCTCAAGCAAACAGGGGAAGTCTTGTCGAGAGAGTGCGGGAACTGAGCATGAGGTTATTTGGAGGAAAAGCATCCCTAGCACAGTGAATAGCTGGAGAAAGGCCCGAGCTGGGGAGCGTGCCTGGTGTGTACCAAGCACCGCAAGGAGTTTGCTGAGTGCATGAGCAGAGGGGCATGGGTATCCCTGATGGGTCCCAAGGAACAGGAGCAGGATCACCGGGAGGCCCTCCCTGAGGCATCAGTAGACTCAAAGAGAAGCCTTCCTCAGTGGACCATGGAACACACCCAGAAAACGGGGCTCCTTCTAAAGGTAGACCCCAAAGTCTAGGTTGGAATCCCTATTTCTTTTGGGATATCATAAACCCATAAAATAAATATTTCAATTATAATTCTAAAAATCTTTTTAGAATTTAATTTCCTCCATGCTTTGTCACTGCAGTCTGGACACAGAGAAATCGCAGAAGTCTTTGTCAAAGTTAGAGAACAAGTTGAAGAAGTCTCCGTCTTCAATAAATCAGTAAAAGCCAGTGTGGAGTAGAGGAGACAAGCCTGAAGTGGGCTATTCAGAAGTCCAAGAGGGTTTCAATGCCAAGCAAAACAAATGGCAAGCCCTCAAAAGCTGTATCTGACTCTATTTTATTGTCAGTTTGCTGTCCTGACTAAACAGAAGGTTTAGTCAGGATGGTCCCCCAGATGGTCCCCCAGAAGACAAACACCAAGAGGTGCCACAGCACAAGACAGTGGTGTTTCCAGGGCTCCCTGGATGTGCTCCCCAAGAACCAGAGTCCACAGCTGAGCTGAGAGCAGGCAAATGATCACAACTTGATTTTTTTTAAATCCTGCAATAGCATGAATAAAGTGGCACAAATCCAAGTCCTAAAGTCTATTTTTGAACCTGCAAAGCTAGAGGGTCTTGTCTTGAGATCCTTGGTGACCCTACCACAGTACTCACATTCCAATGAGGCCCTGTCAAAAACCAGCCTTAGGCTGTGCACGGTGGCTCAAACCTGTAATCCCAGCACTTTGGGGGTGGGAGGATCGTCTGAGCCCAGGAGTTTGAGACCAGCCAGGGCAACATAGTGAGATCCCATCTCTACAGAAAAAAAAAAAAAAAAAAAAAAGCCAGCCCCTCCTCTAGCAGGAGACAAAGCTTCCAAGTCAGGACTTCGGGCAGGAAGACTCTGGGAGCTGCTCTGTAACTCCCTGGAAGAAACATTATTCTGCTAGTGTTCTCCTGTCTCACTGTTAAATGAGTTCTTTCAGCAGCCTTTTTATTTAGTCATAAAGGGCAAAAAGGCTAAGAGAAGCCATGAAAAGACCCCTGAAAATGGCTGAGAGACAAGCTCAGTAAGATTCGTTAACCTTTACCTGGTTACCTGGATTTCTCATAAATTCTAGTGGCCCAACCACAAAACATGTTCTGGCTCCAGGGAATCATCAAAGGCCAGGCTGAGTAATTCTTGTTGCCACAACATCAAACCCAGTTTACCAGAGTCCCTGGAAGGAAACAGCAGCCCCTAAACTAAATGCTACCCGGGGGATTAAGGAAAAAGATACTGCCTTTACTGCATGATCCTACAAACTCCTCAAATTTCAACCCTAAGATTAACAATGGCTCTTTCAATGTAAATGTGTTTAATAACCAGCAACACAGGTTTAACCAAAACTCTGTCCAAACTATATCAAGATACAAAACTCTGTATCCACTCCCAGAAGAAAGAACGTTTAGAAAGTACATAAATTCATCTCTGAGAGGTCTGAGAAAAAGAAAAAACAATGAAAAGACATAAATAGCATATAAGGTATGTAAAAGTACAAGACATAAAAATGAAGAGGGGGGTGTGAATGAGCAGCCAGTATAGAAAAAGCCCATTCAAAGCATGGCCTGTGCATGGAGCCTGAGAAATCTAGCTTGTGGTGCCAGCTCAACCACTCAGCAGCTATGTCCCTTTAGAATCTCTCTACTTCTCCATTTCCTCACCTATAAAATCAGTACAGTATTTGTTGCCACCCACAGGGTAACTGTGAGGGTTCAATGAGAACTTACGAAAAATGTTCAGCAATGAACTTCATGTGCAGCAAGCAGTTAACTGCTAGTGTGGGAACAGCTAGAGCAGTGACACCTACTCTGGCATGTTCCCATCTCACTTCATCCCAGTAGGTAACTGCCTGTTGGGTTTGCTCAAAAGTACGTCTCAGCCGGGCATGGTGTCTCACGCCTGTAATCCCAGCACTTTGGGAGTCCGAGATGGGAAGACTGCTTGAGGCCAGGAATTCAAGACCAGCCTGATCAACATAGTGAATCCCCATGTCTAAATTTTTTAAAACCATTTTTTTTAAAGTACATCTCACTCAGAACACAGTGAAAGCTGAAAGTCCCCAGGCTCCCATAGCATTTGTTGGTATTTCCACCATAGCAAATTTCCACGTGAACCGCCCTACACTGTGAGCTTCTGGAAAGCAGGGCCTATATCTTAAAATTCTTCACAGCCTGAGCATAAAGCAAATACCCTGACACAAAGAATTTAAAAAGTCTGAACAAACGGATGAATAGATGAACAAATGGATGAATAGATGAACAAATGGATGGTTGAATAGATGAATAAACGGATGGTTGAATAGATGAACAAACGGATGGTTGGATAGATGGGAAACAATTTAAATGGCAAGAAAAAGAATCCAGTGTTTTTTTCAAGCCATAATGATTGCAGTGATAAGTGAATGGTGATAAAAGTTTAAAAATTAGAGAGGTCTAGAGGTAACACCAGAATGAAAGGGCCAGGAGCAAGTCTCGGACATGCTGAATCTTGGACAATGATGGGATATCCAAGGGGAAATGTGCAGGAAGCACTTGAAAATGCCAGAATGCAGCTAAGATTCAAACGTTCTCTTAATTTCAATCTTAGGGCTGTTGGAAATAATATTTCAGAGAATTAGAGAACACAAAAGAAAGGAAGTTAAACAGGTTTCAAAAACACATATAGTCTGCAGCTGCTGTGTACAGAAGCCAGAACAGACAAAATGAAATGTGAGACCGATCGTCCTGGAGGTTTACAACACATCACATATGAATGTTTTCATTCAAGACTGGCTCGGAATCATTGTCCAAAGGTATAAAAAGGAGTCTATAAATACTCTTAATATCCCCCAGAAAAATACAAAAAGCTCTCCACTCTGCAACTTCCAGCTCCTGCCCTCTCTCTCTTTCCATTTACCATCTAGTTACCTGAAGAGTTATATACATTTGCCTTCAAAGTTTCCCTTTCAGATCTCTTCCTCTACCCAGCCCTTCAGTGGTGGTATTCCAAGACGACATCCTTGGACTCCTCAATCAGCCCGTGGCATCACCCACTCCCTGGGTTCCACTCCCACTCCTGCGTTGATCATCTCTGGAGTTGCAGGTTCAAATTCAACTATTTAAATGGGTCTCTCAAAGTGGACACTGTACAAGTACCACAAAACTCCAGAGATTACGTCCAAAACCGAAGTCCTATTCTCAGTATGGAAACTCTCCAAGCAGTCATCCAAAGACAGAAACCTGGTGCTCACCTTCGTCACCCTGTCTCTTTCATCTCCTTTCAATGCTATGTCCCTCCCAAACACTGGCAACCAAATCCATCAATTTCATGTCCTTCACTGGTCCTGTATTTTTTCTCTCCTACCTCCTACTCCCACAGCCTGAATTCAAGCCCTCATCACCTAGCTCACCTATCTCCAAAAATTCCTTAAGGGTCTCTCCACTGCCAATCTGAGCCACACTAAGTCAGAAGAATCTTTCTAAAATGCAACAGAATGCTCTGCTTCTCCCTCTCCTTGCCTCCACCTGCTTCCTTTCTCTCTCCCTTCCCCCTCTTGGCAAAAATAAAAAATAAAAATAAAAAAAAGAACGGGCGCAGTGCCTCACACCAGCACCTTGGGAGATGGAGGTTGGCAAATCACTTGAGGCCAGGAGATCAAGACCAGCCTGGCCAACATGGCAAAACCCAGTCTCTACTAAAAATACAAAAACTAGCCAGGTGTGGTGGCACATGCCTGTAATCACAGCTACTCAGGAGGCTGAGGCACGAGAATCACTTGAACCCAGGAGGCAGAAGTTGCAGTGAGCTGACATCACGCCACTGCACTCCAGCCTAGGCAACAGAGCAAGACTATGTCTCAAAAAAAAAAAAAGCAAAATAATCAGCATAAAATATCCCTGGTTTAAACCCTCTCATAGCTCCGTGTCCCACAGAATAAGTCCTGTGTAACAACACATACTGAAGCCCCCCATAACTGTCCCCCATTTCTCTAACCCTGCCTCTGGCCTCCTCCCTCTGCTCACAGCCTACTCTCCAGGCACAAAGAACCATTTGTAGCTCCCCAAGTGGCGAAACTGCTTCACACCTCCTGTCCTCTCATTCTCTTTGCTTTGATATATACTTCTTTGCAATGTTCTCCTACTTGGCACTAACTCATCTTTCACAATCCAGCCCAAGGGCCAGCTCCTCTACAAACTCTCCCCTGGCCAATCCAGTGCCATCCCAGCGCCAGTGGAACTGGCACTGCTCTCCTTGGTTTACCTACATTTTTCATGCACACACCTGCCACATCTACTGTGACACGCTCCTTCACAGCTTGCTGCCATGTTTGTCTCCTCCTTCTAGACTCAAAGCATCGGTGACAACAGGGACTACATGGTATGAAATGATCACTCATGCTTGTTGACTGAATAAACCATTACAAACTACTCATAGAAACCAATCTGCGAGCCGGATGCAGTGGCTCACACCTGTAATTCTGACACTTTGGGAGGCCGAGGCAGGTGGATCCCCTGAGGTTCGGAGTTCTAAACCAGCCTGGCCAACATAGTGAAACTCCGTCTCTACTAAAAATACAAAAATTGGCCAGGCACAGTGGCTCATGCCTGTAATCCCAGCACTTTGGGAGGCCGAGGTGGGTGGATCACGAGGTCAGGAGATAGACGCCATCCTGGCCAACATGGTGAAACCCCGTCTGTACTAAACATACAAAACTGAGCTGGGCATGGTGGCGTGTACCTGTAATCCTAGTTACTCGGGAAGCTGAGGCAGGAGAATCACCTAAGCCAGGGAGTCAGAGGTTGCAGTGAGCCGAGATCGCACCACTGCACTCCAGCCTGACGACACAGCAAGACTTCGTCTCAAAAAAAAAAAAGAAAAATACAAAAATTAGCCAGGCATGGTGGCGGGTGTCTGTAATCCCAGCTACTTGGGAGGCTGAGGCAGAATAATTGCTTGACCCGGGAGGTGGAGGATGCAGTGAGTCGAAATTGTGCCACTGCACTCCAGCCTGGGCAACAAGAGCAAAATTCCCATCTCCAAAAAAAAAAAAAAGAAAAGAAAAGAAAAGAAAAAAAAAAAAACAAAGAAATCTGTGATATTACTACAAAATAGGCGGGTTTTTTTTGTTTTGTTTTGTTTTGTTTTGTTTGAGACGGAGCCTCACTCTGTCACCCAGGCGGGAGTGCAGTGGTGTGACCTCGGCTCACTGCAATCTCCACTTCCCGGGTTCAAGCGATTCTCCTTGTTCAGCCTCCCAAGTAGCTGGGACTACAGGCGTGCGCCATCACGCCTGGCTAATTTTTATATTTTTAGTAGAGATGGGGTTTCACCATGTTGGCCAGGATGGTCTCGATCTCTTGACTTTGTGATCCGCCTGCCTCGGCCTGGGATTACAGGTGTGAGCCACAGAGCCCGACTGAAAATAGGTTTTTTTAATAGCCTTAGCCAATTCCATCATTCATACCTAACACTACTAATTACAACATAGATTTAACAATGCCAGGTAAGGGCACGCTTCTGAAATAGAAGCCTTGAAGACTCAAGAAAAGGTAGAAAATGGCCAAGTGCGGGAGCTCATACCTGTAATCCCAGCAGTTTGGGAGGCCAAGGCAGGCATATTCCTTGAGCTCAGGGGTTCAAGACCAGCATGGCCAACATGGTGAAACACCGTCTCTCCTAAAAATACAAAAACTGGCCAGGCGCAGTAGCTCACATCGGTAATCCCAGCACTTTGGGAGGCCGAGGTGGACAGATCACATGAGGCCAGGAGTTTGGGACCAGCCTGCCCAACATGGCAAAATCCCATCTCTACTAAAAATACAAAAATTAGCCAGGCATGGTGGTGCCCGCCTGTAATCCCAGCTACTCAGGAGGCTGAGGCAGGTAAACTGCCTGAACCTGGGAGGCAGAGGTTAAGAGAGCTGAGATTATGCCATTGCATGCCAGCCTGGGCAATAGAGCAAGACCCTGTCTGAAAAATAAAATAAAATAAAAATGTAAAAATAAGCCAGGTACAGTGGCACATGCCTATAATCCCAGCTACTCAGGTGGATGAAGCATGAGAAATGCCTGAACCCAGGAGGCAGAGGTTGCAGTGAGCCAAGATCACGCCACTGCCCTCCAACCTGGACGACACAGCAAGACTGTCTCAAAGAAAAAAGAAGGCCAGGTGCGGTGGCTCACACCTGTAATCCCAGCACTTTGGGAGGCCGAGGCAGGCAGATCACAAGGTCAGGAGATAGACACCATCCTGGCCAACACGGTGAAACCCTGTCTCTAACAAAAATACAAAAATTAGCTGGGCATGGTGGCATGCACCTGTAATCCCAGCTACTTGGGAGGCTGAGGCAGGAGATTTGCTTGAACCAGGGAGTTGGAGGTTGTAGTGAGCTGAGATTGCGCCATTGCACTCCAGCCTGGTGACAGAGCGAGATTCCATCTTAAAAAAAAAAAAAAAAAGAAAGAAAAGAAAAGGTGGAAAATATAAAGACTTGGATAAGGAAGGTATTATCCTGGCCCTTACTATAAAATTCAGTCACTAAAGAAAGCAGCTAATAACCATCTCACTACCATAAAAGCAGAAATATACAATGTCACGCTATCCTGGATAATGAGGAGTCATAGAAATCCCCTACATACCCTTCACTGCTTTTGTGTTTTTCTGAAGTTAATGCAAACAGAGAAGCAAAACAACATTACCAGCAGTTTCAGAGGATGTGGGATTCACTTCTTGATCATTTCTAAATAATTTTCCACCTCCTCCATGCCTCTATGATTGCAACTGAAACTAAATTGCAACAATAATTAGAGACAATCAAGTAGTGTGGCAACGGAGCAAATGGACAGGTTCAGGCAAAGTTCTTTTCTTTAGAAGCCCACTCTGAAGACTTTCATCTTGGAGAGGAGAGCAGGAAAGGTGTGGAACAATAACAGGAAAGCAGACTCGACCAGACTCGACACGGCTCTCAAGTTGAAGTCTTCCACCGGTCCAGCACAATACACAGAGATGTTTCATCCCTTTCATCTCTCCTGTTCCAAATGACCTATGATGTGTGCCCCCCATACTTGAAATAAGAAGGCAATCTTCTAATTCTTACTATAGAATAAGTGTCCTAACTGATCGTGAATGCAAGAAATACTGAAGAAAAAATCTGTTTGACATAATCTCTTTTGATTAACACATGGAACATTTAGAAAGGAGCAGGTATGAGCCATAAGATTCCAGAAACTGAAGTGTTTTGTTTTGTTTCGTTTTTGTTTTTGTTTTTTGAGATGGAGTCTCACTCTGTCGCCAGGCTGGAGTGCAGTGGCGCGATCTCGGCTCACTGCAACCTCCGCCTCCCAGGTTCAAGCAATTCTCCTGCCTTAGCCTCCTGAATAGCTGAGACTACAGGCGTGCACCACCACACCCAGCTGATTTTTTTATTTTTATTAGAGACAGAGTTTCACAATGTTGGCCAGGATGGTCTCGATCTCTTGACCTCATGATCCGGCCACCTTGGCCTCCCAAAGTGTTGGGATTACAGGCGTGAGCCACCACACCTGGCCTGTTTTGTTTTTGAGACATGGTCTCACTCTGTTGCCCAGGCAGGAGTACAGTGGCACGATCTCAGCTCACTGCAACCTCCGCCTCCCAGGTTCAAGCGATTCTAGTGACTCAGCCTCTTGAGTAGCTGGGATCACAGGCAGGCACCACCACACCCGGCTAATTTTTTTTTGTATTTTAGTAGAGATGGGTTTTCACCATGTTGCCCAAGCTGCTCTTGTACTCCTGAGCTTAAGCGATCTGCCCACCTCGACCTCCCAAAGTGCTGGGATTACAAGCATGAGCCACCATGCCCAGCCTGAAACTGAACAGTTTATCATTATAACCCAGACCAATACAATCTGTTTAATTCACAGGAAGGTGTGGTGGCTCATGCCTGTAATCCTAGTACTTTAGGAAGCCAAGGCAGGAGAATCACTTGAGGCCAGGAGTTCAAGACCAGCCTGGGTAACACAGTGAGACCCTGCTCTATTTAATTAAAAGAAAAATTATAGTTTCAAAAAAAAAATCTACTGGCCAGGAGCGGTGGCTCACGCCTGTAATCCCAGCACTTTGGGAGGCCGAGGCGGACGGATCACCTGAGGTCAGGAGTTTGAGGCCAGCCTTACCAACATGGTGAAACCCCATCTCTACTAAAAATACAAAAATCAGCAGGGCATGGTGGCGTGCGCCTGTAATTCCGCTACTCAGGAGGCTGAGGCACAAGAATTGCTTGAACCCGGGAGGCAGATGTTGCAGTGAGCCGAGATTGTGCCACTGCACTGCAGCCTGGGCGACAGAGCAAGACTCCATCTCAAAAAAAAAAAAAAAATTAAATTAAATTAAATTTTCTAAAAATCTATTTAATTCACAATTTCTTCTCGTAAGGAAACATTTTGTAGTTGGCCAGAAGACAATATATGGGTTGAGAGATCTTTCATCTTTAAAAGAAAAATTAAAAGAAAGGTAAACGACTGTTACAATTAGCCAAAATCTAACCTAAACCCCAGTCAAAACTGATACACATTTTCCCCATGCTTAAAACAGTGACAAAAACCTGTAAATCACTTTATTTGATAGAAAAGAGTTAACCTAAGTTAAGTAAATAAACCATCATTTCTTATGATGTAGCCAGTTCATAATACACAAATATGCAAAATAAAAATTTTTTTCAATCCAGCTAGTGATCAGTAGATTTAATAAGTCACCATTTTGTAACCACCAAATTCAGTTTGTTTGCTTGTTTGTTTTAAAAAAAAACTTTTAAAATGTTGATCCTCACTGAGGGCACATTTGCACTATTACAGGTACGTGTACTGATACATTGCTAAGAAAAGAGTAAATTGGTGCAGCCCTTTTGGAAAAAGTTGGCACCAGACATCAAGAATTCTAAAAATGTTTATACTCTGACATGTTCATGTCACCCTGAGAATATATCTTAAAGACCACAAAGTGTGTATAATTATGGCAACCTTATGTTCCAGATTTTCTAAGAAGGTGTTCACTGTAAATAATTGTGTTCTTTTCAATAAAGGCAAATCAGTAAGTTAGTAACTAAGTTTGAGAATAATGGAAGTCATCCATATCATAGAAAAACAAAGAAAACGGGTTCTGCATGGGGTCAAACATGCACAGAAGTGTTCTGGTTTCTGTTTGAAATGGAGAGTTGAGGAAAAAAACTCAAACTCACCACATATTAACTTTTTACAAGATGGAACTTGGTTCAATCCATTATTCCCTCCACAGTTGCTGAGCTGCCTCTGTAGGGCCCCAGGCACCATGCCTATTCTGGAGACATGGTGATGAAAAGGCAAATCTTTCTTAAATGCAACAGGCTCCTCTCCCCAGCCCGCAGCAGCACCCAGACATGCCAGTGCCCAGACCTTATTTTTCTTGTTGAATCTTCTCACCACCCACACACAGGTCTCCATGGTACAGCATGACAGCTCTTCCTATAATTCTGATATAAATCCTCCTTTTATCCAGAGTCTTTGGTCACAAACCGTAATACATACATGTGAAATGTTCCCAAATCTTGAGTAGACACTCAAGATTATGCCTGTGAGAAAACTCCTTTCCATGAAAACACAGAAGAAACTACTCTCTTTTCTTATCAAACCCCCGAAGTACCCACCAGGGCATTCGGCATGGGAAATCGGGTTAGAACTGCCGCAAGGCACTGCTCCCTCAGACAGCCCACCACCTGTGGCTGGCATAACGGCCCTGGACTTGCTGCCTGCTTTCCCTCTGTGCCACTAGGCACCCACCCCTGCAGTCACCCCAGCTCCCGAGGCATCACACCATCCACAGACCACAGGGTTAGTCCTCCTGAGGTCCCTCTGTGTGTTATGACACCACACCTAACCCGGCACAGAAACCAGGCTGAACACCCTGACAGTCTCCTGTGGCCCATGAAGATTGGGGGGGCCGCTGGGGGTTAGGGGAAGAGGAGAGATGGAAGGAAGTTACTAATTAAGAGTGATCTTGAAAGCCTCGGGTGCTAAGGGTCTTTTTTCTTTTTACCCCTGTCCTGAGTATTCCCTTATATCCTTCCCTCAAAGGCCAAAGCTAGAGACAGCAGATACGTTTTTATGCAATTGGACCTCAATGCTTCTCGAAATATGCGAATGAACAACTTTCTTGAATGTCTTACCCCACCACTCTTCCTCTACAGAGAAAGTGAAACCTCGTTTTTTTAATTCTTGCTGAAAACACTGCTATTTTAACTTGAAATTTGTTCTTTCTTGTTTTAGATAATGAATTAGTTCTACCTTTCCTGCTTTAGATAATCAATCTGGGAACTCAATGTAAAAATTACATCAAAGGCAAATAAAAAGTAAGGTATTTCAGAAGCTGAATAAGTAAAGGACATTTGCAGACGTCTCTTCCTTTTCATTTGAAAACTCACCTAAAAATTATTTTAAAATTCTCTGTTGACAACTTCCCTAATTGAAGCTAACTTCTTGAAAGGAACAAAAATAAGACATGCATTTGCTATAATGAACATGATAGACTCCAGCAACTTTCATTTTAAATGTTTATATAGAAATTATGCTTAAAGGCCAGGCACGGTGGCTCATACCTGTAATCCCAGCACTTTGGGAGGCTGAAGTGGGCAAATCACCTGAGGTCAGGAGTTTGAGATCAGCCTGGCCAACATGGTGAAACCTCGTCTCTACTAAAAATACAAAAATCAGCCGGGTGTGGTGGCACATGCCTGTAATCCCAGCTACTTGGGAAGCTGAGACAGGAGAATCACTTGAACCCAGGAGGCAGAAGTTGCAGTGAGCTAAGATCACGCCACTGCACTTCAGCCTGGGAAACAGAGTAAAACTCTGTCTCAACAACAAAAAAAAGAAATTATGCTTAAAAAGGAAGTTCATAATTGAATCACGGCAACTGCAGTCATTAGCCCCAAAATGATGACCATTACAGAGCAACAGGATGAACATACTCTCTGGAAAATCCCGCAAATACTCCCTTAAAGTGCATTATATGTGGTTTTCTGTTTACAACCCTGAACATTATTACACAGAAATATATACTGGCAACAGTACACACAAGCCAGGCGCAATGGCTCACACCTGTAATCCCGGCACTTTGGGAGGCTGAGGCGGGCAGATCATTTGAGGTCAGGAGTTCGAGACCAGCCTGGCCAACATGATGAAACCCCATCTCTACTAAAAATACAAAACAATTAGCTGAGCGTGGTAGCACACGCCTGTTGTCCCAGCTACTCAGGAGGCTGAGGCACGAGAATCGCTTGAACCCGGGAGGCAGAGGGTGCAGTAAGCCAAGATCGTGCCACTGGACTCCAGGCTGGACAACAGAGCGAGACTCTGTCTCAAAAAAAAAAAAAAAAAAAAGTACACACAGTATGCATGTTATAAAGAAAATGTATGCAAAATTTAATTTTTACGATTTTTTTCTTTTTCCTGAGCAGAATAGTATTTTCTTAAGTTAATGGTTTGTCTGGTGGGACTCCACAGTGCCATAAACAGTTTTTTTTTTTTTAAAAAAAGAAACCAATAGGCCAGGTGCAGTGGCTCACACCTGTAATCCCAGCACTTTGGGAGGCCTAGGCAGGGGGATCACCTGAGGTCGGGAGTTCGAGACCAGCCTGACCAACATGGAGAAACCCTGTCTCCAGTAAAAATACAAAATTAGCCAGGCGTGGTGACGCATGCCTGTAATCCCAGCTACTTGGGAGGCTGAGGCAGGAGAATTGCTTGAATCTGGGAGGCGGAGGTTGCGGTGAGCCGAGATCGCCCCATTGCACTCTAGCCTGGGCAACAAGAGTGAAACTCTGTCTCACAAAAAAAAAAAAATAAGGCCGGGCGCGGTGGCTCACGCCTGTAATCCCAGCACTTTGGGAGGCGGATGGATCACGAGGTCAGGAGATCGAGACCATCCTGGCTAACATGGTGAAACGCCGTCTCTACTAAAAATACAAAAATTTAGCCGGGTGTGGTGGCGGGTGCCTGTAGTCCCAGCTACTCAGGAGGCTGAGGCAGGAGATGGTGTGAACCCAGGAGGCAGAGCTGGCAGTGAGCCGAGATTGCGCCACTGCACTCTAGCCTGGGCAACAGAGCAAGACTCCGTCTCAAAAATAAATAAATAAAAATAAATAAATTAAATAAATAAACAAACCAGTAAAGATATATCCCACACAGGTGTAGTCTGAACCAAACTGTCCCTATCTAATGAATACAAAAGAGTACTGGAACTGAGAAAGCCTTTTTGTTGGTTTTTGAAATTGTCTTTAATTGGACAGAGAAACTCTAAGACTCTCTTTCTATAGCATATTATCAATGAGCTATGTTCCAAAAGTTTTTTAATACTAAAAGGTAGCCAGGAAATTACAATGCATTTCCCTCCAGAAAGAATTCTAAAGCCGGGCGCGGTGGCTCACACCTGTAATCCCAGCACTTTGGGAGGCTGAGGCGGGCAGATCACGAGGTCAGGAGATCGAGACCATCCTAGCTAACATGGTGAAACCCCATCTCTATTAAAAATACAAAAAAAAAAAAAAAGAAAGAATTCTAAAAACAGTGGTACCTGTCCTAGGCTGATTCACAAAACGTTACCAACTTACGCAGCAGGGACAGGGACAGGGACAGAGGAAGCACTGTTGAAAACAGCGCACACACAAAGTTAACACCACAAGAAATGTTTCTCATTATTCTGAAAATCAAATATTAAGGTTTAGGCTGGGCTTGGTGGCTCAGGCCTGTAATCCTAGCACTTTGAGAGGCTGAAGCAGGCAGATCAATTGAGGTCAGGAGTTCAAGACCAGCCTGGCCAACATGGGGAAACCCCATCTTTACTAAAAATACAAAAATTAGCCAGACATGATAGCATGTGCCTGTAGTAACCCCTACTCAGAAAGCTGAGGGAGAATCGCATGAACCCAGGAGGTGGAAGCTGCAGGGAGCTAAGACTGTGCCACCACACTCCAGCCTGGGTGACAGAACAAGACTGTCTCAAAAAAAAAAAAAAAAAAAAAAAGGGAAAAAAAATTAAGGTTTAAAAAGTTTATTTAGGGCCGGGCGTGGTGGCTCACGCCTGTAATCCCAGCACTTTGGGAGGCCAAGGCAGGTGGATCACTTGAGGTCAGGAGTTTAAGACCAGCCTGGCCAATATGGTGAAACCCCATTTCTACTAAAAACACAAAAATCAGCCGGGTGTGGTGGCAGGTGCCTGTAATCCCAGCTACTTGGGAGGCTGAGGCAGAAGAATCACTTGAACCCAGCAGGCAGAGGTTGCAGTGAACCAAGATTGCGTCACTGCATTCCAGCCTGGGCAACACAGTGAGACTCCATCTCAAAAAAAAAAAAAAAAAAAAAAAAGAAAGAAAAAGTTTAATTAGGCCTGGCACAGTGACTCAACCCAACACTTTCAGAGGCCAAGGCGGGAGGATGGTTTTAGACCAGCCTGCGCAACATAGTGAGACTCTGCAACTATTTAAAAAATAATAATAATAAAAAGTTTGTTTAAAAGAAAACAATGGAAGTTCTGAGGTGACGTCTGAACACGTCATGTTATATGCTTTATGAATCCATCACACACATTTCCTTTTACAATGTGGGATCTGGTCAAGGTAAATTCTCTGTGAAACCTATGAGGGAAATGGACAGTTCTGGAGACTAACACAAACCTTAAAGAACTTGGGAGTCTTATTCTTCATATGATCATCTTACACCATCAGGTACTTTTTGTGTGGTGACCCTCTGGGTGGGGAATCTTCAATCTTTTTAGTTCCTCCAAAATAAAAGGATGATATTTAAAACTGTAGAAAGGGGAACAGGCCAGGCGGGGTGGTTCATGCCTGTAATCCCAGCACTTTGGGAGGCTTAGGCAGGCAGATCACCTGAGGTCAAGAGTTTGAGACCAGCCTGGACAACACAGAGAAACCCTGTCTCTACTAAAAATACAAAATTAGCCAGGCGTGGTGGCGCATGCCTGTAATCCCAGCTACTCAGGAGGCTGAGGCAGGAGAATCGCTTGAAGCTGGGAGGCAGAGGTTGCAGTGAGCCGAGATTGCGCCATTGCACTCCAGCCTGGGCAACAAGAGTGAAACTCCATCTCAAAAAAAAAAAAAAAAAAAAAAAGAAAGGGGAAGAATAAACTTACAAACTTTCTCATCTTCGTGTGTGGCAGACAGAATAACAGCCCCTAAAGAAGTCCGGGTACTAATCCCCAGAACTTGTGAATAGGTTACCTTACATGGCAGAAGGGGAATTAAGGTAACAGATGGAATTAAGGTTGCTAATCCTTAGCCTTGATTATCCAGGTGGGTCCCACTATAATCACAAGGATCTTAATAAGAGGGAGGTAGGAGGTCGAGAGAAATGAGAAGATGCTACCTGCTGGCTTTGAAGATGGAAAGGGGACTATGAACCATGGAACACAGGTGGCCTCTAGAAGCTGGAAAAGGTAAGGAAATGGGTTCTCCCCTGAGCCTCCAGAAAGAACCAGCCTGTCCGACACCTTGGCTTTAGCCCAGTGAGACCTATTTTGGACTTCTGACAGCAGAACCCTAAAACAAATGTTATGTTGTTTTGAGCCACCAGGCTTGTGGTAATATAACAGGTATAGGAAACTAACACGCCCTGCTTCCACTTACCTCTTTCAAGTACAAGTTCATGTCATGCCTGGTGGCAAAGCAGTCACTGTATTAAAAGCAACCAGACCAATAGCTTCCTGCCCACGGCAGCAGGCAAGAACACAAGAGAGGCCACAAAAGCCTGGTAGGCAGGACACTGGGATCTGAGGGAAATTAAATGGCAAGAGGAGGCAGAGAAAAGAGCAGCAGGCAAAACTGCTGTCGGCTTCTCAGCAGTGGGCAGGAGTGAAATCTGGAGGGGCTGAACAATCTTTTGGGGCCAGCCAGTGGGTGATTTTTCTTTTAATCACAAAAGGAGGCTGGGAGCAGTGGCTCATGCCTGTAATCCCAACACTTTGGGAGGCCAAGATAGGAACTGGAGTTCACACCAGCCTAGGCAACATAGGGAGACCTCCCTCTCTACAAAAAGAAATAAAAATAATTAGCAGGGCGTGGTAGCCCAGGCCTGTAGTCCAGGTTACAGGAGGGGCTGAGAAGAGAGGTGAGAGGATTGCTTGAGCCAAGGAAGCAGAGCGTGCAGTGAGCTATGAGAGCGCCCCTGCACTCCAGCCTGCGCAAGAGAGCTAGACCCTGTCTCAAAAACACAACAAAACAAACAACAAAAAAATGCACAAGCTGCTTTTACTTGTTTACTTATAAGGTAACAAGTGGGCTGGGTGTGGTGGCTCAGGCCTGTAATCCCAACACTGTGCGAGGCAGAGGTGGGAGGACTGCTTGGGTCTAGGAGTTCAAGACCAGCCTGGGTAACATGGCAAGACCCCATCTTTTAAAAAAGTAAAAAATTAGGGCTGGGCGCGGTGGCTCATGCCTGTAATCCCAGCACTTTGGGAGGCCGAGGCGGGTGGATCACCTGAGGTCAGAAGTTCAAGACCAGCCTGGCCAACATGGCAAAACCCTGTCTCTACTAAAAATACAACAATTAGACAGGCGTGGTGGCACGCGCCTGTAGTCCCAGCTACTCAGGAGCCTGAGGCAGGAGAATCGCTCAGCTCACCCAGGAGGCCGAGGTTGCAGTGAGCCGAGATGGCGCCACTGCACTACAGCCTGGGCGACAGAGTGAGACTCCGTTTCAAAAATAAAATAAAATAAAATAAAATAATAAAATAAAATAAAATAAAAAATTAGCCGGGCATGGTGGCGTGCGTATGGTTCCAGCCACTCAAGAGGCTGACGTGAGCTACGATCACGCCACTGTGCTCCAGCCTGGGTGACAGAGCGAGATCTCGTCTCTTAAAAAAAAAAAAAAAAGAAAAATGTCCCATTAGTTATTAAACTAGAATTGGGTTCCATTTGGCCACAGAGTTCTGCTTTATTTGTACTTTGCTACCAAACCACAAAAGTTCACCACTTGTTCTATTTGCCATTCTTCCTTTTAATTCCTCATGAACAAACTTAATAAATTAACTACAGCATGTCAAACAACCTTTTGCAACCCTTGCAATTTCAAACTCTTGGAGGGAGGCACCCCTGGCCTGGGCCAGCAGCCTCAACGCGCGGGAGCGAAGGGAGCGGGACAGCGGCTCCGCTTGCCAAGTCCCCAGTCAGGGGAGGAGCGGCGTCCCCACCGCGGTGCCCCTCGGGCTCCACACCCGCGTCTCGGCAGGCGGCGACGCACCGGACCGGCGGCTACCGGGCCCAGACTCCCGCGGGCAGGGCCGTCCCGGAGCCCGCGCCTCGCCGGCGGCGCCGCTCCCCGTTCTCATTTCTGAACAAAGACGTGGACCGGGCACAACTCGCTGACGCCGAGAGCGGCCGGAAACTGCGGGGAACGCGGGCCCGGCCATCCGCGCGTCCGCCCCGAGCCCCGCAGAGGGGCGGCAGGGCCAGCGACCTCCACCCCTCGGCCCCCCGGGACCCGGACTGCGACCCCTGCCCCGGGGACCCCAGCGACCCCAACGACTCTCATCCCTCAGAGCCCCTGAGATCCTGCCCCGCGACCCCAACGACCCTCATTCCTCAGAGCTCGCGGCGACCCCTGGCCCCGCGAGACCGCGAGCCCGGCCTGTGACCCCCGCCCCAGCCACCCACATCCCTCAGCGCCGCCAGCGACCCCGGCCCCGGCGACCCTCATCCCTCAAAACCCCCTGCGACCCCCGCCCCGCGAGGGCCCCGCGCACCGCTCGCCCGCCGGTCGCCCCGGGCTCCGCGTCCCGCACCAGTGTCCCCGGGAAACGCCAGCCGCCGCAAGCGCTGCCGGACGGCCGGGCCCGGAGGGGACTGGGGGACAGCGAGGGGGAAGCGTCCGCCGCCGGGGCGCACTGACCGTAGCTGTCGTCCTCCTCCATGGTGCGGGAGCCGGGCTCCGCGCTCCGGCTCGCCGCTCGCGTCCCGCCGCGCCACCCGCGCCCCCGCTCGCCTCAGCCCGGCTCGGAGCCCCGCCCCCGGCGCCCCGCGCCCCGCGCCCCGCCCGCCCGCGCCTGCGCCTGCGCCCGCCCCCTGCCCCCGGCCCGAGGCCCCGCCCCTCGCCCGAGGCCCCGCCTTCCTCCCGCGCGCGCCGCACCCCGGGTACCCGGCCTCCTCCCGAGGCTCCGGCCTGCGCACGCGCGTCCACCCGAGGCTCCTCCCCTGCCCCCGCCTCTAGACCACGCCCCCGTCCCGAGACACACACACCCCCCCCCCTTCTCCCGGTCCGCCTCCTGGGGCCGAGCAGGTTTCGGTTTCTGAAGGGCGGTGCAAGTCCCCGGGGTGGCGGACTCGACCTGGCCTGCAGCCAGGCTACTGCACGAAAGCCCAAGGTCGTGTCCGGCCACTGAAGGGCAGGGTGGTCCTTGCTGACGCCAACCTGGAAGGTCAGACCCGGCCCCAGCTTGCCAGGGAGGGCCCGGTCCTTGGCGAAAGGCCACAAAAGCTATTTGAAGTCATTTACTCCTGCGTTCAGAACCTTTACATGCTGTATGTCCTAAGTTTACTGCTTCTACTTCTTTTTATTTGTCCTGAGTTTTACCTGGGTCAAGATTGAAAGGAGGGCACTTCAAGTCCCAGCGTTTTGGATTTTATTTATTTATTGGAGACGAGTTTCGCTCTTGTTGCCCAGGCTGGAGTGCAGTGGCCCGATCTCGGCTCACTGAAACCTCCGCCTCCCGGGTTCAAGCGATTGTCCTGCCTCAGCCTCCTGAGTAGCTGTGATTACAGGCATGTGCCACCAGGCCCGACTAATTGTATTTTTAGTAGAGACGGGGTTTCGCCATGTTGGCCAGGCTGGTCTCGAACTCCTGACCTCAAATAATCCGCCTGCCTCGGCCTCCCAAAGTGCTGGGATTACAGGTATGAGCCACCGCGCTCGGCCTTCTCTTTCTTTATGACAGAGGACAATCCCACTGCTGCAGAATGCCAGCACCAGAACCCCCCTTTCCCCCTGCAGTCACTTGTGGCTCCTGCACCCTACACAGAACACTCACTGAGAACTCCACAGAGATCCCTGGACTGCTGGGAATTTTTTGGACCAACCAAAAAACGGGAGTAAAAGCCACAGAACTCTTTCCTTGTGGGCCCACCTGTCCTGAGTTTTACTATTTTTCTTTTTCTTTTATTTATTTATTCATTTTGAGACAGAGTCTCACTCGCTGTGTTGCTCAGGCTAGAGTACGGTGGCACCATCATGACTCCCTGCAACCTCTGCTTCCCAGGCTCAAGCAGTTCTCCCACCTCAGCCTCCTGAGTAGCTGAGACTGCAGGCACCGGCCACCATACCTGGTTAATTTTTGTATTTTTTGTAGAGACGGAGGTTGCTAGGTTGCCCAGGCTGGTCTCGAACTCCTAGGCTCAAGTGATCCTTTCTCTTTGGTCTCCTTCCTTGGCCTCCCAAAGTACTGGAATTACAGGCGTGAGCCACCACGCCTGGCTGGATTCATGATCTTAACCTTCACTGACTTTACCAGATTGTCCAGTTTTACAGGTGACCTTAGAGAGTCACATTTTGGCCCTAACGTGTCCTTGGGCTTCGGCGTGTGAGGTCAGAGACCCAGCTGCATTTTGTTCCTCTTGGCCTAGACTTAGGACACTTTTAGAATTGACCCCACATTGACCTGGCAAATCTTCTCAAACCATCTGTCACATGGGCTAATGGAGCACTGAGCCTCTCCCCCAGTATTTGCCATCCTCTGTTTCACTCCCTACTTCACTTCTAACCCCAGACTCACCAGAAGGTTCAAGGTATCTTCGAGCTGGCTTTCTTCCCTTATCAGTATGCAAGTCCCAGACCACCTCAGCTCTTGCTCAAAGACCAGAACTCCAGAAGAAAAGCGATTCAGATGGCATGTTAATTCTTACTATCAGCACTCTAGACCTCTTAGCTGAACTCACCAACTGAATAGATTTGGAGAGGGAGGGATACTGGTATTACTGCTAATCACAGATTAGCAGAGAACATGACTGTTTACAAATTCTGTTCCCTTATATTGTTCCATTAGACTGGTGTTTTTCAGCTGGGTGAAGTGGTTCATGCCTATAACCCCAGTACTTTGGGAGGCCAAGCTAGGAAAACTGCTTCAGGGCAGGAGTTCAAGACCAGCGCGAGTAACATAGAGAGACCCTGTCTCTACAAAAAATTAAAAATTGTCGAGCATAGCGGCACACGCCTGTAGTCCTAGCCACTCTGGAAGCTGAAGTGGGAGGGATCCTCTGGGCCTGGGAAGTTGAGGCTTCAGTAAGCTATGATTGCACCACTGTGCTCCAGCCTGGGGGACAGAGTGAGACCCTGTTTCCAAAAAAAAAAAAAAGAACAGTGTTTTTCAAACAGCGGGTCATGACTCTTAATGGTTATGAAACAAATACTTATTAGATGAAAAGAAAATAGAATTTTTAAAAAATTGTAGTCTATCACACATAATACAGAGACAGTGTTTGTTCTGGTTGCAAATGAATGCATGCATGTGTCCACTGGGTAGGGCTATCCCTGACCATGGATGACTGTCAAAGAAACACAGAAGCTACTCCATTAGATCACATTCATGATCAGAGATTTTTTTTTTTTTTTTTGAGATAGGGTCTTACTGTGTCATCCAGGCTGGAGTGCAGTTGCACATCTCGGCTCACTGCAGCCTCCACGTAGCTGGGATTACCACCATGTGCCACCAAGCCCAGCTAATTTTTGTGTTTTTAGTAGAGACAGGGTTTCGCCATGTTGGCCAGGCTGGTCTTGACATCCTGACCTCAGGTGATCCGCCCACCTCTGCCTCTCAAAGCACTGGGATTACAGGCGTGAGCCACTGCGCCCAGCCAGAGAGGTCCTTTAGCTGTTATCTTTGCATGACATTTGGAAGCCGAGGCTAATAGACATCCAAATGCAGCCTACTTGCAAGCAGGAGTTAAGTCAGTTTCACTCTCGTATCTTGTATTTGTGCCCCCAGCCCTTGGAGCGTAATGAGAAGGAGCCGGCGGCAGGGAGACAGGAACCACAGGACTCCACTCCAGCTGTGGATTCTAACCCAGACCTCTTCCCCCACATCCACTAATTCTTCACAGAACCTTTAAACTGGGTGTGGGCTCTCTGCAAGTTTCGCTGTGGTTTCTAAGTCCTTAGTGGTTGATCCACTTGACAACTAATTTTTTTAAGTTGGTAGCTCCCTGCGGTATTTGACAGTTTTTGGTTTGGTTTTGTTTTTGAGACAGGGTCTCACTCTGTTGGCCAGGCTGGAGTGCAGTGGCTCATGGCTCACTGCAGACTCCACCTCCCAGACTCCATCGATCTTCCCACTTCAGCCTCCCAAGTAGCTGGGACTACAGTTGCACGCCACCACACCCAGCTAATATTTTATTTATTTATTTATTTTAGAGACAGGGTCTTTCCATGTTGTCCAGGCTGGTTGTGAAATCCTGGGCTCAAGTGATCCACCCACCTTAGTCTCCCAAAGTGCTAGGATTACAGGCATGAGCCTGCTCCTGGCCACCCTCTGGTATTTTCCACTGTTCCTGGCACATACCTCCCTTAGCTCTTGTTACAGTCTTTTGTTATAATGTTGGTTTAGGCCTCAGGAAACAATCTCTCTGGCCTTCTCTTGTTCTTTCACCTGCCCCAAGGCAGGACTTTAATCTTGCCCACCTTTCTGATTGTGGGTCTTAAGACCCTCCCCAGAGAGGGTCCTGCCCTGTGCCCTATGGAAGGAAGCTTCCATAAAAATTTCCATTAAAAAAAAAAAAAAAAAAAGACTGGGCTAGGATAGCTGAACATGTGGAGGTTCCTGGAGGGTGATGCCTAGGGAGGGCTTGGAAGCTCTGTGCAAGGGCCCTTCCCCATCTCTTCATCTTTATCCTTTGCAATATCCTTTATAATAAACCACTAAATGGCCAGGCGTGGTGGCTCATGCCTATAATCCCAGCACTTTGGGAGGCTGTTGTATCACCTGAGGTCAGGAGTTCGAGACCAGCCTGGCCAACATAGTGAAACCCCGTCTCTACTAAAAATACCAAAATTAGCCGGGCTTGGTGGCGGGTGCCTGTAATCCCAGCTACTCGGGGGGCTGAGGCAGGAGAATCGCTTGAACCCGGGAGGTGGAGGTTGCAGTGAGCTGAGATCGCGCCATCACACTGGGGGACAAGAGCGAGACTTCGTCTCAAAAAAATTAAAAACAAACAAAATACTAAATGTAAGTGTTTCCCTAAGTTCTGTGAGTGGCTCCAACAAATTAATCAAACCCAAAGAGCGGGGGTCATAGAAATCCCAAGTTTAAGGTGGTCGCTCAGAACTTCCAGAGGCCCAGGCTTGTGACTGCTGTCACAAATGCAGTCTTGGGGACTGAGCCCTCAGCCTGTGAGATCTGACCTCACTCCAGATAAGAGTCCAAGTTGGACTGGATGAGAGGACCCCCAGGTAGTGTCTGCTGCTTGGTGTGTGGGGATAAACCCCCACGCCTCTGGGCAGAGCAGTCTTCTGTGAAGATTGTTGTGAGGTGAGAGCAGACCATAGTTTGAGAGTTTTTCCCGAAACATTCCCCCTTCAGCTTCCCTGCTTTGCCTAATAAAAAGAATTAGAAAGGTTTTAAGCAGAGGTAACCCAAAATATGTTTTTCCTATGCTTATACCATGGTTTTATTTTATTTATTTATTTATTTTTTGAGACTGAGTCTCGCTCTGTTGCTCAGGCTGGAGTGCAGTGGTGCATGATCTCAGGCTCACTGCAACCTCTGCCTCCCAGGTTCAAGCGATTCTCATGTCTCGGCCTCCCGAGTAGCTGGGATTACACGCACGCGCTACCACGCCCTGCTAATTTTTGTATTTTTAGTAGAGACGGGGTTTCACCATGTTGCCCAGGCTGGTCTTGAACTCCTGACCTCAGGTGATCTACCCACCTCAGCCTCCCAAAGTGCTGGGATTACAGGCGTGAGTCACCATGCCCGGCCCTATACCATGGTTTTAAAATGTCTTCAGGAACCACCTCAAAGTTTATCAATAGCAAACAGGTTAACTATATTAGGATACTTTCATACAAGGAAGCACCCACAGGCTTCAAAAGACTGAAACAGATTTCTGTATTACCAACAGAAGACAATTTCCAAGCTATAAGTGAAAAAAGCAGTCAGAACGGTGGTATATAATACAGAACCATTTGTAATCAAAATCAATGTATACATGCTACTCGTTTACAGGTGTATATTCAGTCGCTGAACAAATCTCCGTTAGGGGCACTGTTCGTGTGCTGGGAACACACAGGTCAATGAAGAGCAGCCAGAAAGCCCCAAGCTCTGGAGGCTTCCACTCTCGTGAATCAGCACCGCTTGATCATCTGTGAGGTAGAGATTGGGAGCCACATTTAACTCTGAGAAGAGAACCTTTCCATACTGTTATGGGTTGAGTCATGTCCCAACAAAAGATATGTTGAAGTCCTAAGCCCCAGTACCTGTGAATGGTGACCTTATTTGGAAGTGGGGTCTTTGCAGATGTAATCAAGTTAACATGAGATCATTAGGGTGGGACCTAATCAAACAGGACTTGTGTCCTTACAAAAAGAGGGAGATTTGGACACAGAACGGAAAGATGGCTACGTGAAGATGGAAGCACAGTGGAGTGATGTGGCCACAAGCCAAGGAATTCCTGGGAGAGGCTGGATTCTCCCCCACAGCCCTGAGGACACCTTGATTCCAGACTCTGGTCTCTCTCTGGCACTGTGAGAGAACATTCCCATTGTCTTAAGCCACCCAGTTTGTAGTCCTTTGTTATGGCAGCCTCAGGAAGCGAGTACATGAAGCTCTGCAAGTTGTGTTTAAAATTGCATATGCATAGGTTATTTTATTTATTTATTTTTTTTTTTGAGACAGAGCCTCACTCTGTCGCCAGGCTGGAGCGCAGTGGTGCAATCTCGGCTCACTGCAACCTCCGCCTCCCAGGTTCAAGCAATTCTCCTGCCTCAGCCTCCCAAGTAGCTGGGACTACAGGTATGCGCCACCACGCCCAGCTGATTTTTGTATTTTTAGTAGAGACAGGGTTTCACCATGTTGGCCAGGATGGTCTCAATCTCTTGACCTCGTGATCTGCCTGCCTCGGCCTCCCAAAGTGCTGGGATTACAGGCGTGAGCCACCGCACCCGGCCCTGGTTCCTTTTTCTAAAACAAGTAATTCTATTTCGTTACCTTTATGTTCTCCCAGCTGGTTGGTGGGGCAGTGGGGGTGCCCAGCTTCCAGAAGGTGCAAGCTGGAGGGTCTCAGAAGAAAGGCAGGACTGATGCCCACCCTGACCCTGTGTGCTACAGGAACAACAGACAGCCCACCCGCATCTGCTAGAAGGCATGAAGGAAGGAAGGGCCAAGGACGAGATGTGGAGGGACTCGGGTCCATGGGGTAGGTATTGCTGAGGCCATCAGAACACCAGACACCAGGACATCATCTACGGCCTCCCCTCCACCAAGGGGAGAATTGTCAGCCACTGCCTGATGTCATTCCCCTCCACCAAGGCCAGAATGCTGCCTCTTGCCAGAGGTGGGGACGGGAGGGACACTGAGGACTGAGATGTCTGGGGACAATGCTGGCTTCACGAAAGAGAGATGAGGCCAGGTGCGGTGACTCACGCCTGTAATCCCAGCACTTTGGGAGGCTGAGGCAGGCAGATCACGAGGTCAGGAGTTCGAGACCAGCCTGGCCTATATGGTGAAACTCCGTCTCTATTAAAATATGAAAATTAGCCGGGCGTGATGGCATGCACCTGTAGTCCCAGCAACTTGGGAGGCTGAGGCAGAAGAATCACTTGAACCTGGGAGGCAGAGGTTGCAGTGAGTCGAGATTGCGCCATTGCACCCCAGCCTGGGCAACAAGAGAGAAACTTGGTCCCAAAAAAAAAAAAAAAAAAAAAAAGGAGATGAGGTTTAGCTGGGCATGCCAGCCTTCACTTGCCCAATCACTGTGTGAGTGATTTGTACGCCCTGAGACCAAGCGAAAGGTATGATCTAGAGGTAGCAGCTTTTCTAGAAGCCAGCCTCTGACCCCTCCCACCCAGAAGGAGTAGGCTGAACAGTGGTTAGACAGGCCTTTAATTCAGGGTTCTTCAAAAAGTGAATAAATAGAAGACAGAGGACTCAGCAGCTCTGCCAGGGAGCAAGCCTCCTGGACTTGCTAATTTTGCAGCATAGACCTTGCAGAGAGGGTGGAGCCTGGTGAAGAAGGGGTGTTAATCCCCGCAAGAGGCTGCAAAGCGAACTGCTCACACAGGCTTGGATTGGGGCATTGTCTTGCTTTGAAAACCCCCAGATTTTATTTTGCTAAAGCTTGCAATTTCTTCTGTGTGTAAATGACACTTAAAATCTGTTTGTAATGGAACTTGATTGTATCCAGCTGTCACCAACTGTTCCCTGTGCCACCCAAAAGACAGCTGGCCACGTGCCACGGTTTGGGCGTTCACTTCAAATAGAGGAGCTAGTGCTCTAGTTCCTGCTAGACTTCACCAAAATGTTTTCACTTACGCAGAAAAACAAAGGGGGTGCGGGTAGGGCTCAGGGAAGGCAATGTGAAGGGGAATTAGTGCAGTGTGGACTGCGGAGCCACTGACTTTGATGGACGGTGGGCTGGCTGTTTTCTGAGCAGGGTCCGAATGCAGTCACAAAGTATGCTGCCTTCAGCAGCTGCTCCAGTTCACTCATTCAACAAATATTTACCGGGTGGCTGGTAAGTGCTAGGCCTTGCCAAGAGAACTGTAGCCACATAAGACAGAAAAATGGCAGAATAATACCTTTTTTTTTTTTTTGAGACGAAGTCTCGCTCTGTCATCCAGGCTGGAGTGCAATAGCGCGATCTCAGCTCACTGCAACCTCGGCTTTCCAGGTTCAAGTGACTCCTCTGCCTCAGCCTCCCTGAATAGCTGGGATTACAGGCACCCACCACCACGCCTGGCTAATTTTTGTATTTTTAGTGGAGATATGGTTTCTTTTTCTTTTTCTTTTTTTTTAAAGACAGAGTCTCACTCTGTCACCCAGGCTGGAGCACAATGGCGCGGTCTCAGCTCACTGCAACCTCCACCTCCTGGGTTCAAGTGATTCTCCTGCCTCAGCCTCCCGAGTAGCTGGGACTACAGGCGTGTGCCACGAGGCCCGGCTAATTTTTTTTTATTTTTAGTAGAGACAGGGTTTCACTATGTTAGCCAGGCTGGTTTTGAACTCCTGACCTTGTGATCTGTCTGCCGTGGCCTCCCAAAGAGCTGGGACTACAGGTACAAGCCACCATGCCTGGCCTTTTTTGGCTGGTCTCGACATCTTGGGCTCAAGCAATCCTCTCATCTCAGCCTCCTGAAGTGCTGGAATTACAAGCATGAGCCACTGCGCCCGGCCAACACATTCATTTTAAAATGGCCTTAAAAAAATCACTGGTTTATGTAAAAGAACTTGAATTTCCTACACACATTTCGCAGCAAGTATTTGCCATGTACTTAGACTGTGTGTTGAAATCTGGTCTCATGATGGTAAGAAGCTACCTAAATACCTAGATCCTGCTTAAGGGAGTGGCAATCTTGTGACCTGTTTCTCACTCAATGTCTAATGGATATTTGGCAGCCATGTCCTGTTGCTTCCTCTAATCAACACCCTCCTAAATGAAGCAGTAAGGGAGAAAACCAATGAAAACACGCATGCAAGACATGTATCGTGAGAGTGACAGCTGACAATCATGATAATTTGAATCTAACCTTTGCATTTTAGAGGAGAAAAGCAAATTCATGATGCTAACTCATGGCAGACCCCTTAGAACACAGGTCTTGATTCCCAATCTGGCCTTCTTTTTTTTTTTTTTTTTTTTTTTAGCTGGAGTTTCGCTGTTGTTGCCCAGGCTGGAATGCAATGGTGCGATCTCGGCTCACCGCAACCTCCACCTCCCGGGTTCAAGCGATTCTCCTGCCTCACCCTCCCAAGTAGCTGGGATTACAGGCATGCACCACCATGCCCGGCTGATTTTGTATTTTTAGTAGAGACGGGGTTTCTCCATGTTGTGTCCTGACCTCAGGTGATCCGCCCCGCCTAGGCCTCCCAAAGTGCTGGGATTACAGGCATGAGCCACCGTGCCCGGCCCTGGCCTTCTTTTTATAGGAAGTCATGATTCAAACCTGACTCCAGCCTGACCCTACTTTAATCCCTTTAAAGCAGCAAAAATATACAGCAGTTTCCCCTTGAGAAAGCAACTTGAAGCAACAGTTTGGTACAGATTCTGCTAAGAACAAGCACATTTTTAATCTCAGGCCCCTCTCACAGGGCAATTTCCTCAATGCCTGGAGTGCTTTCTGAGATCCCAGAACAACGGGCTGGACAGCTGCCCAGAGGCCTCTAGGGGGCTGTGGAAGGCTGAAGAGGCAGGGGGGATCTGGATCACAAAATAGAGGAGACTATTTTCTCTGAACAGGAGTGAGAAACCTTATGTTGGGGAATGATTAGATTCTGGTTTCTTGCCTTAAAAGATTGTCCTGGAGGCCAGGCACAGTGGCTCACACCTGTAATCCCAATGCTTTGGGAGGCCAAGGCGAGAAGATTATTTGAGGCCAGGATCCTATACTGAGGGGGCACCTCTTTCAGTGTCTACAGTAGAGATCCTGACAGAGGGTGGATCGGTCGGCTGTTCAGTGGGATGTATTGACTGGATCAGTTGATTCTGGGCTTGATCTAGAGTATGCAGCAAATGCAACAGGCTCACATCTTAGAGGAGCTCTCCAGGGTGCGGAGGTCAACAGTGTCAAATCCTGGGAAGAAGTCGGTGGCAAGAGTGGGAATTAGGTCACTGAGAAGTGATGATGGCAGAAGCTAGACTAAGAACCACAGAGAGTCAACACAGAGCAAAATGAATGTCAACCAAAGGAGAGGGCAGCTGAGAGGGGACACAAGGACACACAGGCTTTTTAGGATGGGAGATGCCTGAACATGTTCCTAAGGGAAGAGTGAGACACGGGAGCAGACAGGGTAATTAATGGAGCAAGGTCCCCAGGGTGGAAGAAGTTGGCCTCAAGGGCACAGGTGGGGTGCCAGCATACACAGAGGGGGCACCTCGTCCAGCATCTCCAGTAGAGGTCCCCACAGAGGATGGGGAACAGCCCCTATACTACAGTTCCTTCCCACTCTCCCACACCAACCACCCAGCCCCTCTGGGAGGCATCAGATCAGAACAGTGGGTCTGCCCAGCAGCAGCCCCGGGGACTATTGGACATGCACATTCTCAGGCCTCATCCCAGACCTGCTGAATCAGAATGCGGGGGAAGGAGCCCGGCAACTGGTGTTTTAAGGAGCCCCTGGCAATTCTGGTGCTCACTTGAGTTTGAGACCAGGGACCAGGATGGCAACTCTCAACTCTGCTGCTCACTATGATCCCCCCGGGAAGGTTTTTTTTGTTGTCGTTGTTTTTGAGACAGAGTCTCACTCTGTCGCCCAGGCTGGAGTGCAGTGGCATGATCTTGGCTCACTGCAACCTCCACCTCCCAGGTTCAAGCAGTTCTCCTGCCTCAGCCTCCCAAGTAGTTGGGATTACAGGCACAGGCCAAGCCCAGCTAATTTTTGTATTTTTAGTAGAGACAGGGTTTCACCATGTTGGTCAGGCTGGTCTCGAACTTCTGACCTCAAGTGATCCGCCCGCCTCAGCCTCCCAAAGTGCTGGGATTACAGGTGTGAGCCACCGCGCCCGCCCCCCTCACCCCCCCAGGAAGGCTTTAAATGCTGATGCCTAAGCCTCACCCATAGATTCTGATTCTACTTCCGTCAGTATCGAATGCCTCTCCCCAGGTGCTCCTGCTGCCCTATGAGCATTGAGAACCCTGAGGTAAGAAGGAGAAGAGAACAGAGGGAGAGGAGCTGGTTTTAGCTTTGGTTTCCCCATGTTGTTTAATTTTGGGGTGGGATGGGAATTCTTGAGGTAGCCTTGGAAGTCACTTACCAAGAGTAGTGGGCACATATGCAATGAGAGAGCAAAATAGTGTGCAGGGATCACTGAAAAGAATGGGAGAGAGAGGAAGGAGTTGCCTGAAGACCAAGGGCAGAAATCCCAAAAGGCAGGCAGAGCCCAACGAAGAAGGGCAGCCAGACAGCCCTGAAAGCCGAATCCATGGCACCCAGATGATCTTCTCCAAGGGTCATCCCCAGTCCAGATATGGAAGGAGCAGGGGGCCAAGCCAAGGCGGGATCTGCACGAAGCAGCAGCAGGGCCACCTCCGGGCAAGAGTGTGACTCCAGGGAGTCAGCTCAGCTGACAAGACACAGAAAGCTGCCCGTCTGCATGTCACGTGACCTGTCCACACACAGTCCTCCTTTACCACCACGTCCTTGGCGTACCCACATCCTCATTGCGCTGAGGTTGTCCAAGCTACCAAGACTTGAGGCAGGGATTCTCACAGCACCGTCCAGTGTTAAACTGCCCTTAAGGTCACTATTACAGTTATGATGAGCCCTAACAGTATGTTAGGGATAAACAGATGCCCACCTGATTCCCCAGTGTCCAGACACCTGGGCTTTTTCCTAACTAGAAGACTCGGAGTTCACCCACTGCCTACTTCCCATGCCTAGGATTCTCCCTGGGTTCCCTGTACTGGTAAGATGCCAACACGTCCACTAAGTCAGATTGAATCTCTCACCACCTGAAGGCCTTCCTGAAACCATCGGTGAGCCGCTTGCTTCCCTGGCTACTACTTGGCCTCCGAACCCAACTAACCACCCTAGCAGAAATCATCTTAAACTCCACCCAGAACATTCCACCCTATCTGTCATCTCACCTCTTGAGTCCATCTCCTAAATATCCAAGTGACCTCACTTCTAGCCTATGCTACTAATGCCAATCTCTTAGCTCTAGCCTTGGCCACTTCTCAGCCAACCTGGCGGCTGGTCATGCTCACCTGCTGTTCTCTGCACTCCACCAGCCGCCTTTCAGGCCATCAGGCAGCCTGGAATCCACTATCAGCCTCAGGAGTCTAAAAAGCACATCAGACCTTGGTAACCCTTCTTGTCCAAACTGTCAAACAAAACCTGCCCTGCGCTTTTGCACCTGACTTACAGTTAGCCAGCTGAGTCCTGCTGGCCAGCTCCCACTGCCAGCCCCCTTTCAGAATGTCACCTCACCCCACGGTGCTTCAGGCAGAGCTCATGACAGGCTCCTCATGGCCTCCCTGCATCTCCCTAACAGCACTCACCCTGCCCTGGAGCCGTCAGTCCTGCCGGTGGGACTCTGCCCGCCGCCTGCGAGACGACGTGAGTGTGTTCACTTTTATACACACCCAGAAGTGGCCCTAGTGTTTGGGAAACGGCAGTTAAGAATGGAAAAGCCTGTCAGGCGCGGTGGCTCACACTTGGAATCCCAGCACTTTGGGAGGCCAAGACGGGCAGATCACGAGGTCAAGAGATGGAGATCAGCCAGGCGCAGTGGCTCACGCCTGGAATCCCAGCACTTTGGGAGGCTGAGGCAAGCGGATCACAAGGTCAGGAGTTAAGAGACCAGCCTGGCCAACATGGTGGAACCCCATCTCTACTAAAAATACAAAAATTAGTCAGGCGTGGTGATGCGTGCCTGTACTCCCAGCTTCTTGGGAGGCTGAGGCAGGAGAATTGCTTGAACCCGGGAGGCAGAGGTTGCAGTGAGCGGAGAATCGTGCCACTGCACTCCAGCCTGGGCGACAGAGGGAGACTCTGTTCGGGAAAAAAAAAAAAAAAAAAAAGTAAAAACCACAGCCTCGCCCATGTCGCCACTGCACCCAGCGTTGGTGTCAGATCACCACCTCTCCAAGCCTCAGAACCCCCTCAACCGCTGCCCAGGCTACAACGCAAATGCCTTCAGACACAGCCTGGCTGGCAGGAAGGCCTCTGGGTCAGCAGTGTGCCCTGCTCTCTGCCACCCCTTTGGTTTGGATGCAGGAGCTGCCTCACCTCGCTTGTTCTTACTTGGCTGTCCTCATTTTGGGGTGTCCAGCCAAACCCCTAAAGAGAAGCGAAGACATGATGCCCTGTGTTTGGTGGATACCGTGGGGTGGAGAAAGCTTACTTCCAAGTTGCTAAAGGGAGATGCGGGGAGCCACACACATCAGGTAACAGCTGCAGAGCAGCATTCTCAACAGGAGCCGCTGCACGGCAACCCGCCTGCGCCCCGGGGTTCATTCAGCCTCTTGGTCACCTATTCACTAGGGCTGCTCTCATAACCTCCTGGTCACTGAGCTCCCTGCAGGGACCTACCTGCCCCTCCTAGCCCAGCCTCAACTTCCAGGACAGGTGGAATCAGCGAGACTGTGGTTGGGATGTACTTTAAAAAAAAAAAATCAAATGAAACCAACAAAGACACAGAACTCACAAAACCGGAGTATTTTATTGCACCAAGATCTTGGCAACACGTGGGGCTCCCCAGGCCCCCGGAAAGGAGGTGCAGAGGATGGGACACAGACCTCTGCACACACACAGGTGCGGCCATGCAACCAGGACGCGGGGCAGGCAAGTGAGAGGACCTGGGAGAGGTAGCTGCTGTACACAGGCCCCACTCCCTCCAGCTCCATTCCCAAGCACAAAATTCAACAGACCCAGATCCTAAGTCAACCAAGTGACTGCTATGACAAAGGCTTGGGTTATTGACATTTACTTACATACGTGTACAAGACCTAGAGTTTGAACTCGTTTTCTGGGCCTCATCTTTCCCTTCCCTATCTGGTTGATGACTTCGGTGGAGGGAAGGGACGTGACTCCACCCAACAGTGATAAACGCTGCAGAAAGTCATCTCGTGCTCACCACTGCCCAAGAGTTAACGAATGTATGTACCCCAGGAAAAGGTTTTACAGTTATCTAGTGGAGAAGGGAAGAGACTGATTTGGAGGAGAGAAGGGAGAGAAAGGAACGAGATAAATTCTGTGCCAGCAGACAACTAACATTTTCAACTACAGAACATCACACGGTAAACATGGCAGAGGGAACAGTTCACACAGGAATGCAAGTCAACACCCCGAGAAGAAAAGGAACATACCCTGCCCGTGAAGGCATGTGCTTTCCCTTCCAGATAAGTTACAAAGCCAGAGCACGGAAGCCAGGCCCTCATCTTTGAACATTCAGAGACTGGTCCGCAGGAGAGGGCACCCTGAGCAGCTCCACTCACTGCTGCTGGGACACAGGTGGCCACAGGAGCTTGATTCTCTCCCACCCTTCTAAGAAGAGAAACGTAAAAACAGAAGAAAATCCAAAAAGAGACACCCACCCACATGGAAAAAAATAAATGTATCTTCCCATATTAAAAAAGCAATTCCATCTACACGCCAGTAACCACCCAGGCCCCGAGCACAGGGGCAGGAAGCAAAGCTGCCCCAGGGAGAGGGGGTGCAGACAGCGAGGCAGCCACCCGGGACAGCAGGATGCCTCTGGCCCAGCAGAGCCACACTGAAGGAGGTCTAAGTCCAACACCACGTTGTCCATCTCCACCTGCGACGACTCCGGGAGGAAATGACGGGGACAGACCCGATGAGGAAGGATGTTCACGGTCACCTTCACACTTCCCACTACTATGAGGGCATTTGTCTTTTTCCTGAAAATATCACCTTCTCTGAGGATTTCCTGTATTTATTAAGTTACAAGTTGGCAGGCACAGCTTGAGCAACATAGAAAAGTAATCTTCTTGAGTTATACAATCATTTAAATTCCAAAGCACTCACAAAATTGAGCAAACAAAGCCACTATTTGCATATTTGGGAAAGGAAACATATTGCTAATGGAAGCCACAGGACTGGTCAAAAATAAATGTTTTGTATTAAGTAGTAAAATAAATGGAGAATTCTACCCCAAAGCCTCCACCTCAGTGAAGACCTGCGGGTTATTGCAGCTGCAAGGGAAGCTACAGCACAGTCGTCTCAGAATAAACAGCAGCCTGGAAAGCAGATGTATTCGCAGGTATCGAGGGCTCCTCCGACCCCAAATAGCCTCTGCTCTCCAGGACAGTTGAGAGCTACTCACAAGGAAGGGGTGCACAGTAGGGCCACCCTCTCGAGTTCCATAAAAGGGAGAGGTGGCTGGGTGGGGTCACCTCTTCCTTTCTGAGGACAGGTAAGGCCAACAGATGAAGGGGTCCCGCTGAGGAAGCAGGGGAGGGCGGGCTCGGACACAACGGTGGCGTCAGCCCCGAGAAGCAAGGGATGGCTTGCCCAGAGCCACCAGCTATGCACCGGGAGACCACCTGGGGGACATGTGGCCACCATCCCCCACTCTCCTGATAGCCCCAACCAGGGGCAGCAGCCTCTGCCAGCACAGACCACTGTCTATGAAACATGAGAAGGCACAGCCTGGCAAAGATGTCCAGCAGGTGTGCGGCCACCTCTGCTCACACACACACTGTCGTTTCTCTTGCAGGGCTGGTCGGGAATGTCACCAAAGAGGTTCCGATCTAGAGAAGCCTCAAAGCCTCTGTGTTGGGCGGTCTGTGGACACTGGTACCGGGAGAGCTCCTACCGTGACAGGCTCCCAGCGCAGCAGAGCCCACACAGAGAGCTCCCTCAGATCCAGACCGACAGCTCCCGGGAAGGGACGCCTTGTCTCCAGGAGGCTGCAGAACAAACCACGGTAGTCCTGACAGAGAGAAACGAGACCCGAATCTTCCCACTGCCACCCTCGGGTATGAGTCCAACCTAGGAACCCAATGCATGGCATCTCGATGCGGCTGGCAAGAAGTCACCCTTCTGCAAGTGACTGGGACACATGCCAGATATACACACAACCCACATCCCACACACACCCCACACATGCCCTTCTCCAAGTGACCAGAACACATGCCACAGATGCCAGGTGTACACACCCCACACCCAACACACACTACACACACCCCCTTATACACACGCATCCCACACACACCCCCTTATACACACGCATCCCACACACACCCTTCTCCAAGTGACTAGGACACACACCACAGACGCGCCCACACCACACACACCACCCAACACACATGTGCCAGATACACAGCCCACATACATCATACACACACGCCACACCCCACCACACCCCTACACACATACACGGCACACACACCCCCACCTCACCCTTACACCCACCCCCTCGGAACCGACCTCCTTCCACAGGGGCACAGTCAGCGGCGATAGCTGAGGCTGGCAGCCTTTGCTGGGTGAGTCACAGACCAGAAGTTCCGTCGAGTCTGAAGTTTCTGGAAGGCGTTGAAGTTTCTCCTCTTCTCTCTCTTAAATTTTTTAATTTTCTTTTCCTAGACCAAGAATCACAGGCATCACAGTTCCCAAAAACGGCTCTTTCCTGGCCCACGGGGCTCCATGCTGCATGCAGGTCCTGCACACAGGCCGGGCTCTCATGAGCTCTCTGGAGACCCACTCTTCACAATGACCCCTGTGCACGGCGACCTGCAGTCCCCCTATTGACAAAGGGGCGGAAGCTGCGAGGATGCATGCCCTGTCCATGGCCACACGCCCGGACAGGCCTGGGCAGCCTGGCTCTTCTCATGCTCGGCCGCTTCATGCCACTGCCGCCACCTCCAACTGCCCCGGCTCTGAGCTGAGCCACGCCGCCCTGCTCCCTCAAGCCTGTGGTCAGCATCACACATCATACCTTCCCTCGGTCAAACTCTTCGTCCCAGTCATCAACCACGGTCTCAGTCCGGGCCTGTCTGCTGTCTTCAATAGCATCCTGACTGACCGCCGACATCTTGCCATCCCAGGTCAGAACTACCAGGCAGACACGGGGGTCAGCACGAGTGCAGGTTCCCAGGTCCCCTGTGGCTTCACTTCAAGAGTGTCATTTACCAACTAGTCTACTCATAATTAGTCAACAATTTTGAGTGCCACCTTGTGGTGAAGAGAAGGACAAGAGGAGGACGGCTCGACGCCCATGTGTGGTCGGTCAGCATGGAACCCCCAGCGATGCCCTCTTAGCTAAACCCTAAACCACAGCCAAAGAGTTCAGTTCTTTCTAAACCCATGCCCTCGTCTGAGGAACAAAGATGTCATGTTTGGTCTCGAAGTCTGAATAAAAACATGCTCTGAGCAAGAAGTGACATTACCCAGGTTGGAAGAGCTTCGTCACTCTGCCCCTTCCCTACCCAAGACACAGCATGTGTGGGGCTCCTCACCCTGCCCCAACCCTCAGAAGCAGCTGTTCTGGATCCTGCCACGGACAGAAGCCACCTTCGTGCCACGGCTGAGGGTTTAAAGAGGACTCCAGCCAGTGTTGAGATTCCTCTTCCCATTCTCAAAGCCGAGCGATGCCCGCCCGCCACACTCACAGTGCACCAGGATCCATTCCACACCCTTCCCTCCTACAAAACCAACCAATGAAAGGCAAACAGAAGTCCTGTCTCCAAATCAGTACCTTTTCTCCCGTAAGCTTTATCAGATGAGTATTTGAGCAGTTCCTGGACCACATCAGACTCCCGCTCTCCATTCCAAGACACAGGAGGGGCCTGGCTCAGCCCTGCAATCGGAGCAGCCAAGAAACATTTACAGACGTTTAAAATAACCCACTGGGGAAGCAATCGCACACCTTAAATTATAAAACAACTTACAGTAAGTGGATGCTTGCCTTTTTTTTTTTTTTTTTTTTTTTTTTTTAAAGACAGGGTCTCACTATGTTTCCTAGGTTGGTCTCAAACTCCTTGGGACTCCCACTGGCCTCCCAAGGTGCTGGGATTACAGGCATGAGCCATGGCGCCCAGCCTAAATGCTTATTTACTAATGCTTACATGCTTAATTTACTAATGACCTGACACAATAGAGAAGGCTGTTGTCCAAGTCAATTCATGAGAAAGAAAACATGGAAAATAACAAAAAGCTAAAAACCAAAAAAAAAAAAACCCTCCAAAACCCCTTTAACCAGTAGTGTTAAGTCCTCAGTCTGACAGAAGGAGAGAAGAGAACTAGATCTAAATGGAATCCACCTCACCTACGGGAGAGGCCCATGCCCCAGGACCAGCCTGACACCTGGATGGCCACAGGGGTGGAGGGAACGGCCAAGCTTGGCTGCTGCCATCAGGGGCCCGACCTCCTAAGCCCTGTCCAGGGGGAACCTGGTCCCCATCAGCAACACCGCACAGGTCCACCCAGCACCTCGGGACCAGGACAGCACTCACCACCCTCATCGGGTTCTAGAAACCCTTTCTGAACTCGTCCTCTGCCCAGCTAGCCACATAGCCCCTGGAATATACTCACCTCCCTTCACACAAATCTGACCTCATTTCTCCCTGCCTCCAATTCCTCAGTGAGCTCCAGGCTAAGTGTCCCCTGCCCCCACACAGTGGCTTCCATGGTTCCCATCTCATCCACACAGCCCAGGGACCCGGCCATGCAGAGCAGCCTGCCTGCTCCCAACGTGCTGCGCCTCCTGCCCTTGGGTCTGGTGCCCTGCCCATTTAGCCACTCTCCTCAGGTGCACAGGACTGCAAGAGCCCATGCGGCCCCCAGCGCCTCCTTGCTGAGCATGAGCCCTTACTGTGTGGTTCTGGCTCTGCCAGGGAGCCCCGAGGGCCCAGGGCGCACTTCAGTAGACACAACCAGCACCTGGCATGGACCCTGGCGCACCGCAAGTGCTCAAGTGATGTCCCTTGCACTAACAAGCCAACTCCACTTCGCTCCGAGGGTGGCACGGAGCACAGCTCTGGTGCCATGTTAGGGCAGTATTTTTTTTTTTTTTTTTTTTTTTTTGAGACGGAGTCTCACTCTGTCACCCAGGCTGGAGTGCAGTGGCGCAATCTCGGCTCACTGCAAGCTCCGCCTCCTGGGTTCACACCATTCTCCTGCCTCAGCCTCCCGAGTAGCTGGGACTAGAGGCGCCCGCCACCATGCCTGGCTAACTTTTTGTATTTTTAGTAGAGACGGGGTTTCACCGTGTCAGCCAGGATGGTCTCGATCTCCTAACCTTGTGATCCGCCCGCCTCGGCCTCCCAAAGTGTTGGGATTACAGGCGTGAGCCACCACCCCCGGCCAGGGCAGTACTTCTGAGAGCATGCTGGCCAGCAAACTCAGTCGGCACTAGCTAGCACCCACGTTTTGCTATTTATTTCATACCATTTCATTTTTAACGATAAATTCCTTTCTTAAGAGTTGGATAAATACAAATCAGTCTCTAAGGTCCTGCTGACCCCCAGATGCACTGCCATAATCAGACCTTCCAGACTGCAGAGGAGGCCTCACTCAAGCTCGGCCCCCTATACCAAGCAGCCAGGACTTTCTCTCCCCTTCACTTAACAAATGTGTTCTGTGGCGGGTGCCTGCCAAGGCATGCCCCAGCCAGCCCTAAAGAAAACAAAACACCCTCCGATTGAGGGGTGGTGCCCAAGGACAGCCACAGCACACAGGTCCCCAACAGCAAGCAAACCGTGCTATGTTCTGAATGGCCCAGCTACATAGAGGGAGAGGAGGATTCACTTTTGAACCCAACTCTTCTAAATTCAACCATCACAGAAAAAAACTCAGGCTGGGAGTTCAGGGAGTCATTCCGTGAGAAGCTGTAGACAGAACAGCTTTGAATCGGAAGACCCACTGGCATTCACAGAATGTTTTAAAGTTCATGTGCACTGTAACCTCTCTCATGGGGCTGTTTCAGTCAAATGCTGTGACACATGAGGAAGCTTCAACCCCATCACCCAAGGGAGCAGACTCGGGGGTGGGGGGTGAAGGTTGGTAGGGTCCCAGGGCCCTCCACATCTTCTCCCAGACCCTCCCAAGCTCAGATGCAGTAGACGCTGCTCTCAGCCTGTGCACTCCCCAATACCCCCTCACCCGGTGCACACCCACGCGGTCCCCCACCCCCTTGCCCGGTGCACACCCACGCGGTCCCCCAACCCCTCGCCTGGTGCACACCCACGCGGTCCCCCACCCCCTCGCCCGGTGCACACCCACGCGGTCCAACCCCTCGCCCAGTGCACGCCCATGCGGTCCCCCAACCCCTCGCCCGGTGCACACCCATGCGGTCCCCCAACCCCTCGCCCGGTGCACACCCATGCGGTTCCCACCCCCTCGCCCGGTGCATACCCATGCGGTCCCCAGGACACCAGCCATTCGCGGATGGTGCGCAGCTGCTGGACTCGGGGACAACAGCATCTTGGGGCTTGGCACTCCTTGGGCATTTGAGATGCCCATCCTCTTCTACTGCCCGCTGTGTCTCCTGCTTTCTTTTTTTCTTTTTCTTTTTCCTTGGAGACTCTTCCATGGCCTCTGGATCACCATCACCCATGGGAGAGCAGCTGCTTGGAAGTGAGAGGCAGCAGTCAGCTCTGAGCAAATTGGAAGGGGAGCAGGAGCGCACAGACACCCGCCTGCAACATGGAGAAGGTGCCACCCCAGCTGTGACCCAGTGCACGCAGGTCCCTGCAACATTCTTCCCCCCACACGCATTAGCGGACGCTCCACACGCAGCCACGGAGACAGTAGAGGGAAAACCAGTCGCGTTTCCCATCCTAACTGAGCCAAGCCTGTTGACGCCAATGTGCAGGCTACTGTGACCTGATGAAACGGCAGATCCTGGCCTGGCCCGGGACACCTGATCCAGCATCCTTGAACGGCCCTGCACATACAATGATGGACACTACTGTCCACACCACTGTCGCTTCAAGGATCAATCCACTGGTATTTATCAGAGGAGATATTTTTTCTTTTTTCTTTTTTTTTAGACAGGGTTTAGCTGTCACCCAGGCTGTAGTGCAGTGACGCGATCTCAGCTCACTGCAACCTCCACCTCCTGGGCTCAAACCATCCTCCCACCTCAGCCTCCTGAGTAGCTGGGACTATAGGTGCATGCCACCATGCCCAACCAATTTTTGTTTTTGGTAGAGAAAGGGCTTTTCCATATTGCCTAGGCTGGTCTCAAACTCCTGGGTTGAAGTGATCCACCCGCCTCAGCCTCCCAAAGTGCTAGGATTACAGGTGTGAGCCACCACACCCAGCCAGAGGAGACATCTGATCACAAATCCACATTTTAGAAAACCACGCAAGCAGACTACGTTTCCAGACCATACCTACTTGGGGGTAGATTCTGTGGTTTTGCTTTGTTTCTCGTCAGAGGTAGACAGATGCCACTTTGCTCCTGCCCTTACCTGTGCCGAAGTGGGTCCTGGTGCAGGCCGCCTTCTTCACCAAGACCTTCTGCTCCTTTCCTCCTCCGCTTCCTGCTGCTCGCGTGGTGGCCGTCCGTAACACATCCCACCTGCTGGCCATTCACCTGTGGCTGTGTGCCATCTTCCTGCCGTCTGACAGCGGGCAGCTGTGCCTGGCCCTCCCTCCTGTACATGGGGCTCCCAGGCTGTCTCTGTGTCTGCCCCTCCTGCAGGGCGCTGGCAGCTGTGTCCTCCGGGCGCTTCTTCTTCTTCCTCTTCCTCTTCCCGTGGGGAGCCGCAGTGGCCTCCCTGATGTGCTGTGGGAGGCGCGTCTCTGAGCCCAGCCTCTGCGGCTCTCCCACAAAGGTCTTTTTCCTCTTCTCAGAGGGGCTCTGGGGGGGCTCACTGGCCTCTGGCAACTGGTGTGGAAGAGACACAAGGTCCTCGTTGACCTGAGGCAGCGCCGTCGAGATGGAGGAGCAGCTCCGTGGTTCTGACGTCCCTGGGGGCTTGGGGGTACTGGACAGCAATGTGGGGTGGGGGCTGAAGGGGGGTTGCAGGCGGCTGGATGATTGGGGAGCAGGTGACACAGCCCTGTGGGGACAGCCAGGAAACAGGGAGAGGATGTTCTGAAAGACCCAGCAGAGCTGTTCCTTCTGTCTACCCTCACTCCCCTCCCTTTCACCTAAAAATCTGAAAAGGCTTTTACCCTGTAGTTTTCAGATACACATTAAGTTACATGTATGTTTGAAAGAAAGCTAACAATTAATTCAACATCTATTTAAATGCAAAGTTGGCCAGGTACAGTGGCTCATGCCTATAATTCCAGCACTTTGGGAAGCCAAGGTGGCTGGATCACCTGAGGTCAGAAGTTTGAGACCAGCCTAGCCAACATGGTGAAACCCCATCTCTACTAAAAATACAAAATTAGCCGGGCGTGGTGGCACACGCCTGTAATCTCAGCTAGTCAGGAGACTGAGGCAGGAGAATCGCTTGAACCTGGGAGGTGGAGGTTGCAGTGAGCCGAATCGCGCCACTGCACTCCAGCCTGGGCGACAAAGCAAGACTCCGTCTCAAAAAAAAAAAAAACCAAAAAAACAAAAACAAAAACAAAAAAAAAAAAACAAAGTTACCTAGGTGGTGGGTTGATAGGTGCAGCAAACCACCATGGCACCTCTGTAACAAACCTTTACATCCTGCACATGTACCCTGGAACTTAAAATAACTGATCCCTGAGATTTAAAAAAAAAAAAAAAAAAAAAAAAAAAAGCAAGCCAACACGTGATTTTAAAAGTCAAAAAAAAAATTTTTTTTTTTTTAAAAGGCAAAGTTAATAAGAATTGTTCCATGCCTTAGTTTCTTGTCACCAAGCAATTCAAGTATTTTTGCGAGCTCTAATGTAAAAACATCTTTAATACAAATGTGTTAAGGGAGGAAACCTTCACGAAACAATAAATGGTAAGGAAAAAAAAGATCCCGTGAGGATTTATTTTCCAACCTCCGAAAGTCTCAGGGTGTTCCCGGGCAGGAAATGAGCCTCATAAGGAAAGCAAGTGTTGAGCTGGCCTAATGACACCTCCACATTACCGTCATTAGGACGCTGAAACCGGGACACAGATGCGTAGAGCAGAATCATGAGCAAGGCGTGTCCGGGACAGGATCTAGTGCCGAACCCAGTGAGGCTCCCTCTTGCCAGCTATGTGTCTCTAGGAAAATTAACTTCCCACTCTGAACCACCATGTTCTCATTTGTCAATGAGCTGGGACCACAAAGCCCACCTCCCAGGGTTCCTGCAGAAAACAGGACCCCCGTCATCATCTAAACAAACTATAAGGGCCATGCCAGCTGCACGATGTTTGATTACTCTAAGTGTCTTCTGGAATCTTTTCCAAAAAAGCTTATAAGGCAAGAAACGAAAAACACCCAAACACTTAAGGCCCTCCCACGTACACAAATCTTATGCTAGGTATAGGGCAGAGGTGTGCTTGTGTGTGTATATGTGAGAGGAGAGTAAGGCAGAGGCTGTGGGCGACGCACAGTCATACCTCGCCCTCATGTAGCACTGGAGATTCTAGAACTAGAACCCAGCGCCGAGGCCACCAGTACAGTCCCCGCAGGCCGCCTCATGACTCACCCCATCTTTCACTGCTTCCGTCCCCACTCCCAGCGGCTTCCAGACAGCCATTTACCAGTTACTCTCAACTTCCTGCCACTCGAGGCACCTAAGAGACGCAGGCAGCCCCTGCGGACCAGGGCCCACATGCACAGGGAAGGGGCTGCATCTCTGGCAGGTGTCTGCAGAGGAACCCGAGAGCCCTGAGACAGTTCTTAACCTGCATGACGCTAGCAGGCAAGACGTCCCACAAAAAACGCTCGGGACTCCGAGCTCACTCAAGCCTCTCGCCAAGGCCTCACTTCGCCTTTCTCTTCGACTGGGAAGTACTGTCATGGGGCTGGTAGGGATACAGGACAGGTCAGTCCCCAGCACACCACATCACCACAAGGATGTCGCAGACAGACCACCAACAAAGACAGAACTAAGACATCAGGACTGCAGAGGCCGAACTGCCTTCACCACCCAAAGCTCCTTTACCACAGGGGAACACAGAAGAGGGGGATCTTGGTCAGTGACGCCCCCCTGTACCTCCTGGCTGCCCCAATGCTTTGTCTGTCCTGTGAGGTTGGCGATTCGTCCAACTCCTCACCAGCCAAGCACACGCAACCACAGGGAGAACCAGTTGGCACCCAGAAGATCCCGGCCCAAAGCTTACCTGGCTCTATGGACGGGCCAAGTGGAGGCAACGACGGGGTGAGAGGTTTTCATGGGGTGGGTGAGGTCGGAGGATGGTGAGGGGGGAGGTGGACGGAGGTCATTGCCGGTCGCCCTCCACAGGGTGCTGGCCTGCAGTTATCGACATAAATAAAAACTTGGTGGTCTAAAAAAGGTTTCCGTGAGTGAAGAGGGAAAACAAAAGTAACAAAAAATGAAAATAAAAACAAAAGAGCCCAGAAAAAAAGATGAGGAGACAGAAGAAGACAAAAAGGGGAGGTGAGGGGCAGGGGAATGGTAGAAGAAGAACCAGAAAAGTATTTTTGGTTAGAAACAAAAAAAAGGAAGAAAATTTAAACAAAAATCTCAGCACAACAATCACATCCACGTGCCGTGGCTGCCCAAGCTTCCTGCTGCAGAGGTGCCGGGCACCCCACTGGGGCTCTGCGCTTCCTGCCCGCCCCACCCCTGCTAGGGACACGTGCTGGTGGGGCCCACCCTCCCTCGGGTTCAGTCAGGATCTTCCACCTACTGTGAAAACAGGGAACTGCTACCTTGCCCAAACCTCCATGAGTCACATGAGCATCACCAGATCAGGGCTCTCTCAACACCCCATACTGCCTTCACCCCAAGATAGCCGTTCTTTAATTGCAAATGGCTGGGAACGACTAAAAGACACTTTGTTCCTCTAACATGAGGGAGGCCAAAGCCCCCGGACAATGTTCTCACTCCCTTCAAACCACAACCAAGCAACTCTTGGAGCTCTCCTGATACACAGCAGCGGCGAGACCCCCACACACCCACCTTCTTGGCAGAAAGGGCCAGTTTTTTGGCTGGTGGAGGAGACATGGTGCTTGCAGGCTCAGTGGTGGTGTTGCTCAGGACAGGGGACTTCAGCTTCACCGTCTTAGAATCTGCTCCACTTGGCGGCGTTTTGGAGTGGCCAGCGGTGGAACAGTTCGTTTCCTGAGAATCGCAGAGATGGGCCGCTCCACTCCTGGGGGTCTGGGGGGCCTTGGTGGAGTCGCTGCTGGCCGAGTGCTCTGGGCTGGAGCTGCTGGAGCCCCTCCTGTCGAGGCCAGCGCTCTCGTCGTTCCCCTTCAGCCCATGCCCGTTGGCAGTGGCTGTAGCCAGGAGCTTAGGTGAGGTAGAGAGGACAACATCCCTGCTGTCCCAGGAGCCCTGCCTTTGGCTCCCAGATCTGCTGCTATTCGAGTTGCTGGTCCCAGGCAGCCCCTGAGCAGTTCTGGGGGAAAAGTGCTGTGGAGGAGCTGGCTTCTTCACCTTCTTTCCAGGGTCGTCTAGGATGGTTGGCATGTGTGTGGGTGTCTGGGAGAGTTTGGGGGAAGGGGACCCCGAGGGCAGCTTTGGAGGAATGCAGCCGTTCTGGGACTTCAGGCCCAGGGTGGAGCCATTCCTGGATATGGGCACACCAATCTCTTCAGTGGTGTGCGGCTTCTTCATCGTCCCAGAGTCTTGTCGCTAAGGAGACCAAAGCAGAAAACACAACTGAGGAAGCGAGAAGTCTCAGCTGGGCCACATCTTCTTAAGGCCACAGTGAATCTTAGTAGCAGGCATGGCCTCTGATTAGCATGCTCAAGATAAATTATTTATCTGGACTCTTGGTAAAGACACTGTGGCTTCTCTGAACAATTCTGGTGTTCTGTGACATCCCAAGAACAGGGACCACAGCCGTGTACCACCACACCTGGCTAATTTCTGTATTTTTGACAGAGATGGGGTTTCACCATGTTGGCCAGGCTGGTCTCAAACTTCTGGCCTCGAGCAGTCCACCTGCCTCAGCCTCCAGAAGTGTTGGGATTACAGGTGTGAGCCATAGCACCTGGCCTGAATACATATCTTTATGGCCACCTTTACTATAAAACCAGTACATTTTCATCAAGATTTGGGAAGAGAAAAAAGTATAAAGGAAGAAATTTAGCAAAGTTCCATCACCTAAACATAACCATGCATTAACATTCTAGTGCTTTCTTTTTTCAATCTTTTCTTCCAAATGGTTCTGGCCTGAAGAGTTGCATCCCAGTTTTATCTTAAAGCTATTATCTCAAGCATTTTTATGGGCGATAACTCTCAATAAATATCTTTAAGACAGAGCCTTGCTCTGTTGCCCAGGCTGGAGTGCAGTGGCATGATGATGTCATCATAACTCACTGCAGCCTCAACCTTCTGGGCTCAAGAGATCCTCCCACTTCAGCTGCCCAACTGGCTAGGACTATAGGAGTAGACCACCACACCCGAATAATTATTACTATTTTGTAGAGATGGGGATCTTGCTATGTTGCCCCGGCTAGCCTTGAATTCCTGAGCTCAAGCAATCCTCCCACCCTGGCCTCTCAAAGTGCTGGGATTACAGGCCTGAGCAACTGCACCCTGCCTGTCGGCCTGTCTTTGACATTTTACTATATATACTATGTACTACTGATACACATTAACTGTATGGTTAATTTATATAAGCTATATTGTCTCCAACTGTTGAAATTAAAAATACTGTACAGTATATGTGTGTGTATCCTTTACCCTTCAGAGCACTTATTACAACTGCATAGAAATAACTTATTATTCTGTATTTAGATGCTGAATGTCAGCCTTCCCCTGCTTGACCAAGAGGCTGTACCCGTTATCTCTCTCGTTCCCACTGCAGCCCTCACCAGCAACTCAAGGGTCTGGTATAGAGTCGGTGCTTAAAAAATATTTGTTGAGCTTTTCCTGTACTTAGTACTCCATGCTAATTTTCTGGAAATGGAATTACAAGGCTAATTTTCTGGAAATGAAATTACAGATTTCATTTTCATGAAATCTGATGCAAAATGCCAAACTGCTTTTACTATACTCCAGCCACATCTATTTTTCAAAACATTTGCTAATTTGACACTCGTTTGGGCTATTACCACTTTAACATTCATATTCTCTGCACATGCACTAAAGTGATCTTCATTTGAATGAGATCTTTTGTTTACAAATGTTAACCTTTTGTTGACAATATTTTACAAGGTTTTATTGCTTCATTTGTTTGTAGTAAATTATGTACAAAAATGTAAATCTTAGTCAATTCATAATTCTTCTACATTTTATCCTTCAACTTTAAGCATACAAAGTCTTCTTCCCTTCCCAGAGGTTAAGAATTTACCTCTATTTTCTTCCAAGTTTTGTTTTGTTCCCTACATTCTATTCTTTGTTAATACTGTTTTCTAAAAGGAATTCATCTTTCCACTGCACCGCAAAGCCGTTTCACTGGCTGAACATTTCCATACACACTAGAACTTGCACCATGTCATTTAGAGTAAAACGGCTCGTCTGCTTGCAGTGTATTTGGAAAATCACGTTTGTAATGAAAATGCTCATGGTCAGTGAAGCGCCCCTGCAGGTGTGCCTGACACAGGGACTCTCCTTGAGCCAATCTCCACCCTCGGGCATCACTCTGCCCATGGAGTTCCTGTGGCAAGTGGGGCTTCCTTTGTTTTTCTGGGGTTTTTTGAGACAGGGTCTCATTCTGTTGTCCAGGCTGGAGCGCAGTGGCACAATGATAGCTCAATGCAGCCTTGTGTTTAAGTGATCCTCCTGCCTCAACCTCCAAACAGCTGGGACAACAGACGTGCACCACCACACCTGGCTAATTTTTGCACTTTTTTTGGAGATGGGGTTTTGGAGATGGGGGTCTTTCTATGTTGCCCAGGCTGCTTCCTTTTTTTGAGATGGAGTCCCGCTCTGTCACCCAGGCTGGAGTGCAGTGGCACAATCTCAGCTCACTGCAACCTCCACCTCCCGGGTTCAAGCGATTCTCCTACCTCGGCCTCTCGAATAGCTGGGATTACAGGCGCACGCCACCATGCCCAGCTAACTTTTGTATTTTTAGTAGAGACAGGGTCTCACCATATTGGCAAGCTGGTCTCAAACTCCTGACCTCAAATGGTCCACCCACCTCAGCCTCCCAAAGTGCCCGGCCCCCCTCTTCTTTTTTTTGTAGACAAGGTCTCACTCTGTCACCTTGCCTGGAATTCACCAGCGTGATCATGGCTCACTGCATACAGCCTCAACCTCCCGGGTTCAAGTGATCCTCCCCCAACAGCTTACTGAATATTCTCTGTGCTGATGGGATCTATGTTGCCCAGGCTACTTTTTAAATTTGTTTTGAGACAGGGTCTTGCTCTGTTGCCCAGGCTGGTGTGGAGTGGTATGATCATGACTCACTCCAGCCTTAATCTCCCTGGCTCAAGTGATCCTCCCACCTCAGCCTCCTGAGTAGCTGGGAATACAGGCACGTGCCATTAAACCTGGCTAGCTTTTGCATTTTTAGTAGAGACAGGGTTTTGCCCAGGTTGGTCTCGAACTCCTGGGATCCACTGATCTTCCCACATCGGCTTCCCAAAGTGTTGGAATTACAGACATGAGTCACAGTCCCAGGCCCAGGCTGCTTCCTAACTTCCTAGTCTGGGCTACAGTGACCACCAACTTTGCAATTATATCATGTATTTTACTGCCACTTCAATTCTAATGCTTCTAATTTCAGCTTCTATTTTCTTTAATGTGAAGAGAAATACAGATGTACGTAAATGACCAAAACCCCTGCAGACTGTGAAAGGCCCTGACTGCCTGTGTGTGGGGTTCAACTCTTCATTCTAAAGGGAGAGGAAGACGATCCATCAAAAACAGTCATCCAGGCCGGGCACGGTGGCTCATGCCTGTATCCCAGGACTCTGGGAGGTCAAGCTGAGCGAATCACTTGAGGTCAGGAGTTCCAGACCAGCCTGGCCAACATGGTGAAACCCCATCTCTACTAAAACTACAAAAATTAGCCGGGAGTGCTGGCGGGCACCTGTAATTACAGCTACTCAGGAGGCAGAGGCAGGAGAATCGCTTGAACCCAAGAGGCGGAGGCTGCATAGTGGCAGAGGCTGCAGTGAGCTGAGATGGCGCCACTGCACTCCAGCCTCAGTGACAGAGCGAGACTCTGTCTCAAAAAAAAAAAAAAAAAAAAAAAAAGAAACAGTCATCAAGAGGGTCCACCCCACTTCAAATGATCACTGTGTTCTAATGAGGAAACTGCTCATGAATCCACTTAGTGAAACTGAATTCTTAACAGTTCTAGCAGAAAATTTCAAATACACACAAAGGTAACTTAGAGGGTAGTTCCTAATGGTTAACCTGTAACCACATAACCTTTATCATCCTCTCTCTGTATGTATATGTACGTGTGTATATATGTATGACTATGTACGTATGCATATACACATATTTCTATTTCTGATCCATTTGAGTAAATTGCAGACATGATGTTCTTTTACCCCAAAATATGTCCATGTGTATTTCCAAAGAACAAAGACACTCTCTTACATAACCACAGCAGAATTACCCAAATCAGGAAATTAACATTGGTACAAACTACTCACATTTTCCCCGTTAAATGTGAGAACAGGCCGGGCACAGTGGCTCACGTCTGTAATCCCAGCACTTTGGGAGGCTGAGGCGGGTGGATCAGGAGGTCAGCAGATAGAGACCATCCTGGCTAATAAAGTGAAACCCCGTCTCCACTAAAAATAAAAAAATTAGCCATGCATGGTGGCACACGCCTGTAGTCCCAGCTACTCGGGAGGCTGAGGCAGGAGAATCGCTTGAACCTGGGAGGTGGAGGTTGCAGCGAGCCAAGGTTGCGCCACTGCACTCCAGCCTGGGCGACAGAATGAGACTCCGTCTCAAAGAAAAAAAAAAAAGGATATTTTTTCCTACACGCTTACGGTTAAGAGTTTGCTTGGTGCCTGTAATCCTGGCACTCTGAGAGGCCAAGACAGGAGAATTGCTTGGGCTGAGGAGCTTAAGACCAGCCAGGGCAACATAGTGAGACCCTGTCTCTACACAAAATTTAAAAATTAGCTGGGTGTGGTAGTGCACTGATAGTCCCGAATACTAGGGATGCTGGGGCAGGAGGGTGGCTTGAATCCAGGAGCTCAAGCCTGCCCTGAACCATGATTGTGCCACTGTACTCCAGTCTGGGTAACAGAGTGAGACCCTGTCTCCAAAAAAAAAAGTTTGCTTGGCATTATAAAGGAAATAAAAGGAGTGCACACAGAAAGTTTGCTTGGCACACCTGTCACGACACCTGTAAGTGGTGCTGGTCTCATGAGTAGAACAGATCTGTGAATGACAATTCTAATTTGTTGGGTCAGAATTTTCTCATTCATGTCTCCTCTTTCTCTATAGCCAATGTCAGCTGATGACCAGTTTAAGAAATAACATTGGCCGGGCGCGGTGGCTCATGCCTGTAATCCCAGCACTTTGGGAGGCCGAGGCGGGCAGATCCTGAGGTCAGGAGATCGAAAGCATCCTGGCTAACACGGTGAAACCCCGTCTCTACTAAAAATACAAAAAAAATTAGCCGGGCGTGGTTCGGGCACCTATAATCCCAGCTACTAGGGAGGCTGAGGCAGGAGAATGGCGGGAACCCGGGAGGCAGAGCTTGCAGTGAGCCGAGATTGGAGATCGCACCACTGCACCCCAGCCTGGATGACAGAGCGAGACTCTGTCTCGAAAAAAAAAAAAAAAAAAAAAGAAAAGAAAAGAAATAACATCAACTAGAATAGTGCAAACTGCCTGCAAATTCCTTCCACTGTGGCCAACTTCCCAAGTGTGAGGAGGTCTGTGAGGAGCACCAAGACCAGCCACTTTGGCCTCCATCATTCTCACAAATACCTTTCCAGTCAGTGGGGAGGAAATAATCCCATTGCCGATGTTCTTCTTGGAGTGATCTGGAATCACACTCGGGCGGCCGGGAAGGGAGGAGGAGCCTGTCCTGGAGATGAGGCCCTCGGGACTTTTCTTAGAGCCTGGAATTCTGTCAAAGGAAGAAAACAAGTAGGGAATTCTCTTACTAGGCATTACAGAAACGGAGAGAATTAGAATAAGTTAAGGCGGGGCAAAGGCAGAAACACGGCCTGGGGAAACCCTGCCAGTCCTAACCACTTCTCTGGAATCTCCCTTTGCCTTTCAACCACAGTGAGGCTGAGAGATCAGCCCCAAGTATCTGCTGAATATAAGCAGAGCAAGGGCAAATTAGAGTCAGAATTCCTCCAAGATCAGAGTTCAATGCACCAGAAAGCAAGAACCTCAAACACCTCAGCCACACTCTGCAGAGACGTACAAAGCAGCAAAAATGCCTCAGCTGCCACGGTCTCCAGCCTCCAGGTCAGTGACAGCCAGCTCCAGGAGAAGGCCCCTCCAGAGAAGCTCTGCAGCAGCACCCCCACAAACACGTCCTTCCCAGCATATCCCTACAGGGGCAGCTTCCCCACACGGGAAGGGGCATTGGCTGGCTACCATCCAGGGAGCAGTACCTCTAATTTGGGGCAATACTATAAATGGTGACTTTCCTGTTTACATTCAAAACAGCATCAATGTGAGGGCAGATGGGATCCTGTCCTGACCTTCCCAAGGCTCTGGCTTTACTAAAAAGTGTCCTTCCCTGTGGACGGTCTCTATGACACATGACAAATCCCTCCAGTGGAATTCCCAATTACCTTCAAACAAAAAAAGGTTAGGGAGGCCCACCGGTATAAGAAAAGAGCAGAGGGAGTGAGCTCATCTGGGGAGGGCGTGAGTTTATTACCGCAGATAGAACAGCACGTAGGCCTGCTGGTTCAGAACCACCTTGACGTTGCTGGAATGGACCAAGGAATCATTCATCTGGTACCACTGTCCATTGCTTGCCTGAAGCAGCCAAGGATGTTGCAGAAAACAAAACAATCAACAAGCATCCCATTATCCTCACTTTTTAAAAAGGGAATAAAAAATCTGTTAGTTGCTACATTTCCAAACACTATTAATAATCAACAGGTAACAACTTCTATTAAAACGTGTAATATTTTCATAACTCGGAATGTGACCCCAAAGTGTGCTCTGCGTCCCAGTTCCTTCCTAGTGCCCCAACAGATAGGAACTGTCCCTTCTAAAGGACATTCAGGCAGTGTCATCACCATGGCCGATTTTGCCAGGGTTCTAAGGATGGCACCAGAAGCGGCTGCCTCTTCCGTGTCTCCCTGCAAGTCTGAGAACACTAGATTCTGGTGCAACACTTCTGTAAAGGGCATCTTTTCACTCCACGCAGAGAGGCAACAACGAGGACTTGAATACAACCACAAAACATCACACTTTTCACAAAGTAAGTGCTCTACAGAGGCCGCATCTGGATGTGCATGGGTGCTGAAACCTGTCCCAGGAGGCAGCTGCACTGACACAAGCCTCTCACCTTCACGTAGCAGTAATAGTGCCCGGCATGGCAGCTGTAGCCCGAGTGCACCAGGACAGCATAGAGTCCATACATGACAGGATCACCATTATTCTGGGACATATACGGACGTATGTTGAGGAATTCCGGATAGCCTACATCCTGTTTGAAAAATCAAGGAAAAGACAAATAAAATTCACTTTGAGAGTAAAGATCAATTTGCCCTTTCCATCCACAACCACACAAAATGCCCAGCTTGTCTGGTCTTTAACAATTTGGGGGCCGGGCACAGTGGCTCACGCCTGTAATCCCAGCACTTTGGGAGGCTGAGGCAGGGGGATCACCTCGAGGAGTTCGAGATCAGCCTGACCAATATAGCGAAACCCCACTTCTAATAAAAATACAAAAAATTAGCTGGGCATGGTGGTGCACTGCCTGTAATCCCAGCTACTCAGGAGGCTGAGGAACAAGAATCACTTGAACCCGCGAGGCAGAGGTTGCAGTGAGCCGAGATCGAGCCACTGCACTCAGCCTGGGCGACAGAGCGAGACTGTCTCAAAACTGCCCCGCCACAAACAAGAAAAAGACAATTTGGGGCGAATGGGTGTGCAGCAACGCTGTGCAGGAGCTCCCCCAGGCAATGATTAAAAACCAAGATGCTGGCCAGGTGCGGTGGCTCACGCCTGTAATCCCAGCACTTTGGGAGGCCGAGGCGGGTAGATCACAAGGTCAAGAGATTGAGACCATCGTGGCCAAGATGGCGAAACCTTGTCTCTACTAAAAATACAAAAATTAGCCAGGCGTGGTGGCACGTGCCTGTAGTTCCAGCTACTCAGGAGGCTGAGGCAGGAGAATCGCTTGAAACCAGGAGGTGGAGGTTACAGTGAGCCGAGATCATACCACTGCACTCCAGCCTCGCAACAGAGCGAGACTCCATCTCAAAACAATCAAAACAAACAAACAAAGAAAAAACACCAAGATGCTGAGAAGTGAGTCTTCTCCAGCCAGCCTATGGGAAACTTTATTGTCCCATCAAGCAATGCAGGATCTGTTCTTGTCTTTGTCAAGCATCTCCATTAGTTCTCTCACCACCTGGTTCCTAACGATCAAATGAGAAGGGTCACTCATTTTCTTTCCCTCCACTTTACAGGAACATTGTTGGTGGGAGAAAAGGGAGAGAATGCTGGGTTTTAGATCTTCAGAAATAAAAGTGCTGAATTAATATAGCCAACTGCTACCGCAAGTAAGACTTTTAATCAACTGGATCAGAAGAAAGGTCATGCTAAAATGTCTTCCCAAAACTGACCAATTTTTCATAGAAAAAAATACACGCACACATATACATAACATGCATACATATATGCATACATGCACGCATAAAATACATGCACACATATATACATACATGCATACATACATCGTATACACACATGCACACATATATACATACACACACACATATGCATGCATACACATGTACGCATATACATACATGCACAACACATACATGCACGCACACATGCATACGCACACATACACACACATATACACACATGCATGCACACACATATACATACACACACATATAATACGTGCACACACATATATACATACATGCACACACATATATTCTTAGCAGTAATAGTGCCTGGCATGGCAGCTGTAGGCTGAGTGCACCAGGACAGCACAGAGCCCACATGACAGGATTGCCATTATTCTGGGTCATATACAGACGTGTGTTTAGGAACTCCGAAAAACATACGCATAATTTTTTTTTTTTTTTTTAAGAAACACAGTCTCGCTCTGTCACCCAGGCTAGAGTGCAGTGGTACATTCATAGCTCACTGTAACTTCAAACTCCTGGACTCAAGCAATCCTCCTATCTCTACCTCCCAAGTAGCTGGGACTATAGGCACGCGCCACCATGACTGGCCAATTAATAAAAATTTTTTAGGCCGGGCATGATGGCTCACACCTATAATCCCAACACTTTGGGAGGCCGAGGTGGGTGGATCACTTGAGGTCAGGAGTTCAAGACCAGCCTGGCCAACATGGTGGAACCCCGTCTCTACTAAAAATACAAAATTTAGCCAAGCATGGTGGCACACATTTGTGGTCCCAGCTACTTGGGAGGCTGAGGCAGGAGAATCGCTTGAACTTGGGAGGCAGATATTGCAGTGAGCTGAGATGGTGCCACTGCACTCTAGCCTGGGTGACAGAGTAAGACTCCGTCTCAAAAAAAAAAACAAAAAAACCAAAATTTTTTTGTAGAGACAGGGTCTCACTATGTTGCCCAAGCTGGTCTTAAACTCCCAGTCTCAAGCAATCCTCCCACCTCAGCCTCCCTAAGTGCTGACATTAGAGTTGTGAGCCATTGTGCCCAGCCTAAATCATTTTTTTAAACTGAGTTGTGGGATTTGTTGAAATGCATAGATCTTCAGTATATAGATCAAAGAGTTTTGACAAGTATATACTGATGGACATGCAGAACATCAACTAGAAAATTCCCACATCCCAGTCATTGCCCCCATCTCAAATATTCACTGTTCTGATTTCTGTCACCATTAATTTTGCCTGTTCTTAAACGTCACATACCATCAGTCATGTGCCACATAACATGTTTTGGTCAATGACAGACCACATATACAACAGCGATCCCATAAGATTATAATACTGCATTTTCACTGTACCTTCTCTATGTTTAGATACACAAATACTTCCCATTGTGTTGCAACTGCCTACAGTATTCAGGACAGGAACAGGCTGTGTAGGTTTGTGGCCTAGGAGCAATGGGCTATACCATACAGCTGGCTCCGTCATCTACGTCTGTGTAAATGCACTCTATGATGTTCACACAGTGACAGAATTGCCTGGTGACACATTTCTTAAAACATGCCCTTGTGGTTACACGACACCTGAGTCTACGACATTAAGAATCTGCAAACACATTTGAGAAATGCTGACCTAAGCAAGCCCCCACCACTACCAGTGAGGAAACGGAGGCTCAGCCAAGGGTGTCATTCCAAACCACATAACCAGGCTCTCAGAACAGAACTCTAGATTTTTATGAGATACAGACATCTACTGGGCACGGTGGCTCATGCCTGTTATCCCAGCACTTTAGGAGGCTGAGGCAGGCGGATCACCTGAGCTCAGGAGTTCGAGACCAGCCTGGCCACCATGGCAAAACCCCATCTCTACTAAAAATACAAAAATTAGCCAGGTGTGGTGGTGGGCGCCTTAATCCCAACTACTCTGGAGGCTGATGCAGGAGAATCACTTGAACCCAGAAGGTGGAGACAGCGCCACTGCAATCCAGCCTGGGCATCAGAGCAAGACTCTGTCTCAAAAAAAAAAAAAAGAGAAAAAAGAAAAAAGAAACACATCTTCTATGAAAATGCCACTATAGGCCAGGTATGGTGGCTCACACCTGTAATCCCAGCACTGTGAGAGGTCAAGGCATGCAGGTCACTTGAGCCCAGGAGTTTGAGACCACCCTGGGCAACACAGCAAGATGCTGTCTCTACAAAAAACTTTTTAAAAAATTAACCAGGCATGGTGGCATGTGCCCACAGTCCCAGCTACTCAGGAGGCTAAGGCAGGGGGATCGCTTGAGCTTGGGAGGTCAAGACTGTAGTGAGCGCTGATTATGCCACTGCACTCCAGCCCAGGTGACAGAGTGAGACCCTGTCTTAAAACAAAATGAAATTTAAACAATAAAATACCATCGTGTCAAAAGTAGTTTTTCTAAACTCCATATTTCATAAAAAGCCAGAGCATGCAACGGCACCTGTTCTAGACATCAAAAGGACATGGACAATGCAAGTCCCACCGCCCAGTGCTCATCACACTCATCTGGAGAACCCTGAAAGTCCCTGCCAGGACCAGCCCAAGCACAACCAGAAGCTGCGGTAAATCCATTAAGACAGTGGCCCTGGAACTTGACTGTGTATAACAAGCATTCAGGGATTTTGCAAAAATGCAGATTCCTGGGCCCTGTCCTCCAGAGATTCAAATTCACTGGCACTGGGATAAACCCAGAAACGTCTATTTTTAAAAGGCGTCCCAGGTTGCTTCCCCTCTCTGTGACTGTCTTCCCGTCCTGGACAAGGGCGAAACTACAGTCCCTACTTCACAATATGTGTAGAACCTTTAGAACAGGGACAGGTACTGTGTAAACAGCAGCTATCAAACTCGTGGCTATCACTTTCTTCGTGTTATTCTGATGCCGACTGTGGCCCACGGAGCTGCCTGGGATGGTGTCACGAGCGCTCACCTTGGTGATCTTCCCCCCGCTGAAGTTGGCAAAGCGCTTGAGGGAAAGGGTTAAGACGTTGGATGTTCTGTGGATGGTGAAGCGCTTGCTGGCTGGAACCTTCTTCTTGCATCTATGAAGAAGGTGATGAGAAAGATTAATGAATGATTGATTCGTGCTCTGAAAAATGTTGTCTTAACGCTAAGTTAATAACAGCAACAACTGCTCTGTAATAGTGGAATCTTCATCAATGAGATTTCGACCTTCTGCTCCTCTCAAAATCACATTAAGCATGCCTCAAGTAAAGGAAAGCTACCACAGGGAAATAAGACTACAGAAAGTGGGAAGATTCTAAAGCAAAAAAATAAAAGTACTGTACCCACCAGGAAACTAAATAAAATACAGGAAAAAGTTGCTTTGGGCCAACACAGGAAAGAGCAAATTAAAGCAGATGTGGCTGAGTGATAAAACGGGCAGGCAGGAAGTCAACGTAAGCAAAGCTAGAAGATGCGCAAACACAGGGAGAGAAAACAGAAGCAGAGGCGCGCAGCTTGGAGAGCTGCAGGAAACAGACCTAAAGAAGAGTAAAGCAGAATTAAGAATATATTCTTTAGTGCCTACAGCTTTACAAGGACCTAGATATAAAGATATTCAGCCGGCTGTAGTAGTGTGATCCCAGCACTTTGGGAGGCAAGGCAGGAAGATCACCTGAGTTCAGGAGTTCGAGACCAGCCTGGCCAACAAGGTGAAACCCTGTCACTACTAAAAATGCAACAAATGACAAAGTAAGAGTTCTATCTGCAGAAACGGAAAAATGTCCAAAACCAGTTAAGTAAAAAATGAAAGCCAAAGAAAACACTCCTTAAGAGGCAAGAGAGCAGCTGGTTGGGCACAGTCCCTGGGGCGGCCGCCCGGTGCCAGCCAGTGTGAACTGATGTGAGCTCGTGCTCTGCCACGTCCTCTTGGTGTGGCCCCATGGCTGGTCACTTCACTTCTCTGTGCCTCAGTTTCACCATCCCTAGCAATGGGAAACCACAGCCCCTACTGCACAATATATGCGGCATCTTTAGAACAGGTATGGTGTAAACTGTAGCTATAAAAATCATAGCTATTGCTTCATTCGTGTTATTTAGAAGTTTGAGTTTTTAGGACACACATAGGTTCCTCAAGAAATGCGAGCAGCGGTCACCGCTAAGGAAGAGTGGGTGGGCACAACACTGTCAGGTGAGGGGACTTATTTCCCGTCTGGTATCAGTCTTCTGCCACAAGCAACGTGAAACTTACTTAGCACACATGTAGGCATTCTCTCCACTCAGGACATCTGCTTTCACAAAAAGTTCCAGAGCACGCACAATATTCGCAGCTTGCTGAGGAGGACAAAAACAGGGAGTAAAATACACAGCAGAGGAAAAAGGCTGATTCAAGAAATGCCAAATTTAAGGTCTTTTTTAGGCTGAGGCAGCAAATCACAGAACTTAGACTCGCATAAAAATTTGCCCACTAGCTGCCAGATTGGGACTCCTTCTCCAGAGACAAGAAATGAAAGCAGCCAGGAACAGCGGCTCACGCCTATAATCCCAGCACCTTGGGAGGCCGGGGCAGGAGGATCATTGAGGCCAGGAGTTTGAGACAAGCCTGGGCAACATAGCAAGACCCCTGTCTCTGCAAAGAAATTTAAAAAATTAGCCAGGCGTGGTGGTGCATGCCTGTAGTACCAGCTGTGTGGGAGGATCACTTAAGCCTAGAGGTCAACACTACAGTGAGCTATGATTGCGCCACTGCACTCCTGCCTGGGCCACAGAGCAAGACCCTGTCCCTCAAGCCCCTATAAAAAAAAAGCAAAGCAAAGAAATGACAGCTGCAGGTCTGCCATGAATCAGTCACTTTTATCAGGATGATCTTGTAGCTGGACCTGCTCTGGAGCTTGGGTTGGCCCAGCAAAGGCAGACCACCCTCCCGCACCCTGTAGCTGCAGCAGGATGTGCGACAAAGCCAAGGCTGCTCTCCCAGGTGAGGCCCACAGAGCCACCAAGCTCCAAAGGCTGCACGCCGCCCAGAGCACACAACAGACTCTCCTCAAGCCCTGGGGACAGCGTTGTTCCTGTTCATGCTTCAGGACACAAAACCCAATTTTACCATTTTTTTCTTTAAATAAAAGGATACGCTTAGGAAAAACTCTAGAAAAAAACAGGTAAAGACAATGGTCTGTACTGCAAGGCGGCAGGGAGCAAAGGAGTTTTCTCCCTATCTATTTTGATCTGATGCCTTTACTGTTCTGCGGGTTCTGTTTCACCCTCTGGCCTCGCTCTCCTACTGCAAAAGTGAAGGGCAGGACAGATCTGTACCCGGATCTCCAGCGCGACGTCCAAGTAGGGGTCGTAGGTGTCCGAGACGCTCTTGCACACGGAGCACTTCACTGCAACAGAACAGAGGCAGTGGAGCAGGTGGGGCCTGGCAGAGGCACTCCCAGCTCCCAAGACCGAGACCCAGCAGGGAGGCAGACTCTCAGCAGGGCTTTGGCCAAAGATGAGATTCCCACTAGCCCCTGAAGCATCCTGGTGTCCGAACAGAGAGCTCTCTTTCACCACTGAAGTTCACAAAGATGGATGTCAATATCTTTGCACTCACAGGGCCCTCCCTGCCTGGACTGCTGACCACCACGTGCGGTACTCTCCTGCTGAGGGAGAGCAGAGGGAAGAGCTGCCTCCTCCCTGCACGCGTGCACGGCACTTCCTAATGAGAATATATATATATATATATATATATATATATATATTTTTTTTTTTTTTTTTTTTTTTTTGAGATAGAGTCTTGCTCTGTCACTCAGGCTGGAGTGCAGTGGTGGGATCTTGGCTCACTGCAACCTCCACCTCTTGGGTTCAAGCAATTCTCCTGACTCAGCCTCCCAAGTAGCTGGGATTGCAGGCATGTGCCACCGCGCCTGGCTGATTTTTGTATTTTTAGTGGAGACGGGGTTTCACCATGTTGGCCATGGTTGGCCAGGCTGGCCTCGAACTCCTGACCTCAGGTGATCCTCCTGCCTCGGCCTCCCAAAGTGCTGGGATTACAGGCGTGAGCCACCACACCCAGCCCTCGTGGGAATATTCTAACAACTGCTCCAGTGGCCAGGCGGGCCAAGAGTCTCAGAGGAAACCATGGCTCAAGACCTCAGAGACTGACCCAGGTCTGCACAGCGAAGAAAGAGCCCCAGCCTGCGTTCCAACTCTTAGGGTTTCCTGGGTTCATGTTCTAATCCTGGCAAGAAGCAGTAGAACAAACGTCTCCACTTACCGCGTGATCTGAGATACCCTCCAAAAATTTGATGGACCAAGGTAGTAGCCTGCGTTTGACGATCCAACCTGAAAAGGAGACCCCAGCCTTTAAGGGAAGGGCTCAGCAAGATGACACGAGGGATGGCCCCATCCCAGCAGCCCCATGCCCACCAGTCACAAGCTCAGCGTGAGGCTGGGAAACTCCACCCCCCACCCGAGTCACCACAGACCCTTAACCTCCATCCTCAGCCCACGCTGCCTGGCAGTCTCTCTGCAGAGCTCTGACCTCCTCAGGGCCCCACTACCCACAGTAGCCATTTCAAACCTTCACAATGCCCACTGCCACCCACTTCACAGAAAATAAAAGCCCCGAGAAATGTACGTGTATCCTCACCCAGTGTTGCCTTTTCTTTTTGGTCTCAATAAAAAGTAAGTACCCAAATCTAGAGTGAGGCGGGAGGCCAAACATCCCCCTGAGCTAGGGCGCCCACCCAGCCCACCCTTCCACTTCTCTGCTGGTCACAGACAGCTGGTCCCCAATCTGGGAAGAGGGGTGGGGGTGGGAACAAAGGCACAAACAGGACCAAATCTCCCCGGCTCTGCACCCGTCTCAGAGAGGACAGCGGAGTCAGACGTGGGCTTCGGGGTCAGGAGCCCTGCCCTCATTCATGTCCCCCGCACCGCTCACTAACTGGGATCTGAGGCACTCTGAGCTCTGGGGCCTCTTCTCACCCGGACCCGGGGCTGCCTGGCGCCTCCCACGCCTACGTATCCATATGGTAGCTACTCACGCTGGAAGGTTCTGAAACAATACACCACATCCAGTCTCTGCTCCTGGTTCTACTTGCAACCCACTGCATCTGGTCCTGACTCACTGCTCTGGAACTGCCTTCCTCAGAGTCGCCTAAGGCCTCCAGGCATGAGGCCAGCTGGGTCTGCAGGCCCTTTACTAGGAGGCTGCGCAGTGCGCCGGTGCACCCACTCCCTCCAGAAGAGCTTCCCCTCTCCCCAGGCTCTCCAGCCCCGTCTCCCCAGCTGCTTCCCCGACTCCTCACTGGCACAAAGCGGGGCTGTTTCCAGGGCTCTCTCCACGTTTCCCACGGCCACCCAGACCATTCCACACCCGCAGGCTACACTTCCCCTCCCACAGAACATGCACACCTCAGTCTCTCATCTGGCCTGTGTGACTATTTACCATGGCACTTCCCAGACTCCGGGAGCTCTGAAATACTTGGGGGACCAATACAGGATCATTCAATTTTTATTCTGCAAAGTTAGAAAATGAAAAATCAACTGCCACCATCTACTGTCCCACCATTCTTCAAAAGTGACCTTTTAACTGCAAATACTAGCAAGGACGTAATCTCTGCATGGACTGAGAACTGTGGGTAGCTGCGTGTGATGGCGGCTACCAAAATCCAGACCACCCCCACAACCCCTCTGTCATCCAGAAGCCCGCAAGCACCAGCGCCCGCAGGGCCACAAGGAATCCCCTCTTGCATAACCCAAAGCAGAGGAAGCACAACTGTCACCTTCCCCAGGAGGAGGAAAGGCAAGCTGAGTGACAGCGAGCTCCCACAGGCATCCCACTGAGCCTGGGGACAAAGGGCAGTAGAGAACAGCTGGGCAAGAATGGAGGAGGGGGCAGGAGGTGGCCCGAGAGCCACCCGGAATCACAGCTGCAAAGGGCACCCTGAAGTGAAGTGCTGAATATGGGGTCTCACAGGCACGCAGCTGGAGTAGCAGTCTCCACAGGCATGGGCTCTCAGGGGGAGAAGGCAAAGAGGCAGGCAGGCAGCCTTAGAAGGGCAGTGAAGGGCAAGAGAGGCAAAAGGGGAAACATCAGGGTCCTGAAAAAAACTCAAAACTATCCTAGACTATCGACCCTTCTGCTGCCAGAGGAAAAGCCAACCATGAAAGTGCACTGCACGGGGCAGACAGAGGAGGCGCTCTGGATACGAATCTTGAAAACCAGCCGACCCACAAGATAAATGAAAGCAGGCCCAGTCTATGCAAAGTGCTTCAAGCACAAAGCAGCAATGAACAAGAATCAAAACACCTCATGGGATGCAAACTAGCTCCAGAAAACAGACATGATGCCAAGGACACAGCCACCAAAACTCCAAGCCGAACGTCCTCAACACAGTGAGAGTGGCCTCATTTCTGGAACTAGAGTGCCACACACAGCTGCCCTCCTGGAGGAACTTATGAGAGGCCGGGCTTCACCCAGCCAGGAGCGCACCAGAGGTGCCAACTGGAGGGTGGGCAATGAGCAATGGGAAGATGTAACCATAACCCAAGGCTGGGCAAGAAAAAGATACCACCTTACAGGTGCCAACAAAAAAAATGAAATCATGCACGCTAAAATGGCAAGAGAGAGAGGAGAGGAAAAGAGCTAGGAAGTAAAGGGTACCACGGTGGACTGCCAAATCAGACAGTGAGGAGCGAGGAAAACAGGACCAGGTGCATTTCAAAAGGGCGTATGAAACCAGCAGGCAGCATGGAGCGTGCCTGCAGTTCCAGTTACTGGGCAGGAGGATTGCTTGAGTCCAGGAGGTGGAGCCTGCCGTGAGCGGAGATTGCACCACTGCACTCTAGCCTGGGAGACAGAGCAAGGCCCTGTCTCAAAAAGAATGGTTTATGTACAAAGGTAGCCATTAAAACAAAAACACACATCTTCCTAATATCCAAAGAAATTTGAGAAATAAAGAAAAATCAGAAATAAGCACAGTAAATATGCTACCTATAATTACTATAAAATACATAAATATGACAGAATTGAGACCAAACTTTTCAGTCATAACAGGAAATGTGAAGGGGCTTAACCTGCCTATTAAAAGATGGTCATTTTGGCTTACAAAACAAGACAGATCTTAAGAACGCCTCTAAGAAAGGGTTCAGAAAGTGACAGCAAGGGGCCGGCGGAAACCCTGCAAAAGCAGGGGCTGCAGCACTGACACTGGCCATGGCAGAATTCAGAACAAAAGCCACTCCACGTGACAAGTGAAGACACTCAGAATGCTAAAAGCAACGATCCTCAATGAAGACATGACAGTTACGAATATCTAACCACAACCACCTGTATAGAGCAAAACTAGAGGAGATGCAAGGAGACAGGCACCCACCAGAATTCCAGTAATCATGGACTTAACACACTATTCCAAACAGATGAAGGGGACAAGAGCACATGGATATAGAAAATGAAAACTGCATCATCAGTAGACCCATCCATGGACAGAGGAGCAAACCAACACCCTGGCAGTCTCAGCAGCCACCGCCAAGCATGCAGGAAACATTCACAAACGCTGGTCACCTATAATCACGGAGAAAACATCAGGAAGTTCCATGAAGTAGAAATATTATCAACACGCTCTGATCATAATGCAAGTAACATCAAAAGTCATCTACAGAAGCAAAAGACAAAAAGGCCCCTCCACCTGCAAATTAAATGGAATAATTTGCTTTATGAGAAGCTCACCATTGGTGTCATTCTTATTTTTTCTCACTCCACATTTCACTACAGACCAGTGAAAGCTCCCTCATGGACCGACATCTGGTGAGCCTTCATCTCTCCCCTGGCAATGCCTGGCCACCTGACACCTGGCCTCCCTCCTCTTTCCAGCAATCCTGGTACCAACGAATGGCTCACCACCACCCACCCCAATGCCCAGACCGCAGACCTGCATTCCTCCCATCTCACAGCCCCAAATCCAAACCGTTATTCATTCTACCTCCCATCCTACTCCTCACGAATTTCTTCCACCGTAGACTCTGGTTAATTGGACTGACTGAAGCCCAGGGGTCAGTTTCTGTCCTAAGAGCGCTCCAGGTGGCTGCACCCTGTGCCCAGAGCCAGGCCCCCTGCTATAGGCTCGCTGCACTCCCCCTGCAGGTGCTGGGGACACCGCAACCCTCCTCCTGGGGACACCTACTTGCCTTTGCAGGCCCTCGGGGGTCACTTCTCCCAGGAAGCCGCCTCTGGGTGAGGTAATATCCCTCTATCACAGCATTGGCCACACCACATTGCAAACGCTGCTGGGGTCCACTGTCTTCACCAATTACACCATGAGCTCCACAGACTCCAGGACCATGGCTTCTACCTCTCAGTTCCCAGTGCTAGCTATGGGGCCCAGCACACAGGGAACAGCAGTTCAATTACCCAGTTCACTGAAGGGCAGACCTGGGATCATACAGGGAGCAAGGAAGCTTGAGCCCCTTCAGGAGAAGGGGAAGAACGCGTGACCAAACCCTCAAAACAGACAAAAAGGAATGCATCCTAGGAGTGCAGTGAAAGTTGCCTTCATATAAGTGATTTAAGTAAGTTTTCTTAAGCCAGGAATGGTGGCTCATGCCTGTAATCCCAGCACTAAGAGGCCAAGGCAGGCAGATCACTTGAGGCCAGGAGTTGGAGACCAGCCTGGCCAACATGGCAAAACTCTGTCTCTACTAATAATACAAAAATTAGCCAGGCACGGTGGTAATCCCAGCTACTGCACTCCAGCCTGGGCGACAGAGCAAGACTCCTGTCTCAAAAGCAGTTTTCTTTCTGTAAGTCTTATTTACGTAAGAATATCATCCACTGAGGCCAGTAGTTTTGCCATTTCAATCACTTATTGCCACAACTCAACTTCTCTAAAGAACATTCTAGGTATATTCCCTAAACTATTTAAAGTATTTCTACGATCCTAAGCTGAGGCAATACAAGGAAGTCCTAAGCATTTCCTGCCTGTTTTCTTTGGTCTGAACCTATGAACTCAGGAATGACACAAAGACAATTTGTGATGGCAACCATCACATATAAGGGCTTACGTGGCGTGTGAATAAGAAACAGCAGCCAGGCACAGTCAGATCCTAAAGTTATAAACCTCCTCATGTTAAAGCTCCCTGTTTGTACATATACATGTACATATAAATTATACTGCAGAGACCTCATTCCTACCACCCCAACCTCTTTTCAAAAACGACATGATTTTTAAGAGACTGAAAAAGTCCATGGTAAGAACTGAATGCCCCTAAGAAGGTCTGCTAACATATTTCCCCCTGACTGAGCTGCTCAGACACAGCTGCCGCCACCACAGCCACCCGATCCTACCAAGCCGCCCCGGACCAGCAGGACGTCTCCGGAGACAGCCCTTTCCCAGGAAGCAAGGGCAATCCCCTATTTGGGCTCCAACAGTTTGAGTACCCAGAGGCAAATTCTGCCACGTCTACCCAAGGGCAGCCTGGGTAGAAAGGTGCCGGGCTGGCTGTTGCCATAGGAATGTTCTGCTGCCACCATGTAGAAAAGGTGTCCAAAGCCCTGGGAGGGTGGGTGGGGAAGCACGCACTTGGCACAGCCATTCAGGCAGGCTTTCTGCATGGCGTCGATGGTGTACCGCAGGAACTCATGCGCGTCCTCCTGGTTCCCAAAGCGGAAGTGTCGGGCGATCTCTAAAAGAGGAAGAAACAGGGAGGGAAGAGCTCGTGTCTTCTCATCAAACGGCCTGCGGCTGCTTTCCTGAATGGCCATTCCTGGCTGTTATAAGGGGAAAATACTGCAACTTTTCAAAGGAACAAGTGAGGAAAACAAGAGCTCTACATGGATTTTCTATATCCCAATCACAATTCATCATGGCCACCACTTTCTCAATAAGATTGCAGGCTTGAGCATTCACTACTGCACAGACAAGGAAGAACACCAAGCCCTCAAAAATGTAAAATGCCGGCTGGGTGAGGTGGCTCACACCTGTCACTCTAACACTTCAGGAGGCCTGGGTGGGAGGATCACTTGAGCCCAGGAGTTCGAGGGCAGCCTGGGTAACATAGGGAGACTTCATCTCTACCAAAATAAAAAATAAAAAAATTAGCCAGGCATGATGGCATGTGCCTGTAGTCCCAGCTACTTAGGTGGCTGAGGCAGGAGGATGGGTTGAGCCTAGGAGGTTGAGGCTGCAGTGAGCTATGATCTCACCACTGCAATCTCCAGCCTGGGCAATAGAGCAAGACTCTATCTCAGAAAGAAAAAGAATAAAGAATGTAAAATCCGGCAGGATGCAATGGCTTATGCCTGTAATCCCAACACTTTGGAAGGCCAAGGCAGGAGGATCGCTTGGAGCTGGGAGTTGGAGACCAGCCTGGGCAACATGGCCAGACCCCATCTCTACAAACAATACAAAAACAGTCAAGTGTGGTGCGCCTGTAATCCCAGCTACTCAGAAGGCCAAGGCCGACTGCTTGAGTCCAAGAGTTTGAGGCTGCAGCGAGCTGTGATTGCACCACTGTCCTCCAGCCTAGGTATAAGAGCAAAACCCTGTCTCAAACAAAAAGAATGTAAAATCCATTGAATATCTCTCCAAAAGCCAATATAAAACACAGGTGAGTAAGTATTTCACAGTGCTACAATTTACACAGATTTCAAAAACCGGTAATAGGCCTCTTCTTTCTGCCAAGTGAATGTGAATGAGACTTTTTTATAGCATAGGCAACTGATTCCTGATATTCAGAATGGAATTGGTACATTCCTCATCCATCCCTCCTCCCAGCTCTCCCTCAGGCCCACCTGCCTGCCCCAAATACACAATAACTCCTCCACCTGCCCAAAGGAAAAGCTACCTGTCCTGACCTGCCCCCACTAAGAGGCTTCCCCACTGACCCCAGCCCACATGTCTCTAAACTGCTATTCCTTGAGTCTGCACCACCACATGCAGGGCTGTTAGCACAGAGGGATTCCCAAGACTTCATCCATGACTCACTCTTCTCTCCCTTCTACCAACTCCCCAGCACCTCCTACAGGGCGAGCACTTAGCAGGCCTTCAGTAACAGATGGAGAATGGCACAGTGGCTCGTGTCTGTAATCCCAACACTTTGGCAGGCCAAAACGGAAGGACTGCTTAAGGCCAGGAATTTAAGACCAGCCTGGGCAACATAGCGAGAACCCCATCTCTACAAAAAATTAAAAAATAAATAAATCACAAAAATTTTAACATGGATTGATGCTTACTTTTCAGGTCTCGGATGAAGGAGACGGGCTTGATGGCGTTGCCGCTGTTGGCGAAGGCCTGGACAATGTGGTTCTGCATGACACACAGCATGCAGAAGCTTCCCTGGTGGCCTGCCGGCGTGGAAGGAGGAGCAATTTTAAGACAAGAGCTTTCAAAGAACTCACGGTGAGGCCCCCACCCCAAACGTTAACACAGCCAGAAACACAAGCAGGTAAGAGCAAACCAGGCTGTGAGAGAACGGCTGAGCCAGAGATCCCAGACCTCTGCTGACTGGGTGACCACCAAGGAAATGTTATTCTCTGCTGGATGGCGTTTGGAAGCTATGATCCATCCAAAGCTGAAACTCTCACCATCACAACCTCACACCATCACCCCACATTAATGCTGACCTGTGCATGATCCTTTTCAGATTTCACTAGTATTATTTACTTATAAAAAGACTAAGGCAGATTTTCAAAATGAAGCTTAAACGATGTATTCTCGAATTTCTAAGCTGCATCACATGGTAAATAGGCTAAAATATTTTAGGGCTGACAGCCCCTTAGTAGTGCCTCAGATATGGGACCGTCTGTTCCACTGGTTCTAGTAAACACCTCGCTAGGATACATCTGGGGTTGAAAATGTTTTCTGGGAAGATCCAGATAGCAAATCCTTTCCTATCTGAGGGCTATACAGTCTAGTCACAACTATGCTCCTGTATTGTAGAGGAGGCAGCCATAGACAATATATGAACAATGGGGTATGAACGTGTTCAATAAAACTTTATTTACACACACAGAGAGCAGGCCAGATGAGTCTGCCCACCCCTGCGCTACATAAAACGCCTCACTAGGCATTAGGCTAGACAGTGGTCCTTTTTTTTTGAGACAGAGTCTCACTGTCACCCAGGCTGGAGTGCAGTGGCACAATCTTGGCTCACTGCAACCTCCGCCTGCCGGGTTTAAGCAATTCTCCTGCCTCAGCCTCCCAAGTGGCTGGGACTACAGGCTCGTGCCACCATGCCAGGCTAATTTTTTGTATTTTAGTAGAGACAGAGTTTCACCATGCTGGCCAGGCTGGTCTCGAACTCCTGACCTTGTGATCCACCTGCCTCAGCCTCCCAAAGTGCTGGGATTACAGGCGTGAGCCATCGAGCCCAGCCCCGACAGTGGTACATTTTTACCTTTCAAATTATGATGTAAATAAACACTGCTGTGATCGCCGAACTCCCCTCAATCTCTCTCAACCCCATTTTCCATGTACCTTCATTCAAAGTCACCACTATCCTGAATTAGGCAATTATCGTTCTCATTCATGTATTATCACACACATGTGTATCCATGAACAATAAATGGCACTGTAGCTACATGTTTCCAAACTTCCTTTCTATAAATCGTATCATGCAGTTACGTATCATTCAGCAATGGCTTTACAAAAATCCATGTTGCTAGACATAGCTCCAGTTCCTTCAAATCTTCCAGCTAGAATATTTCACTGAATGAAGAGACCACTGTTATTTATGTATCCACCACTAACACACATTTAGCCTTTCCATTTTCTCTGCTATCATAGACATTTTGCAATGAACAATCCTGCACCTGTCTCCTTGAGCACATGGGTCAGTTTCTCTAAAGTACACGCTCAGAAGACAAATTTCTGGACCAAAGGGCAAGCACGCCTTCAAATCTGCTAGATACTGTTGTCTACTACACAGTGCATTACCTATTATCTATTATCAAATAGATCCATCTCATAACACAAAACTCAACCCAAATCATTTCCCCGCAATATCTCCAACTCCTTAGACTTCAAAATCAATAATGCAACAGCATGCAGCCTGCTTAGCAAATAGACATTAAAATGCTATTATTTACACAAAATTCTTCTTGAAGAGATGTAAAAAACTCTCCATGAGATTGCCTTTACATAAAGGGGAGGTTTTTTTCATTTTAGACTTCTGCTTGCCTTTTCTAACTATATCCATGTTATTACTTTTATTTTTAAAATGACAATAATGATTGGTGAACTCAAAATTAGGCAAAAATTATGTCATTTAAAAGAAAATACAGGCCAGATGCAGTGGCTCACGCCTGTAATCCCAGCACTTTGGGAGGCCGAGGCAGGTGGATCGCGAGGTCAGGAGGTTGAGACCATCCTGGCTTACACAGTGAAACCCCGTCTCTACTACAAATACAAACAATTAGCCAGGCATGGTGGCACGTGCCTGTAGTCCCAGCTACTCGGGAGGCTGAGCCAGGAGAATCGCTTGAACCTGGGAGGCGGAGGTTGCAGTGAGCCAAGATCACACCACTGCACTCCGGCCTGGGCGACAGAGTGAAACTCCATCTCAAAAAAAAAAAAAAAAAAAAAAAAAAAAGGGACAACATAAATATTGAAGAGCTCTTTTTTTTCCAAAACCTAACTTCAGGTAAGATACAGTTTTACTACAAAAGAAAATGGCCATGGGGGCCCACACCTGTAATTTCAGCACTTTGGGAGGGTGAGGCGGGTGGAACACGTGAGGTCAAGAGTTCAAGACCAGCCTGGCCACTTGGTGAGACCCCCATCTCTACTAAAAATACAAACATTAGCCGTGTGTGGTGGCAGTCACCTGTAATCCCAGCTACTTGGGAGGATGAGGGAAGAGAATCGCTTGAACCTGGGAGGTGGGGGTTGCAGTGAGCCGAGACTGTGGCAACTGCACTCCAGCATAAGCAACAGAGACTCTGTCTCAAAAAACTGTGTAGAAATTAAGCCTCTAATCATTATATATAAAACGCTGCTGGTTGGGCATGGTGGCTCACACCTATAATCCGAACATTTTGGGAGGCTGACGCAGGAGGATCGCTGAGCCCAGGTGTTTGAGACCAGCCTGGGCAACACTGCCTAACCAAATCTCTACCCAAAGAATACAAAAAAAAAATTAGCTGGGCATGGTGCTATGAGTCTATAGTGCCAGCTACTTGGGAGGCTAAGGTGGGAGGATTGCTTGGGAGGTGGAGGTTGCAGTCAGCTATGATTACACCACTGGACTCCAGCCTGCGTGACAGAGTGAGAGCTTGTCTCAAAAAAAAAAAAAAAAAAAAGCTTCTTTCAGCCTAATAAAATATCACTCTTAACAGGGTAAATAACAATCTAAGCCAGGTTCTCCAGCAATATATGAGATTAATTTAAGTGGCACATGGACAAATATTTATTCATGTAATTTAGGAAAATATAACTCAAAAGTCAATCCATGACTACACGGACATAGAGAGATTTGGGAAACAAAAGGACAGGACTGAACTGCGTTCCTCCTAGACTATTTACACAGTGTTTCTCTTCTAGCTAAATATTAGCGCCAGAGACAGTCCAGCCTACGGCAGGAGCTGCTGCTCCGTGCCACGTGCACAGTGGACCCTCGTCAGAACAAACACCCCTTAGGATCCTCAACTCTTCAAATGCCATGTGCTAGGAGGGGGAGACCACAGCCAAAGCCCACTTAGGGGTCACTCAGGATCCAGTGGGGTGCAGGAAAAAAAGGCCACAACGTCTCTTCATATGTTCCAAGATAGTAAGATGCACTAATATTTCACAGTGATACTGGCCCATGGGACCGGTATTGGAAGGAAGACCAGGCGTTCCCCTTGAAGGGATGGCCATGGCTGCCTTACTCACACGCTTGCTGCTGACATGCTGCAACAAACTGCAGCTTACCTGTGCCAGGTTACGGGGATTTACAGATATTATCTAGTTTTAACTAAATTAATCCTCACAAAGTTGGCAACTGGCTCAAAAAGATCCTGCAGAGAAACCAAGAATGGAAGGCAGCTCTACAGTGGAAGAGCCCTGACAGGCCTGGGATAGCAGAGTCTTACTGCCAAAACCATGAGACGAAAACAACAGCCATCTAGTCAAATCTTACTGAAAGTCCACCCAGAACCACCTCAAAATTACCAAGGTCACCACTGGAAATAGGGGCTACAATTAGCCATCTCAACAATGTGCTTCTGCAGGGCACGGTGGCTCATGCCTGTAATCTCAGCACTTTCGGAGGCAGAGGCAGGCAGATCACCTGAGGTCGAGAGTTCAAGACCAGCCTGGTCAACATGGTGAAACTTCGTCTCTACTAAAAATACAAAATTAGCCAGGCGTGGTGGCGGGCACCTGCAGTCCCAGCTACTTGGGAGGCTGAGGCAGGAGACTCTCTTGAACACAGGAGGCGGGGGTTGCAGTGAGCCGAGATTGCACCACTGCACTCCAGCCTGGGCGACAGAACGAGACTCCATCTCCAAAAAACGCCCCCAAACAATGTGCTGCTTCATCTCAACAACTATGCCTTGATAATTAACCTTTGCTGCTATGAAGCCATCGCAATTAGCAAGATGTTTACAAACACTTCCCACTGCATGGCCATCTTGTGTTCTTTTTTTTATGTTTTTTTGAGACGGAATCTTGTTCTGTTGCCCAGGCTAAAGTGCAGTGGTGTGATCTCAGCTCAATGCAACCTCTGCCTCCCAGGTTCAAGTGATTCTCCTGCCTCAGCCTCCCAAGTAGCTGGGATTACAGGTGTGAGCCACCGTGCCCAGCCAGTAGCAGTCACTTCTATAGCACTCCCTCTTTGCGGGCTGCTACTCCAGGCACTTGACTCACTCAGAATTTATCGGAGCCTCACGCAACTCTGTAAGGAAGACAGTCTCATTCTTCCATAGACCAGGGACATTCTCAAAAACTCACAGTTACTAAGGGGCAAACTGGGAAGCAAACCCTACAGGCCAGGCTCCTGAGCTGTGTTTTCAACTGCTCTGCTCCCTCCAGAATTCTACTTAGAGATTTTCTGCGATGAAAACATCCTGCATTCCTAGGATAAACATAAGTTGCTTACAGTTTTTTAGAAACTGTGTCATTTGGTAGTATTTTCCTACAATTTTTATATCTATGTTCGTGAAGAAGTTGTGGTTATCCATTTTCTTTCTCGCATTTTCCTTATTATTGTTATCCGAGTTATAGGAACTTTATAGAATGAGCTGGGAAAGATTCTCTCCTCCTCTATTCTTTGGAAGAACGTGTAAAGGATTGGAATTGTTTCTTAAAAGTTACATAGAAATTGGCTGGGCACAGTGGTTCACACCTGTAATCCCAGCACTTTAGGAGGCCAAGGCGGTTGGATCACCTGAGGTCACGAGTTCAAGACCAGCCTGACCAACATGGTAAAACCCCATCTCTACTAAAAATACAAAAATTAGCCAGGCGTGGTGGCGTGCGTCTATAGTCCCAGCTATTTGGGAGGCTGAGACAGGAGAATTGCTTGCACCCAGGAGGCGGAGGTTGCAGTGAACTGAGATCACACCACCGTACTCCAGCCTAGGCAACAGAGTCCGTCTCAAAAAAAAAAAAAAGTTACACAGAAATAACATTGTCTCTGCTTGGGGTTTTTTATGGGAAGATTTTTAACCAATGCTTTAATTTCTTTAATAGTTAAAAGACTCTTCACTTTCTATTTCTTTCAGTTTTGGTAAGTTATATCTTATTTCACCTCTATTTTAATCAAATAGAGCACACCACCACATCCAGCTAATTGTTTCGATTTGTTTTTTGTGTGTGTGAGATGGAGTCTTGCTCTGTCACCCAGGCTGGAGTGCAGCGGCATGATCTTGGTCAGCTCACTGCAACCTCCACCTTCTGGGTTCAAGCAATTCTCCTGCTTCAGCCTCCCGAGCAGCTGGGATTACAGGTGCACCCCATCACGCCTAATTTTTATATTTTTAGTAGAAACCGGGTTTCGCCATGTTGGCCAGGCTGGTCTCCAACTCCTGACCTCAAGTGATCTGCCCACCTCTGCCTCCCACAGGTGTGAGCCACCGTGCCCGGCCTTGATTTGTTTTTGTAGAGATGGGATCTTGCTGTGTTGTCCAGGCTGCACGTTTTATAATACACATAAGATATGCTGATACAACAACAGATGCATAAAACAATTGGGCTAGGCATGGTGGCTCACACTTATAATCCCAGCACTTTGGGAGGCTGAGATGGGAGGATCATGTGAGCCCAGGAGTTCAAGACTACAACGAGTTGTGATGGAGCCACTGCATTCCAGCCTGGGTGTCAGAGCAAGATACTGTCTCTAAAAAAATAATATTTGTATATATATATATATATATATTTTGGAAGTATCTTTTGAAAACGTTTCTGTCTGGGTAATTATTTACAGAAAAGCTTGGCGAACACAGCCCCACCTGACCGATTCACCTTCATGGCCCATTCTGCAGCAGGCATGATTCAAATTTAGGTTTCATCAGTTACTATACATTATGAACTACCCTCCTAAATTTGACCCAGACTGAGAGCAGCAGTGCCACAAGTGCATGGGCTTATCTAATCCAGAGGACCCACAGCCACCCCACTGCTGCAAACCCACACTCACAGCTGCGAGCATGCTCCTTGGAGAGCAGGTAGTTGGCTAGAGGTGGTGTGTAGGTCAAGCACTGGATGGTGGCATTGAGAAAGCAGGTGTTGCCAAGGTTGTGGAGTCCTGCGCCCACGCGGAAGACCCGCTCCCACCTCAGAGACAGTCGCTCCGTGGGGAAAAGCACTTTCTGCGGGGCTGGGACTCCGTCACCACAGCTCTCATACGTGTGCTCACTGCCTGAGGAAGAAAGGGACAAGGGAAGAAAAGAGGAAGACGTAAGTCCACACACAGGTCGTCCACAAAAAGAAACTCCTGAAGCATACACTTAGCATGCAGTGACTCGGAACATGGCACCAGAGAAGAACTGGTGTTCTGGTTTACAGGACATTCCTGGAAAGCTCAGGAGTAAACCCAGCCATCCCACGGACCTCCTAGGCTGCTTGGCTAAAGAATTCAAGGGCCCCTCTATAGATGGAGGACACAGCTCAGAGACTGAGTGGCGGAAGGAGCCAGGCCTGGCACTCTGCACCACACTGTGCCCACATGCAGCCCACCCCATTTCTCTTTCTTAGTTCCAAGCCTGACTTTCGACTGTATTATACTTGGGATAGGGGGACAGCAAGTCCAAGGACCCACCAAGTACACAGATCCACCAAGCACACAGATTTCCTTGCTACCAACCCTGTATCATTACTTCTATAACTGAAATCCACTGACCCCATGTAAAAATTCATAACTCTTTGACCACATTCTCTTGTTTTTCCTACTAATTAGTCAATATTTAAGTCCATCCACTTCGTCACCCCGGAGTGAGGGCCTCTCTGCCAGCACACTGCACATCTGTACCCTGTCTCCTGGCCGGTGGGTCATCTCCACTCTTGTGGCGACTAGCTCCCTCTGTTTTGGGGTTGAGCAACACATATTTGCTCTTTAAGGCCTCCAGCTGGTAGGAGAAGCTCTTGCTGGCTGGCTCGAACTCGATTTTCTGTAAAAGGACCTTCTTGGCAGAGGAGGCAAGAAGCTTCCCCAGTTCTCCATCATCAGCCGAGTCCTTGCGGCCGGGTTTCAGGGCCTCCTTCAACTTATCCACTATTGGCATGGTGCATCACTGTGGGGACAAGAAGAAACATAGAGCCATAGATAACGAAATCCCGGGACAAAAACATCTCTTAAGATCTCCTCTTTGGTCATTATGGATGCTAGCCACCACAAAAGCTCCCCTGGATCAGTGATCCCCTGGATCAGCTGCACAAAGGAAACAGGGAGACCCAGCACTAATCACTTGGACATATTAGTTCACATTTCCCCCACAAAAAGATAAGATGCCACTACAAATAGAGGTGAGCAGACAACAGTGGCCCTGAGGCAGCCAGACAGCCCCTGCCATGTGCATCTCTTCATCAGATACTCATCAAGTGGCTCTGGACATCATTCTTGGTGCCATTTCCTTCCAAAGGTCATCACGTGGTCCAAATGTCTGCTCCAAAACAGGGGCACACTAATTCTCACATACAAACTGGTTATACACACACGGACACACACACACACACACACAAACGGACACACACACACACACCCACGCAATAAATGAATTAGCATGCAGGTCAGATGAGCATGCATGTCTGTACAGACCTGCACTCTTCAATATGAAGGCCACAGGCCACACGTGGCTACTGAGCATGTGAAATGAGGCTAGTCCAGGTTGAGAGGTGCTATAAGTGTAAAATGCACACCAGATTTTGAAGAGAAATACTCACTAGTATAAGAAGAGAATGTAAAACATCCCAGTAATTTTTAGATCAGTTACCTGTTGAAATGGTAATATTTTATATATATTGAGTTAAATAAATTATGAAAATGAATTTCACCTGCTTCTTTTTAATGTGGCTACTATAAAATTTTAAATTATATTTGTGGCTTGTATTAATCTCCATTACACAGTGCTTGGAGTACAAATTATCTTTTTAAAAGTGAGGAAGGAGAAGAAAAGCAAGTAGCAGGCCTAGAGACTAGTATCCATTAGACACCTAAACTTAAACAAATGTCTTCCCAGGACTCTTATCAAAAGAGAAGAAGAAAAGCCAAGCAGGAGAGTGGGGAGATCACAGGCTTTGGAATGTGGTGGCCCCGGGAGGTTCTATCATCCTTAGCTATGAAACCCAGGGACAACTACTATGACTTCTCCAAACCCCCTATTCTACTGTAAAATAGCAACAAAAATAATAGGCTTGGGAAGTGCTTTAGAGCTTGCTACATACTACAGTCCCTAACAGAGGATCGATACTGTTGGTGCAGCTGCATGGAAACTGTAACCAAGAAGAGACCCCTGCACCTCTCCAATCGCTACCTTTGTATCCACCACTTGCCCTCCCCTACCCACCACCTCTCAACTTAACCTTCCCAAACACAGCACAGACTATCTGAGTCACAATTTCAAAAATATGTCCCTTAAATTGCTCACTCACATCAGAAAAATGATGACTTCCTCTGGTATTCAGTACCCAGCCTGCCCTCAGAGAATCAACAAGTCAAGTGTGCCCCAAAATTCTGCTCTAGTGAAAGTAAGGACTTCCTCCAGCACCTCATATTAAGCCATTCAAATTTATCACTGTGGATCATCTAATTCTATACATGGATCAAGTATCTTTTTCTACAAAAACTTCTGTAAAGAAAAGCCAGGTGCAGTGGCCTGGGCCTGTCGTCCCAGATGCTTGGGAGGCTGAGGTGGGAGGATAACTTGAGGGCAGGAGCCTGAGGCTGCAGTGAGCTATGATTACGCCTGTGAATAGCCAGTGCAGTCCAGCCTGGGCAACATCGTGAGACCCCATCTTTAAAACAAAAAAAATCGTGGCTCACGCCTGTAATCCCAGCACTTGGGAGGCCGAGACGGGTGGATCAGGAGGTCAGGAATTCAAGACCAGCCTGGCGAAGATGTTTCTCTACTAAAAATACAAAAAAACTAGCCAGGCATGGTGGCAGGCGCCTGTAATCCCAGCTACGCAGGAGGCTGAGGCAGAGAATTGCTTGAACACGGGAGGCAGAGGTTGGAGTGAGCCGAGATCGCGCCACTGCACTCCAGCCTGGGCAACAGAGCAAGACTTGGTCTCAAAAAAAAAAAAAAACAAAAAACAAAAAACTTCTGTAAAGAAATTTCAGAAGCTTATTTAAAAAAAAGCATTATAAGTTGTCTGATTTGAGAAAATAAAAGAGCCTTTTCTCATGAGAATTATCAAAGACTTCTCACCAACTGAACAATCACTGCTGCGTCACATGCAGACAATTCAACGGAATCAAAAAATACACAGAAGCCTCGCAGACTCACCTGGGATGTGCAGACTTGGGCCTGCTGTCCTACTGCGGCATGGAACCAGGATCTTAACGGAGGGCTGAGTTTGGTTGGGCAGGTGCTACGCGGAGCTCCTGAATGTAAGCGCTCCTGGACTGTGGCCTGTTCAAACACCGAAGCCGCAGAGCGGGCGTCAGAGCCTGTGGGAGGGACAGGGAGACCATCAGTGGAGGCGACTCTTCCTGTGCCTTCTCTTCAGCTACTTCCCAGGGATGCGGCGCGCACCGGGAACCCTCTACCACGAAAAAGCCGTCCAAGGAGCATCCACGCGTGCACTCAGGATGAGGCGGGTGGACCGTACTACCTCATCACCAGTTGTTGTAATGCACACGATATGAACACCTTAACCTTGACCCCAGACAAGCCCAGAGAAGGAAAACCTCCCCAACACCTGCCAGTCAGCTCCAGTCTAATCTTATTTCCAAAGAGTAAGAGGTAATAAATCCCCAAGTTTTGGATTTAATGAACCAGTAAAACTTCAATAACAACAACAACAAACCTCAGGGAGTAATAGGAGTTGCCAAAATTTTGCTTTGCTAAGTGTGGATTTTCTCTTTCATTACCATCTACGATCACTATGATTACATAAAATTAAGGTTCGTAAAAACAGTTTACAGTGAAAACATTCAAACACACAGATGGAGAACCGCACAGGGAGCACATGAGCCCCCCTTATTCAGCCTCAGTAACTACATCTGACCCATCCTGAGTCACTTCCCATCCCCAGGTAATTCTACAGCAAATCTCAGACCTATGACTTCATCCATAAATAAAAGCATACCAACTCCCGAAAAATGTGTAAGGAAATGATCTCAGAATAAAAGCCATCTACAAAGTGAAGACATCCAGTCGTATTAAAAACTCCCCACAATATCACTGCTTTCGGTTAGGACTCACATCTACCCTGGAAGGTGAGAACTCTGTCATGCACAACCAACGCTTGAGAACCACTTAGGGAGGGGATAAACGAACCTTGGGAGATGTAACCCAGTTTCACTCGAGATAAGTAACTTTGAACTTAACCCACTCCTTAATGTAGATGCAGAGATTTTGAACACAATTTTTCAAGTGGGACAGGTCAATCTCTACTTCACCAATTCCACCTAAAACATTAAGCAATAACCTAAACAACGCTCGCTCGCTCTCTGACGTGTAGGAGCCCGAGACAAGTGTTCCTGTAATCACTAGCAATCCCTCCGACGCACACACCATCCACACTCTACCCAACTCAGGAAGGATGCTCTCTCTTGTCCAAGGACAGCACAGGCCTCATCCACATTTCCACCTGCGCGAACCCCAGCCAGCACCATTTAGGCTCATTCCCGCTCCCTCCTCCTTCTAAAGTCACTTTTCCAGGATGAACTGCAACGGACGCTCGCAGGGTCAACCACGTGCTGGGGAGAGGAGCCCACGGAAGCAGCGGCCTCCCGGGGCCCAGCGCCGCGCTCCAGGGGCCTCCCGGGCGACTCCGCAGCGCCTGCCCCGAGCCCGGCCGCGGACACAGCGACCCGAGCACCTCTCCCCGAGCATGGCTCCGTGGCGAGCGTTACGTAAACGGGGGCGCGCGGAGTCTCCCCTCTCGTGTGTCTGGGTTTGGCGGCCGCCACTCCAGCCCCAGGCCCAGGACCCCCACGCCACCCGCCAGAAGCAGCAGCATCGGAACCGCACCCCGCCCCGGGCTCCATGGCCTCCTCCGCAACCACGAGGAAGGTGCCCGCCCCGGGGCCGCACCCGCCCCGCTGAGCTCTGCGGCCGCACGCGACGCCCTCGCCCTGATTCCGACTTCAACCTCTCCGAAGTTGACCTGAATCCTGCACAGACAGCGGGCCCCGGCGACCCCCATCACCGGCCCGGAGCCCGGGGGACGGCGGAGACCGGCGAGGACAGCCCGGCCCCGGACCCTCCTCGGGAATACCCGGGCTCTGGAGAAGCGAGCTCGCGAGCGGGCGGAGCATCCCGGGTCCTCCTCGGGGACGGCCGAAGCCCTGCGCGGACCCGCGCCCACGTTCTCCCTGAGCGTCCCGGCTGCGCCCGCCAGCCCTTCCCGCGCCCCAGGCCTCGCGGAACCCCCCGCCCCGGTCTCGTCCCCAGGCCTGCGCACCGCCCCGACCCGACCCCAGCCTACCCCGGCCTCTCCGCGGGCGCGCCACAAGCCTACGCAGCCCTGGCGACTCCTTCGGCCCGCGGCCCAGCACGCGCACCATCCGGGCCTCCGGCGCCTCACACACGTGTCACCGCGACGCTTAAAGGCGCCGCACCCAGCGTTCGCGCTGCGCTAACTCCGAAAGGGTTGGGAGGCTTTAAGAGGCGGGGCTAGATTCCGCTAACTCCCTGTCCCCGCCCACCGCCGCTTCCGTGTCGCCTACGTCACCTCCCCATCACGGGACCCCGCCAGCCTACGTGATGACGCAAGTGCGCAGAGCCACAGGCGCTCCCGCCCCTGTGCCGCGGCAGGGTGACGTCTCCGCAGCGCACTAGAGGTGCCGCTACTTCCGGGTCGGCCGAGCACACCTGGCGGCGTGGCGGACGCCTGAAGTGTGACAGTGGCGCGCGCCCCCGCCCCAGAACGGGGACTCGAGGGACTTTGCCCACCCCTGCAACAGCCCTCCCGCGCTGTCTCCCGGGCAGGGAGAAGGCTGGGCTCCCCCACCTGCCCCTGGCCGTCAGGTGGCTGTGGAGAAGCGGAGGCGCGGGCGCTCGGCCTTAACGTCCCGGGCTCTGGGGCCATCCGTGACTCCCACACGCGGAGCACCTGCAGTTTGGGGAGGGAGGGATCTGGGAGCGATCGGCCAAAGCCTGGGGCTGCCGAGGAAATGGCTCTTCGGAATTAGGGATCTGAGAGTGTGAGATTTGACCTTTGTAGGCTGGTGGCGGCTGTGCAATCTCTAGCTCCACCCACTCCCTCCAAAAGCTTTGTCCTCTGACAGCTCTGCGAAGGTTTTAGCTGAGTATTTGTGAGCACGTATTTCTTTTGCAGTATTTTTAAAAATCCTCTTGATCTGAGGCAACTTCGCTGGCTTCCTCCCCATTCCCTTGGGCAGGTTGAGAGTGTTGGTTCCTGGCCTGACCTCAGAAACTCAGAGAAGCACAGGATGGGCATAAACTACTTTATCCAAAAGGCAGAACTTTGCAAACACAGTCGTATCTGCTGTGTCTTTTTTGATGTAAGTAGGAATGATGAGTAGGGTGAAGTCACAGGTAAACAACCCAAAACGAATTTCCATGCCCTCCCCACGGATCCTAAAGCAGGGACTGGAGATGGGGAGAGAGGCTAGATGTACTTGGAACAAAATTCACCTTGTATTTATTACCTGGGCGCTGGTGTTTTTTGAAAAAAGCAAACAAGATAACCATATTAGTCTGATGCTGAGACTATGCCCTATCTGTAAGAATCCTTGGGCTGGGCGCGGTGGCTCACCCTTGTAATCCCAACACTTGGAGGCCAAGGTGGGCGGATCACCTGAGGTCAGGAGTTCGAGACCAGCATGGCCAACATGGTGAAACCCCGTCTCTACTAAACATACAAAAATTAGCTGGGTGTGGTGGTGGGCGCCTGTAATCCCAGCTACTCAGGAGGCTGAGGCACGAGAATCCCTTGAACCTAGGAGGCGGAGGTTGCAGCGAGCTGAGATGTCGCCACTGCACTCCAGCCTGGGCGACAGAGCGAGACTCCGTCTCAAAAGAAAAGAAAAGAAAAGAAAAAAAGGCAGGGCACAGTGGCTCACGCCTGTAATCCTAGCACTTTGGGAGGCCGAGGCAGGCAGATCGCTTGAGGTCAGGAATTCCAGACCAGCCTGGCCAACATGGTGAAAACCTGTCTCTACTAAAAATACAAAAATTAGCTGGGTATGGTGGCGCACGCCTGTAATCCGAGCTACTAGGGAGGCTGAGACAGGAGAATCGCTTGTACCTGGGAGGTGGAGGTTGCAATGAGCTGAGATCGTGCCATTGCACTCCAGCAGCCTGGACAACAGAGCAATACTTGGTCTAAAAAAAAAAAAAAGAAAGAAATGCAACGTAGGTCTCTCACGAAATTAGCCCAAATCTTCAGCCATCTTCTACAGGCTGTGAAACCAGGAGAGGAATTGAGTCCATCTTACCTTGACCTCCCAGGCAGGGAGCGGACCAGGTAATTTTTGGGTGACAATACAACTATTCTGTTAATGCACCTTTTTCTTGAGGTAAGTTCTAATGTGATCCGTTTTGGTTACAGCTTTCTATAACAGAATATTTTATTCTTTCATCTTTAATGTTTCTCTAGTTTTCTCTTTTAGGATTTAGAGATCATTCAGTCTCATCTCAAATATTTCAATTTCCATGTGGTTCTTTCATAAACATTTATCCACAGTGAGCCTGCCCTGCATTCTTTGGGTGTGGCTGACAGTTGCAGCCACCCTCAGGTCTGCGGGGGTGGGTGTGTTGCCCCTGAACTGCAATAGCAGAATTTCTCCCTAGCCTGGCAGGGGAGTGCAATCGTGGACTTGCTTTTCCACCCGCTGGGGTTGCATTTCATAGGTGCCGAGTGCCTGGGGGGCCCAGGCCTTTTCACATGAGGGTTTTCAGCCCAGATGTCCCTCCTGCTCTAGGGGAACCCTTCACATCAGTCAGGTGACTTGCTGGACTGGTAGAGCCTCTGCCATCAGCCTCTGATGCAAAACCTTTTCTCAGGTGTCTGTGCGGTCCATGGAGACCCGAGTTCCCAGGTTTGGGAGGGATGCCACTTTCCTTAGGAAGAACAGCAATGTATGTCGTCCTTCCCATCCATGCAGATGGGACAGGGCTCTCAGGAAATCTGCCATTAGCATCGCCCTAGAAGATGCACAGGCAGAGGCAGCTGCTGGGCACAGGCACTTGGGGAAGACAGGAGCCATGACGCCACGCCACCTGTTGGTACCCAAAGGAAGTGGCTCTTTTGGCTGCTTGGCACCATTCTTATGACCCTTCCATTTTGTTTCTAGTCTCAGAAGGGGTGGAGAAAGTCATCCTTCCTAAATGGTGTTGACTCTCAGACATCTGACCGTGCCAGGAGAATGGCTGTGCAAGGCGGCAGCCCAGGCCCGGGCAGGTGGCGGCCAGGAGTTGGGACCACAGAGGGCACTAGCAAGAGCAGCAGCTGCTCCGAGATGCTTTGGCACAAGTCAGGATACGTATTTTGTAGTTTTCTCTTGTTTTTTATTTTTCTGAGGTGGAGTCTCACTCTGTCGCCCAGGCTGGAGTGCAGTGGTGCAATCTCAGCTCACTGCAAGCTCCGCCTCCCGGGTTCAAGCGATTATCGTGTCTCGGCCTCCAGAGTAGCTGGGATCACAGGTGCACGCCACCACACCCAGCTGATTTTTGTATTTTTAGTAGAGATGGGGTTTCGCCATGTTTGGTCTTGAACTCTTGGCCTCAGGTGATCTGCCCCCCTCAGCCTCCCAGAGTGCAAGGATTACAGGCGTGAGCCACCGCACCCCACCTCCCGGCCTTTTCTCTTGTTTCATTTTGGTAAACTAAATTAGTTTAATACCTCTACCCCATCGGTGGTTGGAATTCCCCACCTCAATCATTTTGGGGGCTCTCTGCCTCCTTTGAATAGGACAGATCTCCAGGGGTTTACCCAGGCTCCGAAGAGCCACTCCAGGCAGCCGGCTGTTTGGGGAGGTGCACCCTGGTCTTCTAGTCTGCGGATTCCCTGCATCGCTCCCCTGGTACTGCTCTCAAGCTCAAGGGTCACCTCAGCCAGATGTGCCCTAGGCTGGCAGAGGTCCTTCCCCTAAATGCAGCTGGGCAGGATGCCACCCTTTCTACAATAAGTTCGGTCCCAGGGATTCCCCCAACACACACACACATACATTCTCTCTTACTCACATCCTCACACACACTCACACACCCCACCACACTCACACACTTTCAAAATCCACCGACTCTCACGCTCACACTCGCCAGCCCTTTCCCTTGCTCTGTCACTTCCCTCCAAGTCCCCGCCCCACACAGCCTCCTGCAGTCCCAGCCCCCTTGGTGCCAGCCATCTCTGGTGCCAGCCATCTCCCCCAAATATCCACCCTTCTGGGCTCCTTTCTGCCCAGAGGGACCTGAAGTTTCCCTAGGAAGCACTTGCTAAAGGCCTCCAGTCTCCAACTCCTGGGGAAGAAGGATCCAGGCCTCTGCCGCACAAAGCCTCCACTGTTCTCTTGGGGCTGGCACCCCTTCCTGTGGCCCTGTGGCACCAAACAAATTGATTCATCCAGCGAATATTTCTTATTTACTCTGTTCCACATGGTGGTGAGTGAATCAACCCTGGACTCTCCCCACAAAGGACTTAAGAACACGCAGGTCATGAACAAATGAACACTTTTGCATAATTTTTATGACCAACGGTGACCAGGCCAAGAGCAGGATGAGGTGATGGAGAATACCTTGGCCTGGGGCATCGGAGGAAACTCTTGCGAGGATGTGCTACCTCCGTTGAAAGTGGGAAGATGAGAGACCGGCTGTAAGAGGAGCAAGGGAAGGAGGTTCTGGAATGAGAGAACAGCACGAACAAAATGCCCGAGACAGGAGCGAGCTTGGCACCTTCAAGAAAATAAAGAGGAGAATCACTGAACCTGGCACGTGGAGGTTGCAATGAGCTGAGATCGCGCCACTGCACTCCAGCCTGCGAGACAGAGCGAGACTCCATCTCAAAAAAAAAAAAAAAAAAAAAAAGGAAAGAAAAGGAGGCCATTGGGATGGCTGAGGCTGGAAGGGTGGACCAGGTGCCCCACAGGCAAGAGGTCCCAACTATAGATGAAGCACGCAGGCTACAGACAGGTGAGTGGTGCCTCGGGTGAGAGGCAAGTTTGTCTCCATAGGTCATCCTGCTACACGGAATTCTCCAGAATCCCCTGCAAAGGTGTAGATGGGCTGGGTGCAGTAGCTCATGCCTCTAATCCCAGCACTTTGGGAGGTCGAGTCGGGCGGATCACCTTGAGGTCAGAAGTTCAAGACCAGCCTGACTAACATGGTGAAACCCTGTCTCAACTAGAATACAAAAATTAGCTGGGCATGGTGGCATTTGCCTGTAGTCCCATCTACTCAGGAGGCTGAGGCAGGAGAATTGCTTGAACCCGGGAGGTGGAGGTTGCAGTGAGCCGAGATCGCGCCACCGCACTCCAGCCTTGGTGACAGAGCGAGACTCTGTCTCAAAAAAAAAAAAAAAAAAAAAGGTGTAGATGGCTTATGCTTTGTGATTTTCAATGTGACTTGTTTTTATTTTTTTCCAAATCTATAGGTCTTTTATTGAATCATCTAAATATCACAGATACTTAGGTCTGAGGAGTCATCCAACATCGTGTTTCTGTAGCTGGACAACTCTTAGAACCTCCTCAGCAGCCTGCGGAACTGTTCCTTTTTAGGAGACGTAGACAGCACCCCAACATTTTCTGATATCCTTGTTTTTAACTATTGCTGCTTGCTGAATCAGAGCAGCTGAATTTGAACAAGACTGAAACAAGCTCAATGTCGCTTCCTTCAAAGATTAATTCGACATTCTGGGCTTGAGATACTGAATAAGCAACACCTGGCCTCATCCGAACCCTGCAGATGGATTTTCCACCCAAGATGTTTCAGATTTCAACGAGAGTCCCGTTCTCCTGGATAACGACGTTTCTGGGGAAGTGAGCACCCACAGAGGTCATCTTGTAATGGAACCCAGGGCAACCCCTTTGACCATGCTCCGTACACGACTATGAACAGTCCCAACGGCAGCCGGCTCCCTTCAGTTTCCCCACCGTTTGTCAACCCGGAGCCTCTTTTCCTTTCCAAGGAGACTGAGTTCTACATTGATGTGATTGAAGTCTCTCCTCAAGGCTGTGTGCAGTGGCTCACACCTGTAATCCCAACACTTTGGGAGGCAGAGGCAGGCGGATCACTTGAGGCCAGGAGTTTGAGAGCAGCCTGGCCAACATGGTGAAACCATGTCTCTACTAAAAATACAAAAATTAGCCAGGCGTGGTGGCACATGCCTGTAGTCTCAGCTACTAGGGAGGCTGAGGCAGGAAAATTGCTTGAACCCAGGAGGCGGAGGTTGCAGTGAGCCAAGATCGCACCACTGCACTCCAGCCTGGGCGACAGGGCAAGACCCTGTCTCAAAAAAATAAAATAAATAAATAAATAAATAAATAAATAAAGTCCTTCCTCAGGGTTCCTCTCAGGCCCTTCCCAATAACTGTGTGTTCCTTTAGAGTAATGTTGACCTTTTCTGGAATATCCATGGGTTGGTTGCTGGGAACGGTCTTCATTCTCACAGTAGATGCGGCAAAGACAGCAGTTTTACTTTTTTAATATAACTTCCAGGCATCTTAACCTTGGAATTTTGAACATACTAGGACGTGTCTTTCCATGAATATTGTAAATTGTCAGGCTGGTCTAACAAGGCGGTTTTGGAATTCCACTTTGGGAGGTGTAGGAAGAATAACTTTAGAGCGGACCAACCCTCAGACACTGCTGGTAGGCATGTAAAATGGTGCAGTCACTGCAGAAAACAGGACAGTGCTTCCTCCAAAAGCGAAACATAGGACTACTATACATACTATCTATACATACTATATAAACTGTATATATACACTATGTATACAGTATAGACATAGTATATATGTCTACACTATATACATAGTATATACACATAGTATATACACATAGTATATATACATAGTATATACCCAGTATATATACATAGTATATACACAGTATATATACATAGTATATACACAGTATATATACATAGTATATACATATAGATATACGTATATACTATGTATGTAGATATAGATACTATCTATATATATATTATGCTTCCAGACTTAATTATTGCAATACAATTTTTTGTGTACTATTATGTATAATTATATTGTAATTTTATTATTTATTTATTTTTGAGACGGAGTCTTGCTCTGTCACCCAGTCTGGAGTGCAGTGGTGCCATCTCAGCTCACTGCAACCTCTGTCTCCCGGATTCAAGGGATTCTTCTGCCTCAGCCTCCCGAGTAGCTATTACAGGTGTCGCGCCACCATGCCCGGCTAGTTTTTTGTATTTTTAGTAGAGATGCGATTTCACCATGTTGGCCAGGCTGGTCTTGAACCCCTGACCTCAGGTGATCCACCCTCCTTGGCCCCTCAAAGTGCTGGGATTCCAGGCGTGAGCCACCGCGCCTGGACTGTATTGCAATAATTATACATAATACTACATATATACAAATATACATAATATTGTGTATATACATATATACTGTATATATAGATATATAAATATATAGTAGTTTAGATATATGTATGCTGAATCAGAGAAGCTGAATTTGAAACAAGCTTAATGTCCTTTCCTTCAAAGATTAATGTTGTATTAATGTAGGTTAATGTTGAATATACATATATGGCTCTATATATCTATAGTAGATATATATCTACATATATCTATAGTGTATAGATATCTATATACATATACTAAGTGTGTGTGTATATATACGCCAATTAAAAGCAGGGACACAGATATTTGCACACCCATGTTCATAGCCACATTCTTCACAATAGCCAAAAGGCGGAAGCAACCCAAGTGTCTACTGATGGATGAATGGATAAACAAAATGTAATAGATGCACACAATGGAATATTAGCCATGAAAAAGAAGGAAGCATGGATCCATGCTATAATACCAATGGACCTTGAAGACGTGCAAAGTGAGCTGGACATAACATAGGTGGAATCATGCAGGATGATAGAATATTTAGAATAGGAAAATCCATAGAGACAGAAAGTAGACTAGAGGTTACCAGGGGCTAGGAGGAGGAGGACGGGGGTTATTGCATCATGGTTACAGAGTTTCTGGGTGGTGGTGAAAAAGTTTTGGAAATAGTGGTGATGGCCATAAAAACATTGTAAGTGTAATTAACTGAATTGTACACTTAAAAATGGTTAGAAGGTGGCCAGGAGCGGTGGCTCATGCCTGTAATCCCAGCACTTTGGGAGGCTGAGAGGGCAGATCATGAGGTCAAGAGATCGAGATCATCCTGGCCAACATGGTGAAACCCCGTGTCTACTAAAAATACAAAACTTAGCTGGGTGTGGTGGCAGGTGCCTGTAGTCCCAGCTACTCGGGAGGCTGTGGCATGAGAATCGCTTGAACCCCAGAGTGGAGATTGCAGTAAGCCAAGATTGTGCCACTGCACTCCAGCCTGGGTGACAGAGCGAGACTGTCTCAAAAAAAAAAAAAAGAAAAAAAATCTATAGTCACAGCAAATTGCCTATCATAAAATTGATGCTAGTAAAATATTGTAATTCCACTGTTTGGATTTAATTATTTTTTAAAGTTAGATCAGGTAAAAATATCCATTAAAAATTAGGAGGGAAAAGATACTGCTACTGTGTGTCCTATAACTAGGCTCAAGTTCTTCCATCAGCTCCAAAGTATTTTATTTTTATTTATTTATTTTTTTGAGATCGAGTCTCGCTCTGCCACCCAGGCTGGAATACAGTGGCTCCATCTTGGCTCATTGCAACCTCCACCTCTGGGGTTCAAGTGATTCTTCTGGCTCGGCCTCCCAAGTGGCTGGGATTACAGGCAGGAGTCACCGCACCCGGCCAGCTCCAAAGTTCTTTAACCAGTCCTGGTGGCTCCCCAGCTCCACCACCAGGCTCCATGTCCCTTCAGATTGGATCTTGCAGGGTCTCTTGCTGCTTTTCCATCATGGGTGCACACATCTCTGTTGATGGGTTGAGGCTGACCTCACCTGTCCCCATGCATTTTTCTTCCACAGGGTAAACAAGACTGAGAGGAAATAATGGTGTCTAGTTGTGTCCCTAACAATGTCGTTACCCCATATGTGAGTCTACAAACTGATTTTTTCTTTTTCTTTTTTTTTTGAGACAGAGTCTTGCTCTGTTGCCCAGGCTGGAGTGCAGTGGTGCGATCTCAGCTCACCGCAATCTCTGCTGCCTGGGTTCAAGCAATTCTCCTGCCTCAGCCTCCTGAGTAGCTGGGACTACAGGCGTGCACCAGCATGCCCAGTTAATTTTTTTGTTTTGTTTTGTTTTGCTTTTGAGATGGAGTCTCGCTCTGTCGCCCAGGCTGGAGCGCAATGGCATGATCTCGGCTCACTGCAACCTCCGCCTCCCGGGTTCAAGCGATTCTGTATCAGCCTCCCGAGTACCTGGGATTACAGGCGCCCACCACTGTACCTGGCTAATTTTTGTATTTTTAGTAGAGACGGGGTTTCACCACCTTGGCCAGGGTGGTTTTGAACGCCTGACCTCAGGTGATCTGCCTGCCTCGGCCTCCCAAAGTGCTGGGATTACAGGTGTGAGCCACCGTGCCAGGCCTAATTTTTGTATTTTTAGTAGACACGGGATTTCGCCATTTTGGCCAGGCTGGTCTCGAACTCCTGAACTCAGGTGATCCTCCCGCCTTGCCCTCCCAAAGTGCTGGGATTACAGGTGTAAGCCATGGCGCCCGGCCTACAAACTAATCTTAAATCGTTTTCAAAGATCAGCAAAACATGGATAATTGTTGAAAACAGATCATAGACACATGGAGTTGGTCATACCATTCTCTGCATTTTTGTATATGTTTTAAATTTTCCATAATGACTTTAAGTTTGACTTAAATGCATAAATATATGAAAAGGGTATAAATCACCTGGCGTGCTGCTTACTAAAACTCCAAATGTGGGCTGCAAATGCCAAGTAAGTTCATTTGTATGAAATGGAAAGTTTTGATATTATTATTATAGTATACCACTCAACCATTTTCCCTACATATTTGGACATACAGAAGAAATAATCCAAATATTTCTGCAGTAGATATTAAGTGGATCACATTTAATGTGACATTGGAGCAAACTTCAGATGTCGTAAGTTTGTTCTTGCTTTTTGGGCAGTAACTGCACACAGTAGGAAACACGATTCTTCTGGCTGCCCCTGGAATAACAGATTCTGCACAACAGTGTGCACATGGGCCAGGGGGCAGCTAACTGTTCAAATACACCATTGAAGAATGTCCATGGCTGGGTGCAGTGGCTCAGGCCTGTAATCCCAGCACTTTGGGAGGCCGAGGCGGGCGGATCACAAGGTCAGGAGATCGAGACCATCCTGGCTAACATGGTGAAACCTCGTCTGTACTAAACATACAAAAAATTAGCCAGGCGTGGTGGCAGGTGCCTGTAGTCCCAGCTACTTGGGAGGCTGAGGCAGGAGAATGGTGTGAACCCGGGAGGTGGAGGTTGCAGTGAGCCGAGATCGCGCCACTGCACTCCAGCCTGGGCGACAGATCAAGACTCTGTCTCAAAAAAAATAAAATTAAATTAAAAAAAATTTCATATGGTGAAGTATTATGAGACTTTTGATTGAAGTTTGAATTATGATGGGAACATCTTTCTCAGCACAAGGATAGGGTGGGGGCAGGGAGAAACAACCTGGAGAATAAGAGAGACCCGGGAGGCCAAGCACTGTGGCTTACCGGAGGCCAACGTGGGCAGATCACTTGAGGCCAGGGGTGTGAGACCAGCCTAGCCAACACGGTGAAACCCCGCCTCTACTAAAAATGCAAGAATTTGCCGGGCATGGTGGTGCCCACCTGTAATCTCAGCTACTCTCGAGGCAGAGGTTGCGTTGAGCTGAGATCACACCGCTGCACTCCAGACTGGGCAATGAGGCGAGACTCTGTCTGAAAAAAAAAAAAAAACAAAAAAAAAGAAAAGAAAAGAAAGAAAGAAGGGGGAGCTTCAATAGTTATTTAAAAAAAGAGAGAGAGAGAGAGACCTAGGAGTTAGATCAACCAACTGCAATGGATGGATCTTATTTGGGTCTTGATTCAAACCCATAAACCACGCAAAAGCATCTATGAGACAGTCAGAGATGTTAGAACACTGACTGGATATTTGATGACATTGATGAATTCTAAGTAAGTTTTTGACATGTGATAAAGCTATTTTGGATTTTGTCGTTGTTGTTGTTTGAGACAGGATCTCACTCTGTCACCCAGATTGGAGTGCAGTGGTGCGATCTCAGCTCACTGCAACCTCCACCTCCTGGGCTCAAGTGATCCTCCCACCTCAGCCCCCCGAGTAGCTGGGACTACAGGCATGCACCACCACACCCAGCTAATCTTTGTATTTTTTGTAGAGTTGGGGTTTCTCCATGTTGTCCAGGCTGGTCTTGAACTCCTGGGCTCAAGCAATCCGCCCACCTTGGCCTCCCAAAGTGCTAGGACTATAGGTGAGCCACCGTACCTGGCCTGGAAAAAGGTTTTAAAAGTAGTTTTTATTTTTTGGCTGGGCACGGTGGCTCACGCCTGTCATCCCAGCACTTTGGGAGGCCCAGGCGGGCGGATCACAAGGTCAGGAGTTCGAGACCAGCCTGACCAACATGGTGAAACCCTGTCTCTTTTTGTATTTTTGTAAAAATACAAAAATTAGCTGGGCGTTGTGGCGGACACCTGTAATCCCAGCTACTCAGGAGGTTGAGACAAGAGAATCACTTGAACCCAGGAGGCAGAGGTTGCAGTGAGCCAAGATCATGCCATTGCACTCCAGCCTGGGTAACAGAGCGAGACTCCGTCTGAAAAAAAAAAAAAGTAGTTTTTATTTTTTAAACATATGTGTACTGGAATATTTATAAATGAGACTGCTTCATGCCTGGAATTTTTTCTTCCAAATAATTTCGTGAATGGTGGGTGAAGACTGAGTGTAGGTCTAAAGCTGGCCATGAAGCCCTCAGTGTCGAAGCTGTGAGACGGGTGCATGGCTCTGCGTGTCTCTATAATAAAAAGCCAGAGGTATGTGTTGAATGAAGGGGACCCTCTCCTACACTTCTGCCCCTTCATCCACCTAAGGAAACCACATTTGCTTTTACCTGTCCCATCTCTGCTGCCCCGTCTCTGCCACTGCATCGCACTTTTCTTTTCTTTTTTCTTTTTTTTTTTTTTTGAGACAGGGTCTCACTCTCTTGCCCAGGCTGGAATGCAGTGGTGCAATTATAGCTCACTGCAACCTCTGCCTCCGAGGTTCAAGTAATCCTCCTATCTCAGCCTTTTGAATAGCTGGGACCACAGGTACATGCCACCACGCCTATTTTTTGCAGAGACAGGGTTTTGCGAAGTTGGCCAGGCTAGTCTCGAACTCCTGGGCACAAACAATCCACCCGCCTTGGCCTCCCAAAGTGCTGGGATGACAGGCGTGAGCCACCACACCTGGTCTGCATCCCATATTTGACTCAGAGCTCACTGGCCTTGTTTCTCTGGAGGACACAGGGCGCCCCCTCCCGCCGGACAGGAGAGGCTCCTTGCAGAGGCTGATTCCCATTCTTGAGCTAGGAAGTGGCCGTTCTGAACATCGGATACAGCCACACGGAGAGAGCCCACGTTCTCTTTGATAATACTGTTTATTGTCCACGGACCGAGCGATTGCTCAAGAATGATACAAAGCATCAGAGACATGCGCAGTCTGCTTGTCAACTTTCAACAACTCTTGTGTGTTCCCAGCACCGGAAGGTCTCAGACTTCATATTCCAGCATAAACACAGTGCTCCCCTCCCCCAAAAATCCAAACGGAAACAAAATCAACAGAGCTTTAAATTACGGCAGCAAGTCCAATATTTCTTAATACTTATCAAGCAAAGATTTGAAAATAACTACAATGTAAACTTTATTTTAAATATTTTGAGTTGCTTGCAGGATGAAAATAGGAGAAGAGAGCTGTGCTTAGAACATAACATATAAATTAAACGATGCCAAATGGAGAGCCTTCTTAAACTATATATATATTGCCACTATTTATTGTGAAGGTATTTGAGCGGCTTCCTCTGTCAGCTGCCACCCGGCTCTTCTTAACCTGTTTTGTTTTCTGCTCAGCACGGTTAAAAGACCAACGTGTGTGGATCAAATATAAAGGCCACACCTTTCAGACCGAACCTACTCAAAGATCCTTTACTTTGCAATAATTTGAACTGGAGAACCAAAGACGGGAGACGAATGAAAGCAAAGATGCTCAAAGAACCAAAGGAAAGACCTGAAGGAATCCACCTGCATAGGCCACGCGTTCCACTCTGGGTCAAATGCTTCCACGATGCAGAAACCTTTTTTTAAAAAAGTGCAAGTCTAATACCTACCAAGGGTAATAAAAAACACAGCACAGGAATGATTACAGCTGATGTCAAAAACAAACCAAAACATTAAAAAAACAATCAGCAGAAACAGGAGTAAATGTTACATATGATATCACCATACAGGAAGCGAACAGGGGTGGGGTGTTATATGGGTTGGAGGGGTCTGGTGGAGTTGTATATACTGAAATCACATGGACTGGTCCATTATGACATCTTACCAACTTTAGGTCACTGTACAGCATGAAAACGCCCGTGGGGCAGGGGCCGATTCCTGGATACCCTCCCAGTCTGCCCTAGAAAGGGAAGTCATCAAGATCTGTGCTGACCAGGTCCCGGTGGGCATGGGGGCTGCATGCCACTTGGGGGTCAGGAGTCTTAACAGGTGCTTTGGGGTTGCCGCTGAATAGAACAGGCTAAGGTGGCTTTGGAAGCATTTTGCAAGACCACGCCCAGGCCGCCAAGCTTCGGTTTCATTGCGTGTGTATGTTTACATAATGTGCCTGTATATCGTCAGTTTATCTTTACAACACAGGTGGGAGGAAACAAGAGATTCTCCTTATCATTACCGAGAAAGTTCTTCCTATCCTAACCCCCATATCACTGGCTTCAGGAAACCACACTGAGGGAACACATAGGTTCCCTAGTTCCCTAGGAAGTTTCTTAGCTAGGTAATCTTTGTCATTTAAGAAATACAAGCAGAAGTTGGTATATCTGCAACTCAGGTTCACCTATCATCTGAGAATTCACCTTTAGAAAAATAAGATGTCTCTTAAAACAGGCCATAGTGTCCTGGAGGCTGAGAAAGAAGTGAGTGTGTCACCAAAGCCACCTACCTCCAAAATCCTTCCCTTCCTAGGCTGGACTTCTTACTATGCTTAGCTGGCGTCACATGCAGAAAGCCCCGTGCAGAACGATGGCTGTCAGTCTTTGAGGGAGGGAACACTAAGCCTGGGAGGGCACAGCAAGACCCAGCTTTTTCTGTCCTCAGGATGTGCAGATGGGGAGCCCAGCCGGGCCCTGCACACAAGCCCGGATAAAGCAAAGCTGTGCAACTCAATCCAGGTGCCTGATGCCAGAACAGGCAAGAAGCAATGGCAACCGCAGCAGCTAGGGAAGGGACCTTGAGGGCAGCCACCGGCCCCGGACAGCAGCCTCAGGACAGGACCTCACCGATTCCTCCTGCAAGCTGGGGAGCATGTGGGCGGGGGGGGGGGGGTGGGGGGGTGGGTGCAGACCAAAAAGACTCAGCTGAGGCTGGAACGCAGCTCAGCTGGGGTTTCTCGCTCCCATTTCTACAAGGCTCAGAGGGAGGCTCCCACTGGAATTCTGAGGATTAATAGGATTGATGGGGCTCCTTCAAGAACTAGCCACTGGTTCCAGGCTGCCCTTGGATGTGGGGGGAGTCAGGTGCTGGGAGCTCATGGTGGGCACCGGGGCGATGGGAGCACTTGCCAGGGGCAGGGAGTGCAGAGGCGTGGAAGCTGCAGAAAACAAGGGCCATGTCCCTCTCAAGATGAAAGGGACCTGGTAGGCCTGCTACACAGTCTTGCAACGACCCTCAAAAGTTTCTGCAAAATGCACATTTCCAGGCCCTGCCCTAACCCAGCTGGGAGATCCCTAAGTGCTGCCTGCTTGGCATCTGTGACGGTGCCAAGGCAGGGACTGGGAGGGAAGCCGCGTGTCCCAGCCCTGCCTGCACCCAAGGATCGAAGCCCCAGACACATAGTGCCTGGCAGAGGGAGGATGGGATGAGGACCTTGGACCCACGTCTCCCTCCAGACCCACAACCATGTCTAAAAGGAGAAGGGGGGAGCAGAATCATATTAATTTGGACCCATGGGATGAGTGTTTTATTCATGCTGTTTCCAGGAAGGGATGTCAGAGCTGGACCAGTCGAAACCCTTGGAGGCTTTTTTTGCAGTTGGCCACAGGGGCGTTGGAGGCCTGCTTATGGGTCCTCGATGTCGAGAAACTCCTGCTTGGGGGGCGCCGCGCCGCGGTACCACGCACAGGAGCCGTCACTTCTCTTGATGCAGGCGAAGAACTTGGCCTGGTGCCCGTTGATGTTCTTCTCTGTGACCCAGTCCATCCAGAGGCACTCGTCCGGGGAGGAGATGTAGCACGGGATCATGGGGCAGCGCGTGATCTGGGGAGGGGCACACGGAGGGGGACGGAGTCAGGGACCCAGGAAGGGGTGGGCAGAGGCTGCTCTGGGGGCATGTCCAGAACCCGGCAATGTGCCTACCTGTCATGTGCAGGGATGGCAGCCTCTCCCGAGACCCACGGTTCCTGCAGGGGCAGGCAGCTGGCCTGCGAGGGGGTCTAACCTGCAGGGAAGCTGTGCCCTGCCCACCGCTGCCCCCCCTCCTACTGCAGGTGTGCTTCCCTTTGGGCCATCTTCTACCTTCCTGAGCATGACAGAATGGCCTCAGCTTGGCCCTGCCCTCTGGGGGACACAGCAACAATAAAAGGGCCTGGGTTTCCTGGAGACAGATTCCAGCCCAGTGTTGCTCGCAAGCCGAGCCCCGAGGTCATCGGCAACTAGCAATTTGGCCAAGGAACCCTAGGCTACAAGAGGATGACCGCCTTCACCACCGTGGAAAGAAAAAGGAAAAACTTGCTTTTGATTTCATGCTGGGCACAGAGGAGTTTCGCTTAACATACGTGTGGCTGGAGACTATGAGTTCAGAATTCCTGTTTTGAACATGCGGAGAAGGGGCTGGGGGCCGTCAGGAGGGAGGGCAGCCCCAGGCAGCTCCCCAGGGAAGGCCAATCCCCACAGCCTCACCAGAGTCTCCTGGTCCCAGACTCACTGGGAGTGACCCAGGGTGGGAGGTGCCCAGCACTCAGCCATGCTTCCTGCAGGGAGGGTGGGGATAGGGTGCTAGGAGCCCACAGGGTAGGAGCCAGCCTGGGAGCCCTGGAGGCGGTAATCTCACCTTCCACAGCCACATCTAGGCGCTGCACTGCTCCAGCTGTGCCTGGCACAACCTCCGGGCTCATTTTAAGAGGAGCAGGTGTTCAGGTATTCTCAACACACAGACCCCACATAGACACCAACCCAGGTGTGAAAATGTCGGGAATGTTGGAAACAGCGTAAGGCCTGCAGTGCCTTCTCATAAGCCACACAGGCGTTTGCACTTGCACATTTGTAGAAAATTCTCCATGGGACCATATTCTCTCTCCCCATACAGCTCCTTTTTCTGGAAGCTACAGGTAACAGAGCTGAATTCATGCTCTTACTCTCAAATCTCCTAGCCTTCCAGACATCTCCCTCTTTTTTTTTTGGGACAGAGTCTCACTCTGTCAACCCAGGCTGGGGTGCAGTGGTGTGATCTCAACTCACTGCAACCTCCACCTCCCACATTCAAGCAATTCTTAAGCCTCATCCTCCCAAGTTGCTGGGATCACAGGCGTGCACCACCTCACCTGGCTAATTTTTGTATTTTTGTAGAGACAGGGTTTCGCCATGTTGGTGAGGCTGATTTCCAACTCCCGACCTCAAGTGACCCACCTATCTCGGCCTCCCAAAGTGCCGGGATTACAGGCGTGAGCCGCAGCGCCCGGCCTCCAGACATCCCCTGTCAGAGATGTGCCTCAGGGCTCTCCAGGGACCAGGGGTCAAAGGCTCTGTCCCCAGCCAGACAGCCTTACTCTTGGGATGACTCTACCTTCCCAGAGCCTGGTCTTAGATCAGGAGCCGGGGATTAACGGGTCCTGGAAAGCCAGGGATCAAAATCCCTGCCGTCCATCTGGAGACACTGGGAGGAGGCGATGCTCCAGCAGAGGCAGGACCTGCTTACCTTGCACTCGCAGCCCATCTGGTACCTGTGGTTCAGGCTCTTCTTCTGGGTGGTGCTCAGGGTGTCCCAGGGCACGATGAAGTCACAGAGGGTGATGTGCATCTTGCCGTCCCCCTCGGCCTTTCCTGCGGAGAGACGGGGATCACCGAGCTCAGGGAGAGGGAAAAGTCCTCCTCCTGCCCAGCTCCTCCACCCGGCGCAGGGGCGCTGGGATTTCGTTGCAACAATCCTGTGCACTGTCTATTCTGAGTTAAAACACAGTGGGTGGCCAGGCACGGTGGCTCACTCCTGTAATCCCAGCACTTTGGGAGGCTGAGGCGGGTGGATCTCTTGAGGCCAGGAGTTCAAGACCAGCCTGGCCAACGTGATGAAACCCCCTCTCTACTAAAATACAAAAAATTAGCCGGGTGTGGTGTCACACGCCTGTAATCCCAGCTACTTGGGAGGCTGAGGCAGGAGAATCGCTCTTGCACCCCAGAGGCGGAAGTTGCAGTGAGCCGAGATCGCGCCACTGAACTCCAGCCTGGGTGACACAGCAAGACTCCGTCTCAAAAAAATAAAAAGTGGAAAAAAAAAGAAAGCCATAATGCATGTTCACTGACAGAAACTTAAACATTGGAAACAAAGAAAAAACTTCCTGGCCAGGGGCGGTGGCTCATGCCTGTAATCCCAGCACTTTGGGAGGCCGCGGCAGGTGGATCACAAGGTCAGGAGATCGAGACCATCCTGGCTAACACGGTGAAACCCCCGTCTCTACTAAAAATACAAAAAATTAGCCAGGCGTGCTGGCGGGCACCTGTAGTCCCAGCTACTCAGGAGGCTGAGGTAGGAGAATGGCGTGAACCCGGGAGGCGGAGGTTGCAGTGAGCCGAGTTGGTGCCACTGCACTCCAGCCTGGGCCTGGGCGACAGAGCGAGACTCAGTCTAAAAAAAAAAAAGAAAAGAAAAAAATTCCCTACTTTCATTACCCACAGCTAATATTTTGATGTATTTCCTTCCAATATTCCACTATTGATTTTGAGACAGTCTTGCTCTGTCGCTCAGGCCAGAGTGCAATGGTATGATCATAGCTCACTGCAGCCTTGACCTCCCAAGCTCAAGCGATCCTCCCGTCTCAGTCTCCTGAATAGCTGGGACTATAGGTGTGAACCACTACACCCTGCTAATTTTTTATATTTTTTTTTGTAGAAACAGGGTCTTGCTATGTTACTCAGGCTGGTCTTAAACTTCTGCGCTCAAGCAATACCCCCACTTTGGCCTCCCAAAGTGTTAGGATTATAGGCATGAGCCACCACGCCTGGCCCCAATATTCTTTTAAATTAAATTTTATTCTAAAAAAAGGATAGAGACGATGTTTCACCATGTTGCCCAGGCTGGTCTTGAACTGAGCTTAAGTGATCCTCCCACCTTGACTTCCCAAAGTGCTGGGATTACAGGTGTGAGCCACTGCGCCCGGCCAATATTCTCTTCTATGTGCATCTTCACACATAAAACGTCATGCAGTATGTAGATTATATTGTTTCCTGTTTTGTTTTTCACAAAATATTAATTCACAGGTGCTTCTCCCATTTGAGTTTAAACTTATAATTCTGCATTTTTCCATTATGAAGAGCCAAAGCATGGAATTTTTGAAAATTAGGAATCTGCTCTGAATTCCCTTCATCAGGCATGATGAGCTGTGGCTTCTTTCTGTACTTCCGGCTCCTGACTCAGCTGCCTCCTTCCTTTGCTGAAGATACTACATTGGCAATAGCCTTGGCGTTTTACAAGCAGGAGGAAAAGAACAAAGCAGTGTGTTCCAGTGGCTGACAGAACCTAATGACAGCTATGGAAGTCATTTAAAAACTCATCCCTCAGGCCAGGTGCGATGGCTCATGCCTGTAATCCTAGCACTTTGGGAGGCTGAGGTGGGCGGATCACTTGAGGTCAGGAGTTCGAGACCAGCCTGGCCAACATGGCGAAACCCCGTCTCTACTAAAAATACAAAAAGAAATAGCCAGGCGTGGTGATGCATGCCTGTAATCCCAGCTACTCAGGAGACTGAGGCAGGAGGATCGCTTGAACCCGGGAGGTGGAGGTTGCAGTGAGCCGAGATTGCAAACTGCACTCCAGCCTGGGCGACAGAGACAGACTCCATCTCAAAAAAGAAAATAAATAAAAAATAAATAAAATAAAAACTAATCTTTCAGGCAGGGCATGGTGGCTCATGGCTGTAATCCCAGTACTTTGGGAGGCTGAGGTAGGGACATCACTCGAGGTCAGGCATTTGCGACTAGTCTGGCCAACATGGTGAAACCCCGTCTCTACTACACATACAAAAATTAGCTGGGCATGGTCGTGGGTACCTGTAATCCCAGCTACTCGGGAGGCTGAGGCAGGAGAATCGCTTGAACCCAGTGGGCAGAGGTTACAGCGAGAAGAGGTCATGCCACTACATTCCAGCCTCAGTGACAAGAGCAAAACTCCATCTCAAATAAATACATAAAATAAAAAAAATACAAAAAATTAGCCGGGTGTGGTGGCGGGTGCCTGTAGTCCCAGCTACTCAGGAGGCTGAGGCAGGAGAATCACTTGAACCCAGGAGGTGGAGGTTGCAGTGAGTCAAGATCAAGCCACTGCACTCCAGCCTGGGTGACAGAGTAAGACTCTGTCTTCAAAACAAAAAAAACAAAAACAAAAACAAAAAAAACCTCATCCCTCCTGCTACAACAGCCCCTTGTGAAGAGACACAGGTGTCAGTGATGAGCACCCACGCCTGGCAGAGACTGATGGGCAATTCCTTGAGAAGCAGACAGAGCCTCAGGCTGTGCCCTAAGCACTTTTGTTTGACAAAGTTTCAGCGCATCTGACTTAATGATCTCAGGCACAGCACCAGCCTCAGAGGATCCACTAATAGAAACACAGCCCAGCGAAGGACTAATGCAGCTCATCGACTGCACCCCTGTGCCATGGAAATGTGGATGGCTTGCCTGGGGCTCCAAGCAGACACAAGTGGCCTCCATTGTCCTGGGCACGGGGCACTCATTGTGCCAGCTCCCTGGGTTTGAATTCTTATGCTCGCACTTCCTGTTCTAGCTGTTCCTTTATCTTCGGGTCCTTTTCTCCGTTTAGACTTATGTGACATTCCAGGTGAGGAACAGGATGAGAAAGTAGAATTACTCCTGTAACATTTATTCCAAATCCTATAACTTCATAAGGTAAATGTTTGGGTGGCCTTAAACAATTCAAAACTAGCTGGGCATGGTGGCTCACACCTGTAATCCCAGCACTTTAGGAGGCCAGGGTGGGCAGATCACTTGAGGTCAGGAGTTCGAGACCAACCTGGCCAACACGGTGAAACCCCGTCTCTACTAAAAATATAAGAATTAGCTGGGGGTGGTGGTGCATGCCTGTAATCCCAGCTACTCAGGAGGCTGAGGCAGGAGAATCGCTTGAACCCGGGAGGTGGAAGTTACAAAGAGCCAAGATCGCGCCATTGCACTCCAGCCTGGGCAACAGAGCAAGACTCCGTCTCAAAAAAAAAAAAAATCAAAATTAGATATATAACTTTCCCCACTAGACCTATAGCTATTTTCTGTGAGTTCAGAATAGATCAGGAAGGAGCAAAACAGACAGATGGAAAGGAACCCATTCCTGTATCCTGGTTGATTCTGGCATTTGGCGCCCATACAGGTATACCGCAGCCCCTTCCCTGTCCAGCCTGGGCACCTGCCACTACAGACAGGCTGAAGCTCTATCCTGGCTTCCCAGCTTCTATGGTGATTTCCACTGTATGTATCACTTGACCAGCATTAACTCCCACTTTCTATTAGATTTGCCTTTCTTCTGCATCTCGCTCCTTAATCAGAGAGTACGTATAGAGAGTAAGGGCTGTGTCTTAACCCTTTTGTTTCCACAGTTCCCTGCACATAGTAATTGCTCAATAAGTTTACTGATGAGACACACCCGTGCTTGTTCTAATGATATGCTTCACATTCTGCCTTTTCCTGCCATCTTCTCTTTTGGCCTTTTACCACCAATTCTGGCTTCCTCAGGAGGTAAGCAATGGCAGGAAGAAGAGATGAAGTGAAAATTGTATTTTTTCTTTTTTTTTTTTTTGGAGACGGAGTCTTGCTCTGTCACCGAGGCTGGAGTGCAGCGGTGCCATCTCGACTCACTGGAACCTCTGCCTCCCAGGTTCAAGCATTCTCCTGCCTTAGCCTCCCAAAAAATTGGGATTACAGGTATGCGCCACCACCCATGGCTAATCTTTGTATTTTTTAGTAGAGACACGGTTTCACCATGTTGGCTGGGCTGGTCTTGAACTCCTGACTTCAAGTGATCCACTGCGCCCAGCCAAAAAATTGTATCTTTTCAATGGTCCTAGTTATTGGGCTAACATGAACGTGGCTGTCATGTATAAATGTGAAGAGAGGACCGCCTCTGGTCTGATTAAGACTTGGTTGGGTGTACACACCGTGAGCATCTGCAGCGATGTTCTACTTATGTCTGTCTCCGAGAAAAGCGAGGCATGAGTCTGGGTTACAGAAAACCGGGAATTAAAATTTGTAACGAAGGGTTGTATGTTTATTTTTCCTTTTGGAGAAGAGGAATGTAGAAGAAAATTACAGGGCCAACTCTGTATGAGTCTCCTGGTGCCCGACTCGACACGTGAGACTGAGTCATCGGTCCAGGAGGAGGTGGCCCGCTCAGGCCATGCGGTCACTCACTGGCCACAGCCAGCCAGAGCTGAGTGGTTCACTGTGCCCTGTGATTTCTGGTTAGCCCCTGGATAAAGGGTCTATCCTGACTCGAGGCAAACTGGATCTAGGTTCCTGCCTCGGGAAATAAATGCCAGATTCAATGTGGAGTCATCTGACCAAGGCTGGGAAAGAAGTCAGATGAGAGAGGTTCCTCTCGCCATGAGGTGAGTCAGCCACTGTGGCCATTAACAGCTTCACCCCTGCTCCCCCTCCCAGGGAGAGGAGGATGAAGTAATGCAGCCTCATTGGTGGAGAAGATACACAGCCAGCTGGCCACTGGGCAGGTCTCACAATCTTTGTTGATTTTTAGAAACAGGAAGTCCATGTGCAGATTTGTTACATGGGTATATTGTGTGTCCCTGAGGTTTGGCATATGAACGGATCCATCGCCCAGGTAGTGGGCATAGCGCCCAATAGGTAGAATTTTTTCAGCCCTTATCCTGCTTCCTCCCTCCCACCTCCTTGTATTCCCCAGTGTCTCTTGTTCACATTTTTATGACCATGTGTACCCAATGTTTAGCTCCCACTTTTAAGTGAGAACATGTGGTATTTGGTTTTCTGTTTTTGCACTAGTTCCCTTAGGATAATGGTTTCCAGCTGCACTCATGTGGCTGCAAAGGACATGATTTCCCTCCTTTTCACGGCTGCGTAGTATTCCGTAGTATATATACACCACATTTCTTTATCCAAGTCACCATTGATGAGCACTTGGGTTGATTCTGTGTCTTTGCTATTGCAGATAGTGCGGTAATGAACATACGGGCGCAGTGCCGTTGAACGATTTATTTTCCTTTGGGTATACACCCAGCAGTGGGATTGCTGGGTCAAATGCTAGTTGCTTTCTCAGTTCTTTGAGAAATCTACAAAGTGTGCCCCACAGTGGGTGAACTCGTTTACATTCCCACCAACAGCGCATAAGCGTTCCTAAGCGTTCCCTTTACTCCATAGCCTTGCCAACATTGGTTTATTTTTATTTTTTATTTATTTTTTTTGGGTGGGGGGACAGTCTTGCTCTGTCGCCCAGGCTAGAGTGCAGTGGCACAATCTTGGCTCACTGCAACTTCCGCCTCCCGGGTTCAAGTGATTCTCCTGCCCCAGCCTCCCAAGTAGCTGGGACTGCAGGCGCCCGCCACCATGCCTGGCTAATTTTTTGTATTTTTAGTAGAGACGGGATTTCACTGTGTTAGCCAGGATGGTCTCAATCTCCTGACCTCATGATCCACTCGCCTCAGCCTCTCAAAGTGCTGGGATCACAGGCGTCAGCCACTGCGCTGGGCTGTTTTTAACTTTTTAACTAAAGCTCTTCAAAATCTTTCAATGTCAGCTTTCTACCGAGGATCCCGCCACAGGTCCAGGGAGCAATGCCCTTTCAGCAGAGCCTTCACGCTCATTCTGCTACAGGCTACCCTAGCCCTCCTTAGACCTTCAGTATGACTCTCTGTATCGACTCACCAGCTTTTCATGCAGTGCTGTGCTGCGTGTATGGGTCACTGTCATCTCCAGTGTAAGACATAAAATTATCAGCTACCCTTGAGTGGGGCCTGACCAAGATAACCAGCATCTCTGTGATCATCATTTCTGGTCTCCTACTCCCACTTTCATCCTCTCAACAACCCCTCGTGGGGCAGATACTACTGTCATCATCCCCCATGTACGGATCGGCATGGGAGGCACAGACAGGTAAAGTTACTTGGCCAAGGACATTAACGAGTCAGGTGTCAGAGCACACATTCGAACTCGAGCAGGTGTTTTCAGAGCCTTCACTCGGGCATCTCATTGTATTTCTTCACATCTTTTCATGACACTTAGTCGTTATCTTTTTCTCTTCTAAAACAGAGACAGGGTCCCGCCCTGCCACCTGGGCTAGAGTGCAGTGGTGCAGTCCTAGCTCACTGCAGCCTCAAATGCCTGAGCTCAAGAGATCTTCCTGCCTCAGCCTCCCAAGTAGCTAGGACTACAGGTGCACATGACCACACCCAGCTCATCTCTTCTTTCCTTCCTTCCTTCCTTCTTCTTCCCTCCCTCCTTTCTTCCCTGCCTCTCTCCCTCTCTCCCTGACTCCCTTCACTCCCTCCCTCCTTCCCTTCCTCCCTTCCTCCATGCCTCCCTCCCCCTTCCTCCCTCCCTTCCTTCCTTCCTTCCTTCCTCCCTTCCTGTTTTGTAGAGATAGGGTCTTGCTATATCGTCCAGGCTGATCTTGAACTCCTAACCTGAAGCCATCCTCCTGCCTCAGCCTCCCAAAATGCTAGGATTACAGGTGTGAGCCACTATGGTCAGCCCATTTCCTTATTTTCTTTATGCAATAAACTGTTTGCACTTGGCACCTTTAGTTCTGTGTCCTCATCAAAACCTCGTGCCTCCTCCTTGAGATACTAAGTAGTATCTGAGTTAAAAAGTTAATGGAAATGTTAACAATTTGAAAACATATATAGAATTCAACTTAGAAGAGTATTACATATTTTGGAAACTTTAAAATGTATGCACATAAAAAGAAATAAAATCTACCAGCCGGGTGCAGTGGTTCAAGCCTGTAATCTCAGCACTTTGGGAAGCCAAGGCAGGCGGATCACCTGAGGTCAGGAGTTCAAGACCAGCCTGACCAACATGATGAAACCCCGTCTCTACTAAAAAAATACAAAAATTAGCTGGGCGTGGTGGTGCATGCCTGTAACCTCAGCTACTCAGGAGGCTGAGGCAGGAAAATTGCTTGAACCTGGGGGGCGGAAGTTGCAGTGAGCCAAGATCGCGCCACTGCACTCCAGCCTGGGCTTTGTTGCCTCCGTCTCATAAATAAATAAAATAAAATAAAATCTGACCCATGCTACAACATGGATGAACTTGAGGACATTATGCTAAGTGCAATGCTTCAGCTATGGAAGGAGGTATGACTCTACCTGTACGAGGTGTCTAGAATGGGCAAATTCATGGAGACGAAGTAGAAAGGTGGTTGTCAGGGGCTGGGCAAACAGAGGAACAGGGAATTATTGGTTAATGGGGAGAGAGTTTCAGTTTGGGATGATGAAAAACTTCTAGAAATAGATAGTGATAGTTACACAACACTGTGAATGTACTTAATGCCGCCCAGGTGCGGTGGCTCACACCTGTAATCCCAGCACTTTGGGAGGCCGAGGTGGGCGGATCACCTGAGGTCAGGAGTTCGAGACCAGCCTGGCCAACACAGAGAAATCCCGTCTCTACTAAAAATACAAAATTAGCCAGGCGTGGTGGCACATGCCTGTAATCCCTGCTACTCGGAAGGCTGAGGCAGGAGAATCACTTGAACCCGGGAGGCAGAGGTTGTGGTGAGTTGAGACCACGCCATTGCACTCCAGCCTGGGCAACAAGACAGAAACTCTGTCTCAAAAAAAAAAAAAAAAAATTAGCTGGGCGTGGTGTTGGGCACCTGTAATCCCAGCTACTTGGGAGGCTGAGGCAGGAGAACTGCTTGAACCCGGGAGGCAGAGATTGCAGTGACCCGAGATTGTGCCACTGCACTCCAGCCTGGGCAACAGAGAGAGACTCCATCTCGAACAAAAACAAAAACAAACAGAGAGCTTCAGCATGGGCGAGGATTCAGCTGGGTATGTTTGGACACCGGTGCTGGCTCAGACCAAGGTCACTTTTGCACCCAAGAGTCCTTCCGCAGCGCTGCAGTTTGGCCAGAAAGCCCCTAGAGGGCAGTGTGACGAAACTGAGCTGGGACGGCTGGGACTTACTTTAAAGGCTGTTCCCTGTGGATAGGAACAAACAGGATGCAGAAAACTGGAAGTAAGTTCCCTGCACCACGGGGGATTCTGTCTCCTTTCTTGTCTCTCCAGATTTTATTTTTCTGATGACAAACGTAATAAATGCCATAATTTTAAAGGTTTAATACAGGAAAGAACTGAAAAGGAGACACAGCAGATGCTGACACGCTGGGAAATTTCCTCCCGTGCTCTGTTCTGTGCACAGCTGCAGCAGCCCCCGAATGCCACACTGCAGACCATGCCTCTGCCACGCGCCACCGTGCGTGCTGTGCGGCCACCCCAGCTCTCCTGCCTCCTCTGTGTTTTTTTTGAGGGCATTAGTTAGCTGGTAAGATCTTTGCACCACAGGTGGTTTTTGTCCCTCTACCCTTCTCCATTTGATTTTTTTTTTCTTATTGTAAAAATCATAGATAATACTGGGCGTGTAAAATGGTGCAGCTGCTTTGGAAAACGGTCTGCCAGCTCCTCAAATGGTTAAACCTAAAGTCACCCAACCCCTCCCCACCCCCGACCCCACCAATTCCACTGCCAGGGATACACCCAGGAAAAATGAGAACAGGTCCCTGCAAAATCTCACACACCAATGTTCATTGCAGTATTTGTCACAATGGCCAAACGGTGGCAACAACCCAAATGCACATCAAATGATGACCGGATAAACAAAACGTGGTCTATCCATACAGTGGAATACTCAGTCATAGAAAGGAATGAAATTCTGATACACACTGTAACATGGATGACCCTTGGAAACACGAAAGAAGCCGGTTACACAGGGTCACACGTATGATTCCGTTCCCAGGAAAGCCCAGCATAGAGAAATCTATAGAGACGGGAAGTATACCAGTGGCTGCTTAGGGCTGGGGGAGGGGGAGGGGAGTCAGGAGGGTAATAGCTCAAGAATACAGGATTTCTTTTTGACTGTAGTGATGGTTGCAGAACTCTGTGACATACTAAAACCACTGAATTGTAGGCCGGGCGCGGTGGCTCACGCCTGTAATCCCAGCACTTTGGAAGGCCTAGGCGGGCAGATCACCTGAAGTCAGGAGTTCAAGACCAGCCTGGCCAACATGGTGAAACCCCGTATCTACTAAAAATACAAAAATTAGCCAGGTATGGGGGCACACATCTGTAATCCCAGCTACTTGGGTGGCTGAGGCACGAGAATTGCCCAGGAGGCAGAGGTTGCTGTGAGCCAAGATCACACCACTGCATTCCAGCCTGGGCAACAGAGGGAGACTCTGTCTTGGAATGAGAATAAGAAAAGTGCTCATAATAAAACATTTTAGGAAGTCCAGAAATGCATCTTAAAAGGGGGGGAAGTCTCCTATTATCCCCAAGGAGAGGGATAGAAGTCTTGATGACCGAGATACCCAGCAAAGCAGGAGCTGTGAGCATGTTAAGGAAGGGAGGGAAGATCTTACCCAAGGGGAGATAACAGGAGTCTTCCCTGCCCAACTCACAGCCCTGCATCTTCCTCCCTGCAATGACCTCCTCCCCATCCATAGGCAAGGACACCACCTTCTTCCAGCAGCAAGTCTGTCTAGACCCTTGGACCTGTGAGAGTCTCTCTTCCTTTTGTACCTTCTTTTTTTTTTTTTTTTTTTGAGATGGAGTCTCACTCTGTCGCCCAGACTGGAGTGCAGTGGCACGATCTCGGCTCACTACAAGTTCCGCCTCCCGGGTTCACGCCATTCTCCTGCCTCAGCCTCTTGAGTAGCTGGGACTACAGGCGCCCGCCACCACGCCCGGCTAATTTTTTTTTTGTATTTTCAGTGGAAACGGGGTTTCACTGTGTTAGCCAGGATGGTCTCAATCTCCTGACCTCATGATCTGCCCGTCTCGGCCTCCCAAAGTGCTAGGATTACAGGCGTGAGCCACCTCGCCCGGCCCCTTTTGCACCTTCTAAGCATTCACTTACTATTCACAATTCTCCACAAGCAAAATCTATTTTCTTTCTTTTCCAGTCTCCCCATTCGGAACATCTGTGTGCTCCATGATGACCAGAGCCAAGGATCTCACCGTGGGAATCTCCCATTGTCTCTAACACGGGGCTGGGCACCTAACAGGTGCTCACTAAGCACACATTGATTTTTAGAAGGGAAAAAAGTACATGTCACCTAAACCAGAAGAAAATCCCCCAATCATGGATATTTGGATTTGGAGTATATGTTTATGATTACAGTTGCCTTTTGGAACAAACTATAGTACCAGGCTAGGGGAATTGTCTTGTCTCTTCTTTCTTTTCTCTTTTTTTTTTGTGAGATGGGGTCTTGCTCAGTCACCCAGGCTGGAGTACAGTGGCGTGATCTCAGCTTGCTGCAATCTCTGCCTCCTGGGTTCAAATGATTCTCATGCCTCAGCCTCCTGAGTAGCTGGGACTACAGGCACTTGCCACCACGCCCAGCTAATTTTTGTATTTTTAGTACAGACAGGGTTTTACCATGTTGGCAAGGCTGGTCTTGAACTCCTGACCTCAAGCAATCCGCCCGCCTCAGCCTCCTACATTGCTGGGATTACAGCCATGAGCCACTGCACCAGGCCTTGTCTATTCTTTTTTTCTTAAGTTTGTGATCAGATTCCTACTTCCCCAGGGAGGAGGGGAATAATGTTCCTTAACTGGCTGAGTCAGTGCCATGCTAGACTGCGGCTGCCGGCCACATGTGGCTGTTTACATTTATACTAAAATTACTTGAAATGAAATAAAATTTAAAATGCAGCTCCTCGGCTGCACTAGCCATATCTCGGGTGCTCATGAGCCACAAGGCTGGGGGCTGCTGGACTGGATGGTGCAGAGACCGCTTCCATCACTGCAGAAAGCTCTTTGAGCCCAGTGGTTCTCAAGCAGGGGCAATCTACCCCACCTCCCCTGGGCACATGTGGCAATGTCCAGAGACCCCGCGACTGGAGCGGGTGCTGTGGCATGTAGAGGGTGGGGGCCAGGGATGCAGCTGAATATCCTATAATGCATAAGGTAGGCCCCCACAACAAAGAATGGTCCATCCCCAAATGTTAATAGTGCTGAGATTGAGAATCCTGTCCTGGCCTCCTGTGGTTCAGCCTAGCTGGGCAAGCAGAGGAGGCCGTAGAAGGAAGTAAGGGAAAATAATTTTACTTAGGAATAAAAATATAGGCTGGGCACAGTGGCTCACGCCTATAATCCCAGTACTTTGGGAGGCTGAGGCAGGAGGATTGCTTGAGCCTCGGAGTTCAAGACCAGCCTGGGCAACATGGTGAGACTTCTTTACCAAAAAATAAAAAAATTAGCTGGGTGTGGTGGCACACACCTGTAGTTGATCTCAGCACTTTGGGAGGCTGAGGCGAGAGGATCACTTGACCCCAGGAGATCGAGGTTGCAGTGAGTCATGATCGCACTCCAGCCTGGGAAACAGAGCAAGACTTTGTCTCAAAAAAAAAAAAAACAAACCAAAAAACTATAAACAAAGAGATGCAACAATAAACAAAATGTGCTACATTCATACAATGAAATATTATTCATCCTTAAAAAGTAAGGACATTTTGGGCCGGGTGTGGTGGCTCACGCCTGTAATCCCAACACTTTGGGAGGCTGAGGTGGGCGGATCACCTGAGGTCAGAAGTTGGAGACCAGCCTGGTCAACGTGGTGAAACCCTGTCTGTACTAAAAATACAAAAAAAAATTAGCCAGGTGTGGTGGCGTGTGCCTATAATCCCAGCTACTTGAGAGGCTGAGGCAGGAGAATCGCTTGAACCTGGGAAGCGGAGGTTGCAGTGAGCCGAGATAGTGCCATTGCACCCCAGCCTGGGAAATAGAGCGAGACTCTGTCTCAAAAACAAAAAAAAGAGTAAGGAAATTCTGATGTATGCTGTAACGTGAACGAACCTTGAAAACATGATGCTACTGAAATAAGCCAGACAGAGAGGACAAACACTGCAGGGTTCCACCCATGTGAGGCCCCTGGAGTAGTCAAATCCACAGAGACAGAAAGTAAAATGGAGGTGGGCCAAGGCTGAGGAAGAGAGAAGGGGGAGTTAGTGTTTAACGGGGACGGAGTTTTGGTTTGGGAAGATGTGGAGACAGATGGTGGTGATGGTTGCACAATAGCGAATGTATCTAATGCCACTGAAGTGTACACTTGAAAATGGTTGGCCGGGCGCGGTGGCTCGCGCCTGTAATCCTGCCACTTTGGGAGGCCGAGGTGGGTGGATCACCTGAGGTCAGGAGTTCGAGACCAGCCTGACCAACACGGTAGAACCCCATCTCTACTAAAAATACAAAAATTAGCTGGGCGTGGTGGCGTGTGCCTGTAATCCCAACTACTCGGGAGGCTGAGGCAGGAGAATCGCTTGAACCCAGGAGGTGGAGGTTGCAGTAAGCCAAGATCGCACCACTGCACTCCAGCCTGGGCGACAGAGCGACACTCTGTCTCAAAAAAAAAGAAAGAAAGAAAGAAAGAAAGAAAGAAAATGGTTAATTAACATGGCTACATTTTGTTACGTATTATTTTACCACAATAAAAAAAGGAGACAGATGAATGAATAAGTCAAGCAGGTCTCGTGCATAGTATCCACAGATGTTACGCGAGCTTTTGGCCCTCCCGACGGCAGAAAGGGTTTCTCTGCCCTGCATGTCTCCAGCATCCCGCACTCGCCTCCCTTTTAGGAACAAAAGGCAAAAATGCTCCCTTTTTTTTGTCCACCAATCTCAAATTTCCCAGGAAATTGGCAGGTAGTGAACATTCACTAGCATTCTCTGACGGGAAGTGGCCGAGAGGGCTCCGTACCCTGCCTCACTGTTCCTCAGCTACTCCGCCTCCCCACCCCCCGAGCCTGGGAAACGAGCCCTGGACCGCGTCTAGGAACAGCCCCACTTCTGTGCCAGCCTCCGGCTGATGGCCCCACTCATACACACCTGCAATGAGATATTCCTTCTTTCCTCCAACGTCCAGCGAGACCCCACACACTGCCGAGGAGGGGGCCGTGTAGATAAACTCTATATCCTTCTCAGGCCCTTTGAACATCTGGAAAGACAAGGAGGAGGACATGTAAGCAGAGGGAGGCCACACAGTTGGTGAATTCCGTTCCCATCCAGAACACCCTGGGCGGCACAACCTGTAGCTGGGGTACAGCCAGCACCCAAGAGGACCAGGAAGTGCAAATACATGGGTTAGGAAAAGACCGTTCCAGCTGGGCTCAGGGCTCATGGCTGTAGTCCCAGCACTTTGGGAGGCTGAGGTGGGCAGGTCGCTTGAGGTCAGGAGTTTGAGACCAGCCTGGCCAACGTAGCAAAACCCTGTTTCTACTAAAAATACAAAAATTAGCTGAGCATGGTGGCAAGCGCCTGTAATCCCAGCTATGTGGGAGGCTGAGGCAGGAGAATCGCTTGAACCTGCGAGGTGGAGGTTGCAGTGAGCTGAGATGGCGCCACTGTACTCCTACCTGTATGACAGAGTAAGACTCCGTCAAAAAAAAAAAAAAAAAAAAAGAAAAGAAAAAGACTTCTTATAGCAAAGTGATTCTTTGGAGTCACTCAACTTTTAGTGTGGCAGATCACAGCAGGTGAGCACAAGACTCATCTGTGCCGGGCGAAGTGGCTCACACCAGTAATCCCAGCACTTTGGGAGGCCGAGGCAGGCAGATCACGAGGTCAGAAGATCGACACCATCCTGGCTAACATGGTGAAACCCTGTCTCTACTAAAAATACAGAAATTTAGCTGGGCGTGGTGGCGGGCGCCTGTAGTCCCAGCTACTCGGGAGGCTGAGGCAGGAGAATGGCGTGAACCCAGGAGGCGGAGCTTGCAGTGAGCCATGATCGTGCCACTGCGCTCCAGCCTGGGAGACAGCAAGACTCCATCTCAAAAAAAAAAAAAAAGACTGTCATCTGGAGCATGACATCCTCAGACAACACCTCTGTTCCCTCACCCCCCACCCCAAAGAGGTCATTTCTGAATCTATGGGGAGGGGCTTTTGTACCTCCACGTGACTCTGGACCACCATGAAGGACCATGACTTTTGCATATTTCCAGGAATTTTTTATTTTTTTGAGATAGGGTCTCACTCTGTTGCTCAGGCTGGGGCTGCAACCTCAACTTCCCAGGCTCAAGTGATCCTCCCACCTCAGCCTCCCGAGTAGCTGGGACTATAGGCGCATGCCACCATGCTTGGCTTTTTTTTTTTTTTAATTAGCAGAGACGAGGTCTCGCTCTATTACCCAGGCTGGTCTCAAACTCCTGAGCTCAAGCAATCCTCCTGCCTCGGCCTCCCAAAGTTCTGGGATTACAGGCATAAGTCACTCCACCCAACCTATATTTCCAGGAATTTTGGTCAAATATTGTCTACTTGATGGCAATGAGAGCAGAGAGGCACCTCAGGAATTAGGACATAACTCCATGGGCCAGAAGAGTTTGCTTTCTCAACATGTGATTTACTCACAGCCTTTCAGGAACGCACCTGCTGCCCAGGTGAAGAATGGCATTTTCTCAGCACTCAGGGAGGCTGTTTTTTTCCCCCCGAAGAGTTTCAATAAGCAAACCCAAATGGAATGGAAGCATGCCTGATGTCATGACAAATGGCTTGAGAGTGACACTCCAGCTTGTACCAGGAAAGGTTATGTTGATGCTGTACTAAATGACATCATTTGCCAAAAGGCTAAAAGCATTTCCTGGGCACTGGCACTGGCCTTTTCACGACCCCTTTATGAGGTCGTAAGAGCAGATCCTCTTTCCTGCTTCGTAAAGAAAGAGACTCAGGCACTGAGAGACTAGGTCATCCCCTTAAACTGACATACATGTGATGATGAAGCATTCCACTGACCTTCTGATAACATTGATTTTCAGCTACTTTTTTTTTTTTCTTTTTTTGAGATGGAGTTTCGCTCTTGTCGCACAGGCTGGAATGCAGTGGTGCAATCTCAGCTCACGGCAACCTCTGCCTCCCAGGTTTAAGTGTTCTCCTGCCTCAGCCTCCCAAGTAGCTGGGATCACAGGCACTCGCCACCACGCCCAGCTAATTTTTGTATTTTTAGTAGATACATGGGGTTTCTCCATGTTGGCCAGGCTGGTCTTGAACTCCTGACTTCAGGTGATCCACTCACCTGGGACTATACTCATGAGACACTGTGCCTGGTTTACTTTTTATTTTTAATGACAAAATTAAATATCGATGACTACAACTACCACCATATCACACGGCTGTCCCTCCACCTGCGACATGAATTTTCGTCTCTCTTACAGACCATGTTAGTTACTGTCAATGACAATAGCATCACCTCTCCTGCCCCAGGCCAGGCCCTGCCCTCCCTGCCCTCCCTGCCACATATTTTTTTTTTTTTTTTTTAATACAAGCTCTCACTCTGTCACCCAGGCTGGAATACAGTGGTGAGATGTCTCACTGCAACCTCTGCCTCCTGGGCTTAAGCGATTCTCCCACCTCAGCCTCCCGAATAGCTGGGACCACAGGTGGGCGCTACCATGCCTGGCTGGTTTTTTGTAGAGATGGATTTTCACCATGTTGCCCAGACTGGTCTTGAACTCCTGAGCTCAAGTGATCCGCCCACCTCGGCCTCCCGAAGTGCTGGGATTACAGGTGTGAGCCGCAACGCCCGGACAGGTTTCTGAAGGAATTGAATTTGTGGGGAGCATGTCATCTCCACACAACTTTTCAGGCATTCGAGGATTAAGGGAAATCGGATCTATTTGCAGCTTGATGACCTCATCCTCTGCTCTAGTCCACAGGTGGCCAGATCGTGTTCCAGGGACCCAGGCTCTCTGCCAACCCCAACACCCCACAGCTGTGCCCACAGTGCAGCCCGGGATGCCGGCAGCCACTATTACCTTTATCTGCTTGATCTCATACTGGATCCTCTTGATAGGGTTGCCATAAATGTCGTTTCCAGAGTCCACTTCCTTCTCACTGACCGCTTTGGCCCTGATCACTGCAAAACACAAGACACAGAGGTGAGGAGAGTTCCTGAAACACGCTCCTGGGGCTAAGGAGAGGGATAAGACGTCCAGGCCTGCGGGAGGTGCTGGGGGGTTACAGACAGCAGCAAGGTGCGAGACGGGCAAGGGGCATGGTGATCCCAGCCCCCGGCATGGCGTCTCCTCCTCCAGGCTGAGAGATGATGCCCAGCCTCCTCCTCCTCCTTCCACGATTCTTCAACAAGAATCCCTTCTTTGTTGACAGGGGCCCAAGCCAGAAGCCCAGAGTCCCTTGTGACCAAGGCAGTTTCTGTAACAGTGGGAGGCAGTCATTGATTTGACTGAAGCTCATCTGTTGATATCATGCTTGAGTGCTTTTGGCTTTTTTTTTCCTTCTCTCCAGTGGGTACTCACTGGTGGCTGGGGCAAGCAGGTACCCCATGGAACTGACCCACAATCCCACACATTCCGCGAAGGATGGGACATTTCCCCACCCTCCAGCCACGGCCTATTGGAAACAAGCTTTTCTGGGCTGAGGGCAGAGGGGGAGTTATCCACCTTAAAGGGGCCTTAAACGTACCCGGCATATTTAGCTTTGGGGGTCTTACATCTGGAAAGGTCTATCCAGCTCTTCTCATCTTTCCTGACCTGGAAAATGTTCTATGAGTAATTTTTGTTGTTGTTGTTATTGAGATGGAGTCTCGCGCTGTTGCCCAGGCTGGAGTGCAGTGGCACCGTTTTGGCTCACTGCAACCTCTATCTCCCAGGTTCAAGTGATTCTCCTGCCTCAGCCTCTCAAGTAGCTGGGATTACAGGCGTCTGTCACCACGCCCGGTTAATTTTTTTTTTTTTTCAGACGGAGTCTCACTCTGTCGTCCAGGCTAGAGTGCAGTGGCATGATCTTGGCTCACTGCAACTTCTGCCTCCTGGGTTCAAGAAATTCTCCTGCCTCAGCTTCTCAAGTAGCTCTGATTATAGGCAGCTGCCACCACACCCAGCTAATTTTTGTATTTTTAGTAGAGAAAGCGTTTCGCCATGTTGGCCAGGCTGGTCTTGAGCTCCTGACCTCAGGTGATCCACCTGCCTCAGCCTCCCAAAGTGCTGGGATTATAGGCATGAGCTACAGTGCCCAACCTTAATTTTTGTATTTTTAGTAGAGACAGGGTTTCATCATGTTGGCCAGGCTGTTCTCGAACTCCTGACTTCAAATGATCCACCTGCTTCGGCCTCCCAAAGTGCTGAGATTACAGGCGTGAGCCACTGCGCCCAGCCTGGGTGATTCTTTACAGTAACACAGAGTCTATCAGGGGCACAACAGGGGCAGGGGCAGGAAGTTTCACCCAAAGGAGACATCGGCAGGCACAGCTGGCAGACCCAAGGGACAGATGCTGAGGAAGGACAAACAGAAGGAAAGAGGATCCCAACTAAGCCCCAACCAAACAGAAAGGAGTTGGGGAAGAGGCTGGGCTGGGGCAATTCCAGAATATTCTGGAGCCTGAGGTTGCTGACAGGCCATGCAACACAGGGCTTTCTCCTAGCAATTAAGCCAGGATTCTGTTCCACTCCTGGTAACCTGAGGACAAGCAGATCAGTAGTTCATGCTGTCACTTGGGCAGGGTTGGGTAGAGCCCTCCCTTTCTTAATTTCAAGGCCATTAGTTGGTGACATGGTCTGTTTTAATGGCTTTAAAAGCTTTGCCCTCCCAAACTCAGCTCTTCAGGGTCACTCTGGGTAAGTGTTATGTTACGGTGGATATGAGCAAAACAGAGAGGTAAGGAGCAGACCACGCCAGGCTCCAGGCAGCCTCCTAGCCCCAGCCCCAGCCCCACCCCACGTGGTCGGCTCAAATCTCTTAGAACCCCTTAGGCAGGGCTGTCTCTTCCCACAGGGGCAAGGAGGCTCAGGCGTGTGGGTGCTCCATCTGTGTCCATCCCCCTGGGCCCCACCAATGCTCTCTGGATCCCAGGCTGGCATCAGAGTCCCACACCACAGCCCCACTGCCTCGCCTGGGCACAAACCCCTTTCTTCTTTCTTCTTCTGTTGGAGCTGAGTCATGACTGGCCAAGGCCACAGGTTCCTGTTTCCCAGGCTAATCCATGCCTCATCCTGAAAAGCCACATCTAGGAAATGTCTCCCGGCAGGCCACTCCAGAACAGACGGCTTTGCCCTGACGGCCCCCTATTTCCAGTGCCCTCCTAACCATCCTCTCATCCACCGCAACCAGCTGTCTTTTTTTATTCACGTTCGTTTCTGCTCAAACATCATCCTTGGCTGCCCCCTGCCCTCCCCTAAAATATGAGCGCCTTTGCAACCTGAAGTCAGCCAGGGGCCTCAGCTGCTGTGCCCAACACCCCCCACCCATGCTCCCACTATTCTACCACTTCATAATACTTGTCTGCCCTGAACACGCCCAGGTGCATCCACACCTCTGAACAGACAAGTTTCTTTCTTTCTTTTTTTTTTAGACAGAGTCTTGCTCTGTCATCCCCACCCCTGCTAGGCTGGAGTGCAGTGGCGCAATCTCAGCCATCTCCCAGGTTCAAATGACTCTCCTGCCTTAGCTTCCCAGGTAGCTGGGATTACAGGTGGGCACCACCATGCCTGGCTAATTACCATATATATTTTTTTGAGACGGAGTTTCACTTTTGTCACCCAGGCTGGAGTGCAATGGCTTGATCTCAGCTCACTGCAACCTCCACCTCCCAGGTTCAAGCAATTCTCCTGCCTCAGCCTCCTGAGTAGCTGGGGTTACAGGTAACTGCCACCTTGCCAGGCTAATTTTTTTTTTTTTTGGTATTTTTAGTAGAGACAGGGTTTTAGCATGTTGGCCAGGCTGGTCTCGAACTCCTGACCTCAAGTGATCCGCCCACTTTGGCCTCCCAAAGTGCTGGGATTACAGGTGTGAGCCACCACACCCAGCCTGAACAGGCAAGTTTCTTCCGCCCCAAATGCCATCTCCCCTCTCTGCCTGGAGAACTTTTCTTCATTCTTCAAGACCCAGCTAAAATAGCCCTTTTCTGTCTTCCTCTGGGAAATCCTGTCCTTCTGCAGCACTTGGTATATTCCCCATCTCTTTTCCATCCTGCTGTCAGTTCCTGCACACCTGTCTGCTCAGGGCCCTGGGAGGTCCTAACAGGTTGAGGCTAGATTCTGACTGCAGAACAGTTGGTGCTCACTAACTCTTTGCCAGATGGAGCTGAGATGACGCTGACAACTTTGGGCTGGTGGCCCAGGTGCAGTTTGTCCTTGGCTCTCTTGCTCCCTGCCTAATCTATATACCTTACGACAATGCTGCACCAAAAATGTTTATGCAAATTAGTCAATGTGCCAGATTAACTTGGTCAAAGTTTGCTCTTCATGTAGCAGAGTCACCAGCTCACAAGCAAACCAGGGCCAGGCACGGTGGCTCACTCCTATAATCCCAGCACTTCGGGAGGCCGAGGCGGGCGGATCACTTGAGGTCAGGAGTTTGAGACCAGCCTAGCCAACATGGTGAAACCCCATCTCTACAAAAAATACAAAAATCCCAGCCACTTGGGAGGCTGAGGCAGGAGAATCGCTTGAACCCAGGAGGTGAAAGTTGCAGTGAGCTGAGATCATGCCACTGCACTCCAGCCTGGGCAACAGAGTGAGACTCCGTCTTTTAAAAAAAGAAAAGAAAGAAAAGGAAAAAAAGCAAGCCAGCAGAATCCAAAGGAATCAACAGTTCCAGTAGGAGCAGCAAGCCGGCCTTTATTACAGTCTGCTGAATTCTGTATGTTATTTTGGAAATTTCTGGAGCTGCTTTTCTTTTCTTTCTTTCTTTTTTTTTTTTTTGAGATGGAGTCTAGCTCTGTCATCCAGGCTGGAGTGCAATGGTGCAATCTTGGCCCACTGCAACCTCCGCCTCCTGGGTTCAAGCAATTCTCCTGCCTCAGCCTCCCAAGTAGCTGGGATTACAGGCACGCGCCACCATGCCCGGCTAATTTTTTGTATTTATTTTAGTAGAGACGGGGTTTCACCATGCTGGCCAGGATGGTCTTGAACTCCTGACCTCGTGATCCGCCTGCCTCGGCCTCCCAACGTGCTGGGATTACAGGCATGAGCTACCGCGCCCGGCCTTGGAGCTGCCTTTCAATGGTCCACTAAGCCGCACAATGCTTAACGCACAATAGGCACTCAACAAGCATGTCACTGGAGTTCAGAAAATAAGCAAAGATTACTTCAAAACGGCCAAAATGTTGCATCCTACCATGGGCATTGAGGTTCACATGCTGTTCTCTTACAAAAACGCCTAAGGCTCCCAGGTGGCAGCTGGGCACTTATTTGAAGGAGGCAGCAAGAGACAGAGATCCTGCATTCACCCCTGGATGGCTGCGTGATCTTTGAGAAGCTCCTTGACTTCACTGAGCCACAGTTGTTCACACCTAAGACAGAGACGATGACAACAGTCTTGACACTTCACAAGGTCGTGGTGACTGTTAGAGGGGCTGGTGTGGAGGCTGCGGTGCCCGGGAACTAATGCGTGTACAGTTCAGGACCACGAGCATCGCATAGACAAGCAGGGCGAATTCTCCCGCTCCCGTGGGTGAGGGATTGGGACGGTGGCATCATGCCACTCAGGTACACAGACCCGGTCCTGGTCAGCAGGCCACAGACTCTCGATTTGATGCAGCTTCCCAGCGTGCTAGCTTTGCCTGGGGGCTGCAGATTACACACTTTCCTTCTTTAAAGTGTCAGAAAAGAGGAGGCTGGTCAAATCAAGGGTCCAGGGTAGCCACGTGGGGTTAGGACTAGAAAGTGAACTGGCGAGGAGGCCGCCAGATGCCTGCAGGGAAGTGGGGGTGAGGGGCAGGGAAGTGGGGGTGAGGGGCCTGGAGGAGCAGAGCCTGAGGGCATCTCCATCTCCCCTGGGCTGCTTTAGTCTGCCCCTGGGGAACAGAATTCAGATTCTTCAGGGTCCCTTTAAATTGGGGGTGGGCACCTCCTCCCCCACTTTGCAAAATGAGAAATTACATGAAAGAAGGAAAATGGGAATCAAGAGAGGCAAAGAAGGACCAGTTCCACGGCAACCTTCCCCAAAGCACCAGCACGCCGCAGACATGAAGGAGAGGGGCCAGCTGACAGCTCTGATCGGTGCACACCAGTTGGCATAGCGGGATCTGCACCGCTGACCTGCTCAGAGCAGCGGGTACCTGTCGGGGGTTGTTGCCCAGAGGTGACAGCAGGTGAAGAGAGGGTACAGGGTGAATCCTGCATACAGCAGGCCTTGCCTGGGAGGAGCATCCAATCCAGGCAAGATGACAGACGATGGATAGGAACACAGAGAAGGAGAGTTTCCAATGCCCAGTGGTGGACAGAGGAGGAGGGAGAGAGAGCTCTCCGGAATACATTTCCATGCCAATGGCAATGGTCCGCACTCTGAGCTCCAGGATGGACCACCAGTTCTGTAGGGGAAAGCAGGCCACTTCAAAAGAGGGAGGGCCTCTCCGAGTCCCAGGCCATGTGAAGAACAGGGCTGGGGAAAGCGAAGAGACATAAGGAATCTGGGAAGAAATGAAAATTGTGGCACAGACACGTTTACTGAACACCTACTGGGTGCTGGGCCTGGTGTTAGGCACTGGGGTGGGTGTCAGCCCATCTCCTGTCCATGCCCCCGAGAGGGGCTGCTCTGCTCCTCTGCCCCTTCCCCAAGGAGCCAGAGGCAGCTGCGAGAGGGGGAGTCTTTATAAAGACTCTCGTTCTAACTGCCCTGAGCCCAGAAACCACGGCCTCTCCCTGGGCGTCTCAGATTTCGTTTTTCCTTCTTTCCCTTCTGCTGTGAACACAACATCTGGGTTTGAGATCAAGGGTGATACACTGGCTGATGAATTCACCGCCAGATGCCGGCTACTGGAATGTACAACCGTCGGCTGAATTCAAAGCACACGCAACTGCAGGGTCCCCACCCCCACCCCTCCAGCCCAGGACACCATATGATGTCACTTCCCCCCTGCAAAAACAATCCCGAGCGCACCCGCCAGAGTGGGGACGGAAAAGAACCGGGTGGGCGGAAAACCAAGGTCGCGGGAGACGATCCAAAGAGGATGGGCTACGGTCAGACTTCGACAGTCACAACCGCCCCTGGAAAACCATCAGAGGCCGGACCGGCTGCTGCTGCTCTCGGAGGGGAGCAGACAGTGAAGGGGGCTTGCTGGAGAACCTGGTGTCACCAGCATGTGCCAGGGCCAAGGGCTGGCCGGAGGGGCGGCACTCTCCACAGACTCCAACCACGCCAGCCCCAGGCAGAGACGCCACGGCTTCTGTGGCACGGTCCTCCCTTGTTCTCTCTCCTCGGTGTCCCCTCTGCTGCCATCAACACGTGGGTCCTGCGTCCTCACGTCCCCTTCATACACCCACCAACATCTTTCCAATCCTCCTGTGTCCACAGAAGTACTATGGAAGTTCCTGCGGAAAATAAGAACAAGCCATGCCCACAATTGGGGGAGGGAGACAGACCCCAAAAGAAAATTGCCTCGAAAGGCCGGGTGCAGTGGCTCACACTTGTAATCCCAGCACTTGGGAGGCCAAGGTGGATGGGTTGCTTGAAGCTAGGAGTTCAAGACCAGCCTGAGCAACATAGCAATACCTCATCTATAAAAAACAAAATACAAAAAACAAAAACAAAAAAAAACAAAAATTAGCTGGGCGTGGTGGCATCTGCCTATAGTCCCAGCTACTCAGGAGAATTGTATGAACTAGATGTTCAAGGCTGCAGTGAGCTATGAATGCACCACTGCACCTCGGTCCTGGGTGAAAGAACCAGACCCTGCCTTTGAAAGAAAAAGAAAATTGCCTGTAAGAAATGTACTTATTCCACACTCATTGAATTCTCTTTATTATCTTGCCAGGGGCCCAACTGCTCGCTGGAGGAATCCCACATGCTATATGTATAAATATACCATATAGAACATTTTCCACTTGAGCCACTCTGCCGGGCTCCCAGGCCCAAGTTTGGGACAGGCAAACCGGTGGATATCAACACCCAACGTCTAGACCACTCACAGCCTCTCCCCGGGGCACTCCACACACTGTAACAGCATAGCGCCTGTCTCGGCTACGGGACGTGCTCAGGCAGCGGGAGAAGGTGGCCCACTGTCCCTCAAAGTCACCTGTCTGCCCAGACGAGGTGCAGGGATCCCTGGGACTCAGAAACACATTCGGCTGCTAAATACAAAGTCAAAACCCGGCCCGATCATCTGCACCTTGTGTGCACACTGACTCGGACTGGGAGGGTTTGCTCAGTATCACTGGAGGGCACTGGCCCCTCCCAGCCGTCCACCCTCTTCTGCAGGCTCCAGCTTTCACCTGGGGAGGGGCGCCCATAGGACCAGCACTGGCAGGGAAAGCGCCTCCTTCCCCTCTGTCCTGTCCTGCTTATGGCCCAGCGGAGAACGCCAAGGGGTCCCCATGTTCTCAACATGGGTCATTCCTGGGAGTCGGGTGGGGGCTTCACACATGTGCCAAAGACCCTACTGGCCCACATCACTAGTGGGTGGGGGGCATTCTGATGCTGCAGCTGGGTCAGAGTCAGCCCAGAGCACCCACAGTGGCAATGAAGACCAGTGGCCACTGCATGCATCCCAGGGGCCAGCCCTGGAGGACTCCACACTGCGTAGACGCAAACGCGGTAACTGCAGGCCGGAGCCGCAGACGTCTTCTGAGCGTCATTTGGTTCATTTGGCTCTGGGTGGAATTACATGCCAGTCATTTCAGAGGAATTATCAAAGAAACCATTTTCTCTCCCGGATGAAACCCAACCTCCACTTACTCCTGGGGAGGATCCAATGGCAGTTGCAGGTGGACTCAGCTTTGTTCTTTCACTGGGAAAGGACTGTGACGTTCCACGCCTTGTCTAAACTCTCCAGAAAAGTGGGGTGCCATGAGTGCCAATGTCCACACCCTCAAATCACACAGTTAGTAACGCCCTTGCTAACATCTGTAACTATAACTTGGCGTTGCCATTGGGGATGAGAGTCTCTTGTCCCTTTTGGGTGGATGTAATGACACCATATGGCTGGTCAACCTGGCAGGGGCTCCATATCCTCTTTTTTTTTTGAGATAGAGTTTCGCTCTTGTCGCCCAGGCTGGAATGCAATGGCACGACGTTGGCTCACTGCAACCTCGGCCTCCTGGGTTCAAGCGATTCTCCTGCCTCAGCCTCTGGAGTAGCTGGGATTACAGGTGCCCGCCACCATGCCCGGCTGATTTTTATTTTGTGTATTTTTAGTAGAGATGGGGTTTCACCATGTTGGCCAGGCTGGTCTTGAACTCCTGACCTCACGTGATCCACCCATCTTGGCCTCCCAGAGTGCTGGGATTACAGGCGTGAGCCACCTGGCCCGGCCTGACCATTTTGATTAATATGTCTAAAGCGCCAGCTGAGGGTGTACCAGGGGCCCCTCTGCCCCAGCCACCCACAAGATCAGAGTCTGAAAAGGGAGGTGAAGCCCACTTTCCCCACTTCTGGTGTCTACACCCTCAGCTCAGGACAGATGTCCAGTAACACAGCTGTGGCCCTGCCCTGCAACTGCTGTAATAAATGACTATTTTTCATGGCCCTGCTCTCAGATCGCTGTGGGATCCCTAAATGTTTGTGTGTAACTAATCTCGTTGGGCTTCAGGATCACAGTAAAGACAGCTTAGAAACATGGAAGCTCTCCATTCGGGCAGCACCTCCTTCTTTTAGCAGGATGGGGCCGACCTCGCCAGCTGGAGCAGCAGAAGTGGCCACAAACGCCACCAGGGATGGCAGACGGTGATCCAGGAAGGGGCTGTGCTCACAAGGACCCCAGACCTGCTCTAGTCCTCTAGGTTTGGAGGCCACGCCTCTCCCAACGGAACTGCCCAGGGGCACGGGGCAAGGCTGAGCAGCCAGGAAGTGTCACAAGTGTTGTGAGGTGACAGTGAGGGTTAGCTGGTCCAGCTCACCTTCAGCCTCTGGCCTCAAGTGACACAGCCGGGTGCCCTTGGTGGGCAGTCAGAGGGTCTCCCCCGGGCACTGGGCTCTGCCCTTCCTCGGCCCCTTCATGCCAGCCCCTTTTGGTCAGCGGGTGCGGCAGACCTCCTCCAAATTCACTCCTTTTAGGGAAATGAGCAGAAAAGAGGGCCGTGACTTGGTAATTAAAAACAGCCCTGTGGTGCTGGGCAGGAACCAGGCTCTTCCCGCCCTGCAGCTGCTGTGGAGGCCAGACCCACCCTCAGGTCCTCCAACCTCCTCGGCCCCCGGAAGCCAGCAACGGGGCCTTCTGGGAAGCAGGAAAGACCTCAGCAGAGGGGGCACCATAGGAGCACACTGGACATCCGTCCCCAGTTGAGGGTGTAGACACCGGAAGTGAAGACATGGGGCACCACCTCCCTTTCCAGACTCTGACCTTGAGAGTTTGTGGGTGGCTGGGACAGAGAGGCCCCAGGTCCACCCTCAGTGGTGACTTGCAGCCCTGGTGCAGGGCGGGACCGTGACATCCAGGGTGAGGACAGAGGACTTGGCCAGCATGACTCAGGCCAGGGTGAAAAACGCCTGGAATGACAACTACTCAGAAAAGATATTTTGTTGGGGAGGGTGCGGAGGAGGGTGGGGCAGAGAAGGTAACAGGGTGCACAACAGAGATCAGGGAACAGAAGCGCAGCCTCAGCCGGGGCCACACCGCCTGCCAGCGGGCACCTGGGGGTGCTCCAGGCCCTGCCGCCCCAGGGAATGCTCCCTCCCCGGCTGCCTGAGATTCTAGTGCACGTGAGCTGCTGGCCACTGGGTGCCCGTCTCCATGGAGACCAGCTCTCCCATCTCACTTCCTGCCCATTCGTTTTGGCTCCTCTTGGGAAACAGCATCTATCAGAGCACCTCAGCCACGCAGAGCAAAGCCGCCCTCTCTGCCCAGCCTTCCTGCCGCCCTCCCCAACCCCAGGGCCCTGCCCCCTCCCTCTGCAGCTCTGGGAGGACCTCGGGGCCCACGTCCCGCTGCCCTCCCTTTCCCTGGTGGGCCAGCAGGTCTCATGCCAGAGCCTCCGGCTCGGCCCTTCCCATTCACGTGCTGCTGAATCACTTGAAAACAATGCACCAGACCCCGGGAGGATTTGCTGAGAACAGTGCGGCTTTGTGGAGGGAAGTGCAGCTCTGCATTTTCTCCGTCAAGACCCACGGAACAGCCAAGCTCAGCCCTGCAAACCCTAAGCCAGAGCCGGAGCAGGGACAGGAGCAGGACCGTGCAGGGCAGGAGGCAGAGGGAGCCTGGAGAGGCACCGAGGAAACCCCTACCCATCCCTGCAACCCGCCCCCCTACAACAGATGAGCAGGGGGCCAGGGTGACAACTCCGGAGCCAGGGGCAGCAGCAGATTCTCTCCTCGCACTGTTGCTGGGGGGCTGCGACAGCGCGAGGTGGGCAGGGCACTGTTCCTCCCAAGCCGATCCATTTTTGGGGACGAACGTGAGGTCCGGGCCCAGGCTTCAGGCTCATTGGCACTGACTGTCTTTGAGCCCTGGCTGTTCGTCGGACCCAGGGTCATGTGGCCTGTGGGCTGAGCCTGACTTGCTGCATTTCTCAGGAGACAGAAACAGGGACATGAAGGACATGAAGGCTGGAATCCCAGGGTCCACACACCCAGGAAAGAATGAAAGCAGGGGGGCTGAGGTCCCCACTCCCCTTTCCCTTCCTCCTCAGCACAGCTTCCCAAACAAGCCCCATGCTGAGCGGCGCCCCCAGACTCCCTAAGCTTGTCCTGGGGGGTGTGCATCTGTGTAGCCCCGTCTCCAGCTGGAGGACTTGGCCTGGGCTGTCACAGCAGCTGCAAGTGCAGGCTGCACCCCAGCCCTCCGCCCCGTGTCTTCTTGGAGATCTCGATATAACCCCCTTGCCATTTGCACGAACTGGAAGAATGACCACAGGTCAGGGAGGGTGCTCTACCCACCCGTCCACTCTAAAAACCCTATTTCCTTTTGTCTTATGTGTCGGAGATCCTGGTCACACAGGGCTTGAAGGGGAAGGGAGATTTGTGCGGAGAGAAGATGGACGCCCCAGGGCAGCTCTCAGGGTGGGGTCACATCCAAAGCCCAACTGGCCAGCAGGTTGGGGGGGAGCAGGCCAGGAGGTGAACAGGTAGCACCTGCCAGACCCTGCTGGCCCCCCTCAGCCCATGGACAGCTGACCTCGGCAGAAAGCACAAGCAACGCTGCTGCTCCCCGTCCAAGCCTCACGGACCAACAGGGCGACCCACGCACCACTGCTCAGCCACGGAGGCCTTCCTGGGTCCCTGTGGTTTGGGGAGAAGGACCCACAAGGCAGGGAGCAAAGATGGGGCCGGAGGACGAAGGTTCCAGCAAATGCAGAGTGAGGCGCGAACACGGAATCTGTCCCCCAAGGGTGGGGGCAGAAGCACCAAACCAGAGCAGAGCTCTAGAAGGTGCAAAGTGTTCGGAGCAGGAGAACCGTGCGGGGTACCTGGAAGTGCCTTAGGATGAAGGTGAACACGGCCACCACATCTGGGATCCTCACCGCTGCTGGCATGGCAGTGCTCTCTGGAAACCTCAGGAGCCCCACACCCTTCCGGGTGGCTCCATCCCTTGTTTTACAGTCAAATGAAGGCTGGGCAAGGGCTGGGGTGTGAGTCCAGGGGGCACCCCTGAGCCCGCCAACATAGCCCTATGAGGTGCCTGGCACTTCGGGGAGGATTTAGGCTCGCAAGGCAGGGGGCAGGCCCTGTGCACTTGTGTCCGGAAGAGAGGTGGTGGGAAGAGAGATGCTGGAAGCTGGGTGTGAGGGGTGTGAGGGGTGTGAGGGGCAGGAGGTGGAGGGCCAGGCCTTGGAGGAAGTGCAGAAACCTTAACACTCTGCCCAGGTCACCTAGCTGCTGGCAAATGGCAGAGCCAGGGCTCCAACCCCGGCAGTAGGGCTCTCACCAGCTCCTGGTGGAGGCTCTGGGTGGAGGCATGGGACGGGGTGAGCCAGGGGAAGCTGGAGGCTGCTCCACAGCCCTTTCTACCGCAGTCCAGCTGTGCCAAGGTGACCAAGGGGGGAGGGGAACACAGGCACTGCCAGGCCCTGGGATGGAAAGTTACTCATGACATCTCCGTAAGAATCACTGGAGGGCCATGGTTTTGGGTGTGGACATCCTGGAGGGCTGTTTTAGTGCCCACACCAATGCCCTAGTTAAAGAACCACCCTGTCCCCTTAGCCTTCTGCAGGACAGGTGGGAAAGGGCCGGGTGTCTGGTCCTGCTGCCAGGGGACAGTGCAGGTGTGACCGTCCGGGCAGAGATGAGTCACCCTCCACACTGTCTTGCTGCCCGTCTCCACGCCTAGTTTTAGCTCGTGTGGTCAAGAAGGGGCGATTCCTCACCTAGAACACATGGGTCACAAATGCTACCTTTGAAAATGGAAACAAAAATAACCCACTCAAAGGCAGGCTGGTTCCCCCATCAGACTGTGGCTTCCAGGCTAAGGCAGGAAGACCTCGGCTACTCAATGTTTGGGCCCCATTGTGGCCATGGCTTTTAACTCAGTCATGCCATAACACCCTCTCTGCCCTCTCAGACAGAGGTGATGCTACACTGACAGGCGGCTACGCTCCAGGTCTCCGTGTGCAAAAAATAGCTGGGCACAAGGCAAGTGCAGAAACAGCAGGAGCACGGTGACACCCCACCCCGAGAAATCTATGTGGCTTTTGAAAAACAGCAGCCCTCCTGACCCCCAGTTTCCTTCTTAATCATGTTGAGCCTATAGCAAATTGTGGAGTGGCTTTGCAACCCTAGCCCATGACATTCTGGAAGCAGAGGATAGAAAGAAACCAGGCTAAGATCAAAATTTTCTTCTTCTTTTTTTTTCCCCCTAAGACAGGGTCTCTGTCACTGAAGCTGGAGTGCAGCGGCGCAATCACAGCTCACTGCAGCCTCGACCTCCCAGGTTCAAGAGATCATCCCACCTCAGCCTCCCTAGTAGCTGGAACTATAGGTGCACGCCAGTATGCCTGGCTACTTTTTGTTTTTATAGAGACACAATCTCACTATGTTGCCCAGGCTGGTCTCATATTCCTGGGCTCAAGCCATCCACCTGCTTTGGCCTCCCAGAGTGCTGGGATTACAGGTGTGAGCCACCATGCCCAGCCTCGAATTTCCTCTACTTGGCCTGAAGCAGAAAGCCACAGACAACAGAGACCTAAGCTACTAATGATTAAAGAACCCAAAAGCAAAAACAAAAGAGTCTTGTGGGATGCTACTCCCGCCCCGTCCAAATGAGCGTAACGCTTGTTGGTTCCACGAGCTTCGCATTCGCCAGGGAAGTCCGGCTTGAGTTTCTCAGAGGCGTGCACTTGGGGTCCCACTGAGCACCTTGTCCTGCACAGCCATAGTTCCAGCTTTTACTCACTCATCATCTGCGTCCTCCACCAGAACGGGAGTCCTGTGGTTCCATGTGTGTGGCTCACTGCTCATCTCTAGTGACTGGGACAGTGTCTAGGACTCATATCTGTAAATTTATTTATTTATTTTGAGATGGAGTCTCCCTCTGTCCCCAGGCTGGAGTGCAGTGGCATGATCTCAGCTCACTGCAACCTCCGCCTCCTGGGTTCAAGCGATTCTCCTGCCTCAGCCTCCCGAATAGCTGGGACTACAAGTGCGCGCCGCCACGCCCGGCTAATTTCCGTATTTTTAGTAGAGACGGGGTTTCACCCTGTTGGCCAGGCTGGCCTCGAACTCATGACCTCAAGTGATCCACCTGCCTCGGCCTCTCACAGTGCTGGGATTACAGGTATGAGCAAACGCGCCCAGCCTCATATTTGTAAATTAAATATTTTATAAGAGCAGGTCAATCTTTTTCTGGGGAAAAAAAAAAAAATAGGAAAAAAAAAAAAAGAGCAATAAACGGGATCTTTCCCACACCTACATCCCAGCTGTGCCAAAAGCACTTTTTGACACCCGGTCCTTTGATTCAAATGCATCAGAGATATAGTCCTCTTTTTGGAAACAAGCACGAAACTGGAGAAGCTATGATCCTGGAAAGAAGCTCATACACGCGATGAGGATATGCTGCAGTGAAAATGAGTAAGAGGCGTTTGTGTGATGTGGATGAATTCAGTAACCGTGCCGAGGCCAAAAAACCTAGCTTTCAAAAGACTCCACATAATATCCTTTTTATAAAGTTCAAAACCAAGTAAAACTAAACACTATGTTTAGCATACATATATGGATAAAGATAGGGAGGGCTAAACCCCAAGTTCAGCAGGTATATATCTTTTTGTTTCTTTTTTTTTTTTTTCCTTTTTTGAGATGGAGTCTCGCTCTGACACCCAGGCTGGAGTGCAGTGGCGCAATCTTGGCTCACTGCAACCTCCACCTCCCGGATTCAAGCAATTCTCCTGCCTCAGCCTCCTGAGTAGCTGGGATTACAGATGCCACCACCACGCCCGGCTAATTTTTTGTATTTTTAGTAGAGACAGCGTTTCACAGTGTTGACCAGGCTGTTCTCAAACTCCTGACCTCAAGCAATCCGCCCGCCTTGGCCTCCCAACGTGCTGGGATTACAGGTGTGAGCCACCGCGTCCAGTATCTTTTTGTTTCTGAGACAGGGTCTCGCTCTGTCACCCAGGCTGGCAGTGGCGTGATCACAGCTCCCTGTGCGGCCTCAGTCTCTGGGGCTCAAATGAACCTCTTGCCTCAGCCTCACGAGTAGCTGGGACTGTAGGTGCAGGCCGCTATGCTCAGCTAATTTTTTATTTTTTGTAGGATAGGGTCTCCCCATGTTGCCCACGCTGGTCTCGAATTCCTGGGCTCAAGTGATCCTCCTGCGCTGGCTTCCCAAAATGTTGGGATTGTAGGTGTGAGCCATCAGCAGGTATATGTCCAAGGAGGCAGCAGGGGGATGGAAAAGGGAGGTAGCGCACAGGTAGTGAATATTCTGGGTCTTGGGTCTGGGTGATGGGCTCATGGTACTTCATTATATTGTCTACAAAATATACATAAGTAAGGCCATTCGTGGACCAATGATACTAATGTGTCATGAACAAAGATTGGTTGATCTAAGTCAATGTATCTGAGGTTGTTGGAAGGGAGGGAGAGAGACAGACTCTGAAACCATCCTAGTACAGGGATCAGCAAACTATGGCACAAAGGGCAGATGCCGCTCACCACCTATTTTTGTAGAGTCTCATTGGAACCTGGCCACGCCCTTTCATTTACATCTCATCTGTGGCTGCTTCTGAGCAGCTGCAGTAGAGCTGGGTAATTACCACGGGGGCTGCACAGCTGGCAAAGGCTAAAATATTTACTCTCTGGCTCTTTGCAGAAAAAGTATGTTGATCCCTGTGCCTGTCCCTAAGACTGCAATTGGCAGAAGAGAAGCTACCCAGTGTGAGGTCTCCATGGCTCTGGTGGATGCCAGGTCAGTGGCAAAGCTAGCGGGGAGGAAACTGATCAAACACCCAGGTGCCGACACCCTTGCCAGCCCCAGAGGGAATCACCCAGCGGGGCGAGGGTGGCTTGTCTTCTCTTTTCCGTCTACTCTCTTTTCTCTTAAAGTTATAAGAATGTATTAAGCGACGTGCTATTTAAACAATGTTGGTTTTGTTGTGACTTTGAAAGACTAAGAGGTTTTAGCTTTGGTTCAATCTCCGTTAATGTCTCAGCCTTGGCTAAGCACTAAGTGATCTATCTCCTGAAATTGTGCCCGTCTGACCTTGGGTGCCCCTGAAAGGCCAGTGTTTATTTGGCTAAAACATCTGAAGGGCTTAAATGACCTGGAGTCTCCATCTGTGCCTGTGGCCCCTGAAAACAGACTGTCACCCAGGCTGGAATGTAGTGACATGATCGGCTCTGGGAGATGCATCCACAGCACATGGGCTAGACACACCCACTGAAACCCACACGGGTTCCTATTTTTGTATATAGGTGGTTTCCCAAAAGGGACTTCGTTTTAAAGGCAAGACTAGGCCAGGCGCGGTGGCTCAAGTCTGTAATCCCAGCACTTTGGGAGGCCAAGGCAGGCGGATCACGAGATCAGGAGTTCAAGACCAGCCTAGCCAACATGGTGAAACCCTGTGTCTATTAAAAATACAAAAAATTAGCCAGGCATGGTGGCAGGCGCCTATAATCCCAGCTACTCGGGAGGCTGAGGCAGGAGAATTGCTTAAGCCCAGGAGACAGAGGTACTGAGTCGAGACTGCACCACTGCACTCTAGCCTGGGCAACAGAGCAAGACTCCGTCTCAATCAATCAATCAATCAATAAAGGCAAGATTAGGGAAAGAGTCCCTGTGAGGGAATGTGCCCTGGAGGACGGTATAATGACAGATTGCTTTTTTTTTTTTTTTTTGAGACGAGTCTCACTCTGTCACCCAGGCTGGAGTACAGTGGTGCAATCTCGACTCACTGCAACCTCCGCCTCCCAGGTTCAAGTGATTCTCCTGCCTCAATTTCCTGAGTAGCTGAGGTTACAGGCACATGCCATCACACCCAGCTAATTTTTATATTTTTAGTAAAAACGGGGTTTCGCCATGTTGGCCAGGCTGGTCTCAAACTCCTGACCTCAGGTGATCCTGAGGCCGACCTCGGCCTCCCAAAGTGCTGGGATTACAGGCGTGCGCCACTGCACCCGGCCCCAGATTGCCCATTTTAAAGAGGCCTAATAGTCTCTGAGGCAATGACGCAAACACAGATCTTAGAGACCCGGGTACCAGTGCTGGCAGCACCATTATCAGTGATGTATTTACCCCGGGTGGGCCTCTCGCATTTAGCATATGTTCTGAAACTCCCGCAAGCATTTCCGGGCTTCTTCAAGAAACTGCTTGTGCAACCTGTTTTGCTGTAAGATCTGCTGCTGCTGGTCTCGGATCATCTGACTGTGCCGGTCGTCGTCGGCGAGGCTGGTGCCCGATGGGGAAGTGGTGCTGAGCTCAGATCCTCTCTCCCTTTCCTGGGCTCTCGTGGAGGAGGACTTCAGATGGGCCAGTCGAGCTCTTCTTTGCTCCCTCCTCTCTTTTTCTAGCTCAGCTTTGTAGTGGATTTCCAAGCTCATATCTGGGTGTTCCATTTGTTCAAGCGATTCCAGTTGTTTTTGTCTTCTCTGCTCCATCTCTGCTTTCTGCCTTTGCCTGGATGCCGTCGAGCCCACTCTGTCTGCCTGGTCTTGAAGGTGGAGCTGAAGGGAGCCCTCTGCCAGCGTGCCCAGTTTGGGGGTCTCTTGTCCAGATTCAGTGCTATACAATAATGAGTCCTCTTTGTTGATAAATATACCTGCCTCGGGAGACAATGTTTGACTTCCATTTCTAAACGTGGGCTTGACCGTGCCCTGATATTTTTGGTTCTGGGCCTTGCCCATGAACGTTTTCAAGTCGGTCTTGGACGCTGCCTGCTGCGCCTCCTCCTCTGCTGGGCTCCTGGGTTCCCCGGCAGGCAGCATCTCTGGGTCTGCCATTTTCTTCCCTCTTGGGGTCCCAGCGCCACACTCTTGCATCTCTGAGAAGGCATGCCCTTCCCCAGGTCTCTGGTCCATCCTGGGCTTCAGTGCCAGGTACAAGCACAGGTGTTTTTTCAGCTTTCTGTTTATATTAAACAACTCTTCAAAGGCCAACTCCAGCTCTTTCTGCCACTTGTTCTTCTCCCGGAGCGTGCACTGAGATGCTGGGGACACGGCTTCCCTTCTGCAGCTGGAATCAGCTGGCCACAGCTGCCCGAGGTCTCTCAGCTTCCCCTCCAGACTCTGTCCCTGAGAGCGACTGGTCAGGGCTGGAACAAAGCAAACTGCCCCCTTTCCCAGTTGCCTCCTCCCCGCCCGAGCTGTTCCTTTCTCTTTTTCCTCCACAAGCCCGATTTCTCCCACAGCAGCCACGAGTGGGTTTGACCTTTCTAGGTCCGCCCCTTTGCTCCTCCGAGGATGGATGGCACAGCGGCCACCCCCAGACTTGGTCGAAGGTTCTGGCCTTCCCTTTCTCTTCTCAGGCGGGGCCAGGTGAGAATTCATCCGACCCGTGGCTTTTGTAGTCTGTGGTTTCTCTGGACTCGCTGCTGTCTTCCGGGGCCTGGAGTGCCTGGGGTGTTGCTGGCCCAACTCTTCCCTGCAACTCCTCTCTTCACTAAGGGCTGCTCTATGCTTCTCCTTGGCCCTCGGGGGCCTGGCTGATCTTCGCTGGATGGGCCCCTGCGAGTCAGGCTCATTTTCCCTGGCCCGTCCTCCTCCCCAGCCCAACAGACGTGCTGACTGCAGCCTGTCCAGGCCACCGACGTGCAGGTGCTGTGCCTCCTGATACCCTCTCCTCAACTCCTCAGCCAAGCGCTGGAGCTGGTAGTTTTTCCACAGCTTGGCATCCGCTCTTCTCTGCAGAGCGAGATCGCCTTTGCCCCGGGCTTGTAGCAATTTGTGCTTTTTCCTCCAAAGCAGGTCTTCGTTATCAGGACAGAGGCTCAGCCACATGGCTCCATCCATGTTTCTGTTCCTGTCTGCGAACCCAGCAGATACAGCTTCCCAGGGAAGGTGCTTGGAGCCAAGAGTGGAGGGTTCAAGGGGCGCCCCCGGGCCTGAGGAGCCACAGAAGCCACAACGTTCCACAGCAAACCTACGAGGAAGGGAGCACAAGTGCAGCTTTCCAGATCGCTCCCAGGAGAGTGAGCAAAGCCCTGGAGACAAGCACACGGGATTCTCACTGTGAGGACAGGCTGCAAAATGTGCCCCTCCAAGCTCTCTTGACCCGTGCCCACCAGGGCCCACTCTCAGCCTCCCAATTTCTGTCCTGTACACTTTTGACAAGAGCCTGTAGGGCAGCTGTTTTGAACAGAGTGTGGTGTTGTTTCCCAGGGGACATTGGCAATGTCTGGAAACATTTTCTATTGTCACAAATGCAGGGAGGAGGTGCTCCGGGCCTGCAGCTGGGTGGAGGCGAGGGAGGCTGCTGAATACCCCACACTGCACAGGAGGGCTGCCCAAGACAGTGAATAACCTGGCCAGAGATGTCAGTAGTGCCGAGACTGACAATCCCACCCAAAGGGCAAGGGTTAGGATTCAGGTAGGGATGGAGGGGCACAAAGGGCAGCCCTTGGAAACAAATATTGAGAAGAGCAGGTGGAAGTAAAAGAGGAAGTCTGGGCCTCTGGAGGGAGAATTGATCGTAAAGGAAAGGAGGAAGAGACGGGGCAGGGAGGAGCCTGCCAAGCATGTGTGTGTGCAGGAGTGTGTGCACGCGTGTGCAGGGGTGTGTGTGGGTGTGTGCACATGCACATGTGTGTGCAGGGGTGTGTGTGCGTACATGTGTGTGCAGGGGTGTGTGTGCATACATGTGTGTGCAGGGGTGTGTGCAAGGATGTGTGTGCATGTGTGTGCAGGGGTGTGTGTGCATGTGTGTGTAGGAGTGTGTGTGCAGGGGTGTGTGTGTAGGGGTGTGCGGGCAAGGGTGTGTGTGCAGGGGTGTATGTGCAAGGGTGTGTGTGTCTCCATGCATGTGTGTGCAGGGGTGTGTGTGCAGGGGTGTGTAGGAGTGTGTGTGCAGGGGTGTGTATGCAGGGGTGTGTGTGCATAGGGGTGTGTGTGCAGGGGTGTGTGCGTGGGGCTGTGTGTGCAGGGGTGTGTGTGCATAGCGGTGTGTGTGCAGGGGTGTGTGCGCGCAGGGGTGTGTGCGTGTGCACATCTGTTTATGTTTCTGTGCACATGCCTGCACATCTGTGTGTACAGGGGGGTGTACAGGTGTGTGTATGTATGCATGTCTGTGTGTGCCTCTGTGTGCATGTCGGTGTGTGTATGTGTATGTGTCCGTGTGGGGCATGCAGGTATGTATGTGTGCATGCAAGTCTGATACTTGAATCCAGTAGAAACCAGAGAGGAGGAGAAGCTGGTGTTAGCTCTCTCTTCATGACTCCCAGCTCTTTCCTTTTATAATGATCAGAGAAGGACTCTTCCAGGTCTCTTTGGCATCAGGAAGGGACCCATGCTTTGGCAGGCCTTCCTAGGAAAGGAGGGGCATTTACACCAAAACAGTACGGGATTGTGTCTGTTGCCACGGGTAGCTGATGCCAGAAACAGCCAGATCTGTGAGCTGCAGGAAAGGCTAAGGGACAGCCACAGTCGATATGGAGTCCCCCTCCACTGCTCCTTCCCTTCTTTCATCTTAGTCTATGTGGAACCAGGCTAAGCCTTTGGAGTCAAACGTAGTTGCAGCTGAAGTCACATGTAGTTGCAGGAGTCAGAAAATACTGCATCTACATTACAGCTAACATTAACCGTGCAGGCTCCCCTCTGAGCACTGGGCATGTATCCGTTCATCTTTTTTACAGTAATCCTTTGAGATACGAAGCTCCTACCCCCCCCGGTTCACAGACAGGGAAACTGAGGCAGGCAGAGATGAAGATGCTTAACCCAGATCACACAGCTGGTAAGTGGCAGAGACAGGCCCTCTGCTGCTTGGACGAACCCCAGCACCTTTGACCAACCTCAGGTGGTCACACTGCAGCTGGCTTTGACTTAAGTCTTCTAGTGGGAGGTCCTTGCACCTCTTGGTAAATCAGATCACACAATTAGAATAGTGGTTAATATTATATTTAGCCAGATCTGCCAACCACCATGATGATCAAGAGAGAAAGGGAGAGAGAAAGCTGGGCCCTTCAATGCAATGATTGAGATTTTTGACAAAGGTGCCACGGCAATTTAATGTGGGGAAAGAATAGTTTTTTTGTTTTTCAACAAATGATGCTGGCACAGTTGGATATCCACAGGCAAAAAATGGGAATTCACAGCCTTATCTCACCCTATATACAAAAATTAACTCACAATGGATCATAGACCTTCATCTACAACTATAAACGCTTAGAAGAAAACGTAGGTGTATATTCATGACCTTGAGTCAGGCAAAGATTTCTTAGATACAACACCAAAAGCACAACCAATAAACAAAGAAACGGATAAGCTGAACATCATCAAAATTAAAAGAAAAAAAAAACCTTTGTGCTTCAAAAGGTACCATAAGTAAAGTGAAAATACAAGGTACGGACTGGAAGGAAATATTTGCAAATCATATATCCAACAGAAGACTTGAATCCAGAACATATGAACACCTCTTACTACCCAGTAAGATGGCAAATAATCCCATTTGAAAATCAGCAAAAGAAGGACAGGTGTGGCAGCTCACACCTGTAATCCCAGCACACTGGGAGGCTGAGGCGGGCGGATCACTTGAGGTCAGGAGTTCGAAAGCAGCCTAACCAACATGGTGAAACCCCGTCTCTACTAAAAATACAAAAATTAGCCGGGTGTGGTGGTACGCACCTATAATCCCAGCTACTCGGGAAGCTAAGGCAGGAGAATTGCTTGTATCTGGGAGGCAGAGGTTGCAATGAGCTGAGATTGCACCATTGCACTCCAGCCTGGATGACAGAGTGAGATTCTGTCTCAAAAATAAATAAATAAAAATAAAAATCAGCAACAGATTTAAATAGATATTTCACCAAAGAACATAGATGTGTGGCTAATACAGCACATAAAAACATGTTCAACGGCAGCGGTCTTTAGAGAAATGCACACTGACCCTGCAGTGTCCTGCCACCTCACATCCACTCCAACGGCTGTCGTCAAAAAGACAGACAATAGCAACTGTCAGTGAGGAAGGAGGGGGAGGAATTGGAACCCTGTGCACGCTGCTGGTGGGAATGGAAAATGGTGCAGCCACTTTGGAAAACAGTCTGGCAGTTTCTTAAAAAGGGAAACACAGACTTACCCTATGACCCAGAGATTCCACTCCTAGGTCTATAACCAAGAGAAGGCCTGAGTCCACAAAAAGAAACCAAAGCTCAGAGAGGTTGAATAACTTTCCCAGCTCACATGGAGGAGTTGGCCTCAGACACCAAAGACCACCAGGAACGGCCACAGGGATGTCCAATTAGGTGTGGTGAGGTCGGGGCTGCTGTGAATGCCCCTCTGTGTGTCTCGGAAGGTGCCTGGAGGCCCCAAGGTTCACAGTCTATTTCTGTGCCAAGAGCCGTTGGCTCACACCCCTTGTCAACCAACAATTAGTAAAACCTGGACAAGTCTTCCCTGCTCTGGAAGTGCCCCCAGCCCGTTCAATGACCTCAGTGCACCCCGTGCCAGCCCCACTGGCGTGGGCATCCCAATGAAGCAGCGTCAGTTTTCCTGGAGACACGCAAACGGGTAAAAACTTAACACATTTGGGCAGAGATCTTTGGGATAAGTCTAGAAAATTGCAGCCAGCTCCATCCTTCAGGAATCGATCCCCGCTCTGACACCATCAGATGCAACCTCGTCCCCGCTACCCCAGCTCTCCTTGCTCTCCCCTCTGAGACCCTCCCCACTTACTAACTTGAGGCAGAGGGCAGGGTCTCACGTGGACTTGTGCAGGCACTGGCAGGGAAAGCAACAGAGCCTTAGCTGAGCCCAAGATGACCAAGGAGAAACAGCCGTTCACCTGTTGCACAGCCTGCTGGGATGCCTGCCTCTGCCTGTGATGCCCAGGCTGATCTCCAGGCAGCCCAGTGTCTCTCCAGCCCTGCCAGACAGGACGTCGGGTGCCCTTGGCAGGACACTTGCCAATGAAGACAGCCATGGTTCCAATCAGGGCCCTCGCTACAGCTCCCCTCCCAGAGGCACCTGCCCTCTCTGGTTGCTTAGAATATTCTAGAAGGGGCAGGGGTCCTGGCGCTCCTCTGTCCTCCACATCCTCTGAGTGTTCTGAGCATCCTGGGCTGCTTTGGTGTTTTCTACTCCCCTGCTGCCCTCTGGTCCTGCCACCCCGAGCTGACAAGCCTGCCTTCTGCTGGCTGCCTTCAACCACTCAGAGAAACCACAGCTCCCCCCTCCGCAGAAGCCGCGCTCGGAGCAGCAGAAGGAAGGCGAGTGGACACCAATCTGGCCTCCGGACGGCACCAGGGCCTCCCACAGAGCGGAGTGGACACTGGGCCCATTCTCCTCTCTTGCTCTCTACAGCCCCGTGGCCCCAGCGCAGGAGCCAGCCCATGGCAGCTCCACCCCAGACCGATCCGATCCCAGCACCTGGGCCCAGGAATGTGCTTGGCCACCAGATTCCCAGCGATTCTCACCAAAGTCAGGCAACCTCTGGCCTACAGCTTGAGAATGACGTCCAAGCAGCTCGCCTTTCCCTGGGCGGCCGCTCAGACAGCTTTTCAGCCAAGGCAGACCTCACCCAGGGACCCTCCACCCAGGCAGCGTGGAAGTGCCAGGGCCCACAGACAGCACCCCCCCGCCCCCCGCCGGCCTCCTCACCCCCTCCGAAGGAGACTCCAGGCCTGCTGTGCACTCCTGTGGCATCGGGGGGCGGGGGGCAAGCATCACAGTCATAGGGAGTGTGAGGCGCCCAGAATGGGGGCTCCACAGTCAGGCCTGCACCCCGGCTGCAGGATACCAGATCCTGTGGTTCACTGTGAGACCTCCGCCTCTCTCGTCTGCCTCACGCTGCCCCCTCGCACCCCCAAGGTATGACGGCATTTGAACAATGCACGTGCCCATCTAGAGCCTTGGGGTGGGCCTGTGAGAGAGTGGCCGCCCACCCCAGTCCCCACCAGGTGCATAGTCCTGCGGCTAAGTCAGGGCGGTTGTAACAAAGGCTCAGACCCTCCAACTACCAGGCTGTGTTGTGACGAGGCTGCTGGAGCCCCAGGCACCATGACGGGAATGGGTGAATCCACCCACAGTGGGTGACTCTCAATGTGATACTAGCCCGGTACACTTAGACACCCAAAAATCAACGCGGCAGACGTTGTATCCCCAGGAGAAGGACCCCCCCGAACAGACACGTGGGACAATGGCAAGCATGGCCATCCCTGAGGACAATGGCAGGACCCAGAGTGCCTCTCTCCTCCTCAAGGCATGAACTGGCCCCTCCAGATACAGGGACAACCTTTTCTTCCCACCTCGGCCTGTAACAGACACGACACAGGCCATACCCTTGGCTAGAGTCACTGCAACATGATCCAGAGGGTGACTGTGAAAGGAGCCAGCGGGGCTGCTGTGTCGGTTTTCCTGGAGACACGGAAATGGGTACAAACTTAAAACATCTGGGCAGAGGTCTTTGGGATAAAGTCCAGAAAATCACAGCTGGCTCCATCATTCAGGAATTGATTTCCCCCATGACACCATCGGATGCAACCTTGTCCCTGCCGCCTCCAGCTCTCCTTGATTTCCCCTCTGAGCTCACAAAAAGAAACAAAAGCTCAGAGAGGCTGAATAACTTTCCCAGCTTACACGGAGGAGCTGGGTTTGAATCCAGACATCACACTGATCAGCACGCAGACCCGCAGGGTTTCATACTCTTCCGGCATTTCACGTACACCTCTCTCCATCTCACCGCCTCACCATAGGAGGTGAGGCCTATTCCTATCCGCACAATCTGACAGGGAAATTGAGACTCAGAGAGGTTAAGTAACTTGCCTAAGGCCACATAGCTCGTAATCAGGGCAGCAGGGATTCCGGGCCGAGCAGGCAGGCCCCTGATCCAGGCTCCTAGCCTGCTGCCCAGGGAGGTCAGAGCTGGAAACCACTTCCACAGCACAAGGAGACTCTGCTTGGACTGTGCTTGGCCTCACGTGACCTCTGACCTCCCTGGCCCTCCTGTGACCCTGACAGGTGTGCTGAGCTTCTGAAGGGTGGGAAGGCCTGCAAGGGGCCTGCGTGCATTCTGTGTGCATCGACCCAGGACACCACGGTTGGTGCCTCTGAGTTCATCACGTCGATCATCCCCATCTTCTTTCTGCTCAAGTACTTGATTTGTCAACATGCACAGAAGGGTGAGACCTGGCCATGGTGCTGCTTGAATCTTGTTAACAGTTAGGCTCTGATTCAATAGTCTGGGTGGGGCCCAAGACTCTGCATTTCTTTTTCTTTTCTTTTTTCTTTTTTGAGACGGAGTCTTGCTCTGTTGCCCAGGCTGGAGTGCAGTGGTGCAATCTCAGCTCACTGCAACCTCCCCCTCCTGGGTTCATGCAATTCTCTTGCCTCAGCCTCCCAAGTAGCTGGGACTATAGGCACGCGCCACCATGCCTGGCTAATTTTTGTATTTTTAGTAGAGATAGGGTTTCACCATGCCGGCCAGGCTGGTCTCAAACTCCTGACCTCAAGTGATCTGCCCGCCTTGGCCTCCCAAAGTGCTGGGATTCCAGGCATGAGCCCCCGCACCCGCCAGACTCTGCATCTCTAAAGTGCTGGGATTCCGGGTGTGAGCCCCCACGCCCGCCAGACTCTGCATCTCTAAAGCGCTCCCAGGGATGCTGATGCTGCCATCTGGGGGACCACGCTTGGAGTACTGCGGCCCTGGCAAACCATCTCTTCCAGGAAGCTGCATCTTGCTCTGCCTTCCTCCCCTGCCAGCAGCTCAGCCCTGATCATCTCTCACCTGAGGCCCTTAAAAGCCTCCCAATCAGCCTCTCTGCCCCCGACCCCCAGGCCTGCACCCCGTCCTCTCCCGCACTGCAGCCCAGCGCTGTCTAACTGAGAGACCTGGGTTACATTTCAGCATCCCCCATGTGATTCCCTGCTGTCCACACCAGCAAGTCTCTGAGTGCAACCCGCAGCCACGTGCATCATAATCAGCTGAGCTGCTGGTGAAGGGGTAGATTCCTGGGCCTCACCCCTGACAGATCCTATCCCAGCCCCTGCGGGAGGGGCCCAGGAATGCAGCCAGTTCACCAGCTGCCCTGCCAAAGCCTGGCAATCTCTGGGCCTAGAGGCTTGAGAACGGTCAAGCAGCTCGCCCTGGCTCCCCTGGGAGCCACCCTAGCCTGGAACGCTGCACACCAGACAGGGGTGGTAGAGCTCCTGGCCATTCCCAAATGCCCCACACCCAGCAGCGCCTGGAATGTGCTCATGCAGGTTCCTCGTGACATGGACACACCCCCTTCCCCATCCTACCCGCATGTCCCCAGCCCAGGCCTCGTTCCCACTCCCCCAGGATGCCCCAACCCTCCAAGGGAACAAAGAGAATGCTCTTCCCTTTCTCCAGAAGCCCAGCACCCGGGCCACATAGTCAAGCGCTTTGTCTTTGAAACATAAAAATAGCTATAGAAGGGCTCCGTTAGCTGGCATCGGCCAGAGAGAGAACATTTCCATATAATTAGAGCTTACCCTTTCATATGGAAAGTTAGACATTTCTCTGTCTAAGGCGCCTACGTAGAATATGTAATTTGACCTTCTTTGGGGGAAATTTTGGATTGTCTTTGGGATGATAATATAGGAAATCCCTCGAGGGCTTTTAAAATGTAAAGAACAGAGGTCCCATAAACTAAGTGACCCCAGAATGCAATTTGGGTTTTTTAAGTCGCCTTTTTAGAGCTTCCTGTGTCCTCCCTTCCCTGGTCATAACTGTCTGACAGCAGCCACACAAACAAGCTTATTAAAATTGTGGTTTTTTTGGCCGGGCGCGGTGGCTCACGCCTGTAATCCCAGCACTTTGGGAGGCTGAGGTGGCTGGATCACCTCACGACAGGAGTTCGAGACCAGCCTGACCAACGTGGTGAAACCTCGTCTCTACTAAATACAAAAAATTAGCCAGGTGTGGTGGTATATGCCTGTAATCCCAGCTACTCAGGAGGCTGAGGCAGGAGAATCACTTGAACCCAGGAGGCGGAGGTTGCAGTGAGCCAAGATCGCACCACTGTACTCTAGCCTAGGCAACAGAGCAAGACTCCATTTCAAAAAAAAAAAAAAATGTGTTTTTTAATAAAGTAAGTAGAGTCCGAGGTGGTGGTGGGCTCTTCCACAGGACCACTGCCTGAGCTTTCACACCTGACCTTATCAATTCAAAGCTGTGGGCATCCCCGGATACAGATAACCCTTGGGGGAGGTGGAAAATTGTTGCTAGACTCTAGCCTAGAGGTTTTTAACAGCTTGCACAACTGGCCAAATCTTACAAGATAAAAAAAGGTAATGGGAACACATCTAAAACTTATATGTGGGTCCCTAAATCCAACTATGCAAGTACAGAGGTGGGTGTGTGGAGCAGCACAGGGGACAAAAGACGCTGGGCCACCAGAAGGGCCAACGTGACTGTCCCCTGAGTGAACAGAAACGCCTCTAACATGCGAGCGAATGGTGCAGCCCAGCCAGCCCGACCTCACCTGGCCATGCTAGGAGGCAGTGGGCAAGCGGCAACGCTGTGGTGCCCAGGACGCCGGCAGGCACAGCGCCACGTCCACGGGCACCGCCCGTTCCCACCCTGCAGGACGCCACAGCATCAGACGAGACGGCCCGTGTGAAGCGCCGAGAACAGAGTCTGGCTTCCGGGAGGGCTCAGGAAATGCCGAGAGCTCGGCAGAGACACCCACGTGGTGCTGGATTCCACGCACGAGGAACCGACGGGCAGACGTGGAGCTAAATGATGGTCAACAGCTACGAAGTGCCTGTGCTCTAGAAATGGCCAATTTGATCATGTCACGGGATAAAGTTTCAAAATCAATAAAACCGTGATGAAATGATCAGGAATAAACCTGTCCAGAACTGTTCAAGACCTAAAGGAGATGCACGGGCTGAAGAACAAGGAGCAAATCTGAACGAGGGAGAGGTGTGTCTTCCTGGACAGTTCTCGGGAGAGGAGGAGGGCGGTAAGGACGGGGAGAAGAGGCCGCAGGCTTGGAGTCCAGGAGGAGAATGAACTCCTTTGGTCAGGAGGGGCCCACTGACCAAAGGTCCTAGGAAGAAAAGCCAAAGGAGGTGAGGTGGGGCAAGGGTGTTTGCAAAGGATAGAAAAGTCTAGAATGGCAGAGTATGGTGCTTAAGAGTACTATGTGACCTAGGCCAAGCGACTTCACTCTGGGTGCCTCAGTTTGCTCTTTAGGATGGGGATGATAACAACAGCAGCACCCATCTACAGAGATGCCAGTGCTTGTCACCACGAGAAGCACCTGAAATGCTTGGGGAAGAGGGGTGGTACTTACTGTGTGTGTCTCCAGATGACTGAGCTAGACCACCCAGAACACATTACAGGGAGGCAGAAGCTGACAGGAGGGCAGGAAGCACTGTCTCCAGGGCTGTCTTGAAATCACTGGGCTGACTTTGTAGGTAGTGAGACGCCCATCACTGGAGGCATCCGAACCAAGCCCAGATAAAACAAACATCAGAAACATTTTTAACTCCGTTTCTCTGAGTTCTAGCCTCTAAAAATACCCTCCATGACACGCTGTGTGCTGCCAGAGGCTTGGTTTTCGCCCTCTTCTCCCCAACTCTTAGCCACGTCCCAGTGGTGGCGGGGGGACGGGGGTCCCAAGCCACTGCACTGGGTTTTGGTTTCACTATGTTGCCCAGGCTGGAGTGCAGTGGTGCGATCTCAGCTTACTGCAACCTCCACCTTCCGGGTTCAAGCAATTCTCCTGTCTCAGCCTTCCCAAGTAGCTGGGACTACAGGCGCACGCCACCACACCCAGCTAATTTTTGTATTTTTAGTAGAGACGGGGATTCACCATATTGGTCAGACTGGTTACAAACTCCTGACCTCAGGTGATCCACTCGCCTCGGCCTCCCAAAGTGCTGGGATTCCAGGCATGAGCCACCATGCCCAGCCTGCACTGGGTTTTGGACTGGCTGTGTTAGCATCACCTGGGGCAGGGGTGGGTCACGTTAGAATGAGTCCTGGCTAGGCCCACAGCAGGCTTTTCCACCCGAATACTGGGGCCACAGCTCATGAATCTGTGTGTATCCATATCCTGGGCTGGGTCAGCTCTCCAGGGTGGAGATGGTTGGGCAGGCAGCCTCTGGGGGCAAGCTCGGGCTCAGGCCTCCCCTTGACCAGCTTCACAGAGACAGACACTGAGGCAGACTGACCTCCAAACTCCCAGCTGAGACGCCAGCTCCCCACGTGGGGGGCTTACAGCTGATGCAACCGGTGGCTCACTAAACATACCTCGACAGCGTCCATTACCGCTTCCCTGCAAACCTCAAGATCCTAAGCACCCAGCCTAGGTCAGGGGTCCCCAATCCCAGCAGGTGTTCCTGCTTCCTGAAGACCCCCCAGCCCAACTCCTCCAACAACCATATTCATCTCCAACCCAGTCCCACCAGCTTCCCTCACTCTCCTTCCCATCACACTGCCTGTGGGGAGCCCCGTGGTGCAGGGACTTTGCCGCTGGCCTTGCGAACCCACGGCTTGGAGCCCCTCCTTGGCCCACTCTCCGGGGCCCTCTTGGGAGCCTCGCTAAACAGCTGGGCATGGAAAGAACCCCACCCTCACCACAGATGGGAACAGACACAGAGAGCCTCAGCCCCGCAGTGGTCTCAGGGGCCCACTGACCAAAGGTGGCCGGAATCGCTTCCCCGCCTCCACCTGCAGCCCGGCCTCTGCCCTGGCTGGCTACTCATAGCAGGCTGTTGCCATGGGAACAGCAGAGCTGTTGAGCTGTGACATCATGGCAGGGGTGAGGTCAGGGACAGCTGTGAGCCAGCCAGGGGGCAAGCGTGTAGGTTAGGGGATCAATCATAAAGATTTGGCTCAAGCAGCCGGGAGCCATGGGGGCACCTGAAGGCACTGTTTAAGGAGGTGTGGGTGAACAAGGACAGTGCAATGTACAAATGCTCGTGGCCATACCAGGCAGAGGACATCTTTTTGTCCCCAGCTGGCTGCATGGAGACCTCCCAGGGTGTCATTCTCTCTGAGCTGTCAGGCCATTAAGGAGGTACACTTCAAGGTCAGGGTTCCTGACAACGCCTGCCATCCCTTCTCCTGTAGGGACAGCATCTGTTCACGCTTCTAAACAGCTCCAGAAAGCCATCGTTAAACTGAAACCCACTGGAGGCGGGGGAAGAAAGAATCCCGTCAACCACCTGCCCACACAGGAGGAGAAGCCACACGTACTTGGCCTCGTTTGAGGGCTAGTTCCCCACAGACAGTTTGATCAGAAGGATGGGCGAGGGAAGCTGGCAGGGCGAGGCTGGGGATGAACATGGGACACTGGGGGAGTCTGGCCGGTGCAGGGGGTTTCCAGGAAGCAGGAGTAGCTGCTGGAAATGGGGGCCCCTGACCTAGTCTGGGTGGTTGGCATCTTAAGGTCTGTGGTAAAGTGATGACTGGCATTGTCAAGATATGTTTTTTGTTTGTTTTTTAGACAGTCTTGCTCTGTTGCCCAGGCTGGAGTACGGTGGCGCAATCTCGGCTCACTGCAACCTCTGCCTCCCGGGTTCAGGGATTCTAGTGCCTCAGCTTTCTGAGTAGCTGGGACTACAGGTGCATGCCACCATGCCCAGCTAATTTATGTGTGTGTGTGTGTGTTTTAGCAGAGACGGGGTTTTACCATGTTGGCTAGGCGGGTCTTGAACTCCTGACCTCAAGCGATTCCCCTGCCTCGACCTCCCAAAGTGCTAGGATTATAGGCACGAGCCACCGCCCCCAGCCCAAGATATGTTTTAGTAAGCCGCCAGTTGGATCATCTGTAAGCAACTCACTAGAAGCTTCCAGCATCCTCCACAAATTTGACAACTGAGAAATGTGGCTGGGAAATCATGATTTGGGTCCGAAGAAGTGAAAGCAACAATCCTCAGGTTGTTGTTTCTTGAGAGAAGAAGGTAAACAGCAGGAATTCGGCTGAGGTGTCCAAATCTCGGGGAGGATGAATTCTCAGGAGAGCTGAACCTGAGACAAAGCCCTTTGTCCTGGGCTGGAAGGACCCTGGAAAGGTTATCTGGTCCCTGACTCAGGGAAGGGAGGCATTCTCCCTGCAGGAATGTTCTCGATCACAGTCCACCACCACCCCCCTACCCCCGCCCACTTTTGGAGTCCATCTTCGCAGCCCTTGATGATTCATTTTATGTCAGCTTGACGGGCTAAGGGATGCTCAGATAGCTGGGAAAACGTGATTTCTGGGTGGCTCTGGGAAGAGACTGGCATCTGAACCGGGGGACTGAGTAAGAAGATCCCTCCTCGCCAGGTGGGGCACCATCACTCAATCTGTTGAAAGCCCGGACAGAACAAAGAGACAGAGGCAGAGGCAGGCAAACCCTCCCTCTGCAAGAGCTGGGACATCCAGGCTGGGCGCGGTGGCTCACGCCTGTAATCCCAGCACTTTGGGAGGCCGAGGCAGGTGGATCACCTGAGCTCAAGAGTTTGAGACCAGGCCAACATGGTGAAACCCCATCTCTACTAAAAATACAAAAATGACCCGGGCGTGGTGGCGCACACCTACAGTCCCAGCTACTCAGGAGGCTAAGGCAGGAGAATCGCTTGAACCAGGGAAGTGAAGGTTGCAGTGAGCCGAAATCGCACCACTGAACTCCAACCTGAGCAACAAAGTGAGACTCCATCTCAAAAAAAAAAAGAGAGAGAGCTGGGACATCCACCTTCTTTCTGCCTTGGACCTCAGAGCTCCTGGGCCTCAGGCCTTTGGGCTCCAGGACTTACCCCAGTGGCCACCCCGCTTCTCAGGCTTTGAGACTCAGGCTGCATTACTGCACCAGTGACCCTGCTGCTCCAGCTCACAGACAGCAGATTCCAGGACCTCCCAGCCTTCATACTTGCATGAGTCAATTCCCACATAAATCCCATCTTACGCAGCTGGATGGAGCCTATTGGTTCTGTTTCTCTGGGAAACCCTAATACGGACCCATAGATACAAAATCTTCTATATGCTTCTTCCTCGGAGAAGATCCCTACATCTTTTATCCTCTCAGCGTGGCCTTGACGCCCATTCTAAAGCAAGGGGAGAGGTTCTAGTGAGGAGGAAATAGCATGGGGACCAACAGGATGGCACGCTAGGCCTTCGATGGCCCTTGCAGAATGTCCAGCACGACTGCCAAGTGCTCGTCAGGTCTTTTCTGGACTGAGGACATCTCTCTCAAGCCTGGGCTCTCCTGACGCTGCCTTGGCAAGCTCTAGAAGGCAGCCCCATCCTCTGGATTAATCCGCCCTGCTAAATGTTCTCTCTGGCATGGGATTCACTACTGGCCTAAGGCCAACTCAGCCTTGAGAGTCTGGGTCCATACTATTGTTGACTGCAATTAGAACCACATATTAGCAAATGCTAGCTTTTAAAAATTACAGGTACAGGCAGACCTCAGACATACTGCGGGTTGAGTTCCCACAGAATCATAATAAAGTGAATATTGAAATAAAGTGAGTCACATGACTCTTTTGGTTTCCCAAACCAATATATATTCCCAAATATAAATGTTATGTTTACATTGTACAGTAGCCCAGTAAGTGTGCAATAACATTATGTCTTATCAATGCACATACCTTAATTTACAAATACTTTATTGGCCGGGGCAGTGGCTCACGCCTGTCATCCCAGCACTTTAGGAAGCCAAGGCAGGTAGATGGCTTGACCCCAGGAGTTTCAGACCAGCCAGGCAACACAGTGAGATCCTACCTCTATAAAAAACTAAAAATAGCCAGGCATAGTGGTGCGTACCTGCAGTCCCAGCTACTCAGGAGGCTGAGGCAGGAGGATGGCTTAAGCCCAGAAGTTCGAGGCTGCAGTGAGCTAAGATCATGCCACTGCACTCCAGCCTGAGTGACAGAGCAAGGTCCTGCCTCAAAAAAAAGAAAAACCCAAAACTTGAAGAAATAAAAATAAAAATAAAAATATTTTATTGCTTGAAAATGCTAACAATCATCTCGACCTAGTGAGTCCAGTCTTTTTGCTGGTGGAGGGTCTTGCCTCCATGTTGATGGCTGCTGACTGATCAGGGTGGTGGTTGCTGAAGATTGGGGTTGGCTGTGGCAATTTCTTTTTTTTCCTTTTCTTTTTTATTTTTATTATTTTTTTTGAGACAGAGTCTCGCTCTGTTGCCCAGGCTGGAGTACAGTGGTGCGATCTCGGCTCACTGCAACCTCCATCTCCCGGGTTCACGCGATTCTTGTGCCTCAGCCTCCCGAGTAGCTGGGATTACAGGCCTGCGCCACCACACCTGGCTAATTTTTGTATTTTTGGTAGAGACGGGGTTTTACCATGTTGGCCAGGCTGGTCTTGAACTCCTGACCTCAGGTGATCCCCCCGCCTCAGCCTCCCAAAGTGCTGGGATTACAGGCGTGAGCCACCGTGTCTGGCCGGCAGGCCCACTTTCTTATTATTTGTGTGATCACCTGGAGTAGCATTTTTTAATTTCCTTCACATTCACAACTTGGCTGTTTGGCACAAAAGGCCTAGCTGTCAGCCTACCTTGGCTTTCAACACGCCTTCCTCACTAAGCTTAATCACTCCTAGCTTTTGATTTAAAGTAAGAGACGTCTCGCTCTGTCTGTCAAGCTTGAATGCAATGGTGTGATCTCGGCTCACTGCAGCCTAGAACTCTCAGGCTCAAGTGATCCTCCCGCCTCAGCCTCCTGAGTAGCTAGGACTACAGGCATGTGCCACCACACCCAGCTAAGTTCTTTAATTTTTTGTGGAGATGGGGTCTTGTCGTGTTGCCCAGGCTGGTCTCGAACTCCTGGCCTCAAGGTGATCCTCCCGCCTCAGCCTCCCAAAGTGCTGGAATTACAGGCATGAGTCCCCACGCCCAGTCCCATTATAGGGTAATTAATTGGCCTAATTTCAATATTGTTGTGTCTCAGGAAAGAGGGAGGCCTAGGCAGAGAGAGAGAGACCAGAAGCCGCCAGTCGGCCAGTTGGTGGAGTCGTCTGAACACAGACAACATGGATCAATTAACTTTGCCATCTCATGTGGGCACAGTTCATGGTGCCCCAAAACAATTACAACAGTAACGCCAAAGACCACTGATCACAGATCACCATAACAGGTATGATAATAATGAAAAAGTTTGAAATATTGCAAGAATTATTAAAATGGGACACAAACACATGAAGTGAACACGTGATGTGAGAAAAAAATGGCACCGATAGACTCAGAGTTGAGCCAGCCGTGATATTCAATTCATGAAAACGCAGTATCTGCAGAGCACAATATAGCGAAGTCCAGTAAAACAGGTGCACCCATGGAATTCATGTTCATTCTAGAGCAACTGGAAAATACACCCTTGCCAAAGAAAGTCTAATGTCCCCTCATGTGTCCAAACGTTCTGGCCAGGTGTGGTGGCTCACGTCTGTAGTCCCGGCACTCTGGGAGGCCGAGGTGGGAGGATCACTTGAGCTCAGGAGTTTGAGACCGGCCTGAACAACATGGCGAAACCCCATCTGTACTAAAAATACAAAAACTTAGCTGGGCATAGTGGTGTGTGTCTGTGGTCCCAGCTACTTGGGAGGCTGAGGTGGGAGGATTGCTTCAGCCCAGGGAGCAGAGGTTGCAGCGAGTGGAGATCGCACCACTGCACTCCAGCCTGGGTGACAAAGCGAGACACTGTCTCAAAAACAAAAAAGAAAAGAAAAAGCTATACCATGTGATGTCTGCAGAGCATCTGATGCTGTGATTTATTTAACCACGCCCCTGCTACTGTATATATAGGTGTTTCTAACGTTTCCGTAAGATAAGCAAGACGGAGATGAATATCCTTCAGCTAAATACTTCCATGTGTCCTAAATTATTTCTCTCAGAAAAACTCCAAGATATAGGGCTGCCTGATCAAAGGGAAGACTTATTTTTAAAGTCCTTGATCACTGCTGCCAAAATGCCCTTCCATGCCTCTAAACTACTCAAATTAAGGCAAAATATACCTGTCACCAAGGCCTTCTGAGGACAACATGCCTCTTGGCCAAAAGGAGCAAAGTGATGTTAAATCCAAAGCTGTGAAATCTAATCTTCTTCCCAGAGACTCGAGCCAGGATCATTCCCCTTGGATTCCTGGCACTGCCACTCTGTGGGTGACCTTGGGCAAGTCATCGGCTGCTCCCCATCCAAACACCTGCCTCACCTCCCCCGCAGAGCCTTTGTAAATAAGGAAGATGTGAAGTCCTTTGTGCTGAAAAGCCCTCGACAGTATTTTTATGCATTTGCCTGGTTGTTTTATCCCTGCTTTCCAGAACTAGTGCACAGAAGGGAAGACCACCACAGACTGTTCCTTTATTCCCTGCCCTGGAGCCAACTGGGCCAAGTGGACAAGACCTCACAAGGGAGAGTCAGGCCAGCAATGCTCATCCCAGCTCCACCCTGACCCCATTCCTCTTGGCATACTCAGTTTCTGCCTGGGCTGGGCAGGCTGGTCCTTGGCTTCTGGGGTCAGCTCAGGATTGAGGATGAAATGAGAGGAGCACCCCCAGAAGAGAAAGTGCTGAACCAGAAGCCCAGGAGAGTCATGTGTGTGCGTGTCCATCTAAGCCTTTGCCCCAAAACAGTAGGTAGGTCAGGTGCAGTGGCTCATGCCTGAAATCTTAGCACTTTGGGAGGCTGAGATGAGAGGATCACTTGAACCCAGGAGTTCGAGACCAGACTGGGCAACATAGCAAGATCTGGTTTCTAAACACAAAAGTAATTTTAAAAATTAGCCAAGCGTGGTGGCACACACCTGCAATCCCAGCTACTCGGGAGGCTGAAGTGGGAGGACTGCTTGAGCCCAGGTGGTTAAAGCTACAGTGAGCTAGGATCACGCCACTGCACTCCAGCCTGGGCGACAGAGCAAGACCCTCATCTCTTTAAAAAAAAAAAAGATAAATCAAGGAGCCCACCTGTCCCCAGAGCTCTCCTGCCACAGTGTCAGCACATGCCTTCTGAGCATAATAATCCCCCCGGACCTGAAGCCCACGAATGACCCCCCCACCCAGTCCTTTCTCCCTCATGTCACGTCAAGTGCTGTGTCACTGAAGCACCCCGTACCCCATCACCTGGTGCCAGAGGCCTGGCCATGGTGCAGCTGGACCCCCAGCTGCCCGTGTGACCGTGGGCAAACGGATTATGTCACCTTCCCAGTGTTAGAGAGACCCAGTGGTGACAAACGTCCTCTGTACCTAGGGTCACCGTAAGGCTCGGGTCTCATCGGGTTTCTGTACATGCTCTAGACGTGCAGCGTCATGCTACCGACACTCCAAGTAGCCGGCCTTGCTGGCACTCCTGGCTTTCTCCCTTATTCCACCCCCCGCCCCCCACAACATTACGGGACCCAGGCCGGGCACTGTGACCCAGGCAGTGTGGATTCTCAACTAGCTGGAGCAAACAGGGAACTAGGGCACAGAAAAGGCAGAGTCACACAACCGGAGGCGGAGTGTCCGTCTAGTACTGGGACCCGGTGTGATGCTTTAAGGAACACACCTGCCGTCCTTATGTGAGCTGGGCTGGGCCTTTATTTTTAATGGACACATAATTGTAATATTTATGGCATATATAGTGATGTTTAGATACATACAATGTATAGTGATCAGATCAGGGTAATTAGCACAGCCATCATCTCAAGCATTTCTTTCTTTGTGGTAGGAACATTCAATGTCCTCCGAGCTATCTGAAACTATACAATATACTTTTGTTAATTTCTTTTTCTTTTTTTTTTTTTTGAGACACGGAGTCTCGCTCTGTAGCCCAGGCTAGAGTGTGGTGGCGTGATCTCGGCTCGCTGCAACCTCCACCTCCCGGGTTCAAGCGATTCTCCTGCCTCAGCCTCCTGAGTAACTGGGATCACAGGTACACACCACCAGGCCTGGCTAATTTTTATATTTTTAGTAGAGACAAGGTTTCACCATTTTGGCCAGGCTGGTCTCAAACTCCTGGCCTCAGGTGATCCGCCCACCTTGGCCTCCCAAAGTGTTGGGATTAAAGGTGTGGGCCACCGCCTGGCCTATTGTTAATTACATTAATCCAACAGTGACATGGAACACTATAACTCATTCCTCCTATCTAGCTGTAATTTTGTATCCTTTAACAAATCTCTCCCTCTCTCCTCCCCCAACCCTTCCCAGACTCTAGTATTCTCTGTTCTACTTTTGACTTCGATGAGATCAACTTTTCTTTTTTTTAGCTTTCCCATATGAGTGAGAACATGCCATGTTTAACTTTCTGTTCCTGGCTTATTTCACTTAACGTCTTCCAGTTCCATTCATGTTGCTGCAAATGACAAGATTTCATTCTGTTTTATGGCTGAGTAGTATTTCATTGTGTAGATGTACCAACATCCACAATGAAATACTATTTCATTCTTTAGCCATTCATCTGTTGTTGGACACTGAGGTTGATTCCATATCTTGGCTATTGTGAACAGTGCTGCCAGGACCATGGGGGTGCAGGTGTCTCTCTGATGCACTGATTCCCTTTCCTTTGGATAAATGCCCAGTCGTGGGACTGCTGGATCATATGGCCGTTCTATTTGTAGTTTTTTGAGGAACCTCCACCATAGTGACTGTACTACTTTCCATTCCCACCCACCGCATATACGAGTTCCCTTTTCTCCCCTTCCTTGCCTGAGCTGGGCCTTTCTGATCATCTGTCCCCGTCCCTTGAACTCTTGATCTGGACTGAGGGAAGAATGGTGGCAGAGGCGAGCTGGGGAGCAGGGAGGAACCAGGCTGTCGCAGGAGAAACAGAATATTGCGAGCCAGCCGTGTGGAATGGAAAGGGGAAGCTGGTCTTCCTGCCCCACACTCCTGCCTTTCTTCCTTAAGGGCTCCTTGGACAGAGACTGCAGGTTTCTCAGAAGCACTGTCCAGGATCTCAACATTCTAGAAGGGTCTAGGACAAACTAACTAACTATTGAGCCCCTCCAGTGCTTTTGTTGTTTTTGTTTTTTGTTTTTTGTTTTTTGAGACAGAGTCTCACTCTGTCACCCACGCTGGAGTGCAGTGGCGTGATCTCAGCTCACTGCAACCTCCGCCTGGGTTCAAGTGATTCTCCTGCCTCAGCCTCCCGAGTAGCTGGGATTACAGGTACCCGCCACCATGCCCAGCTAATTTTAAAAATATTTTTAGTAGAGATGGGGTTTCGCCATGTTGGCCAGGCTTGTTTCAAATTCCTGACCTCAAGTGATCCGCCCACCTTGGCCTCCAAAAGTGCTGAGATTACAGGCATGAGCCACCCCACCTGGCCTCCATTTGACTCACTCATCAAAAATTTAATCTTGGCAGGGTGTGGTGGCTCACGCCTATAATCCCAATACTTTGGGAGGCCATGGCGGGTGGATCACTTGAGGTCAGGAGTTCAAGACCAGCCAGGCCAACATGGTGAAACCCTATCTCTACTAAAAACACACCAAAAAAAAAAAAAAAAAAATTGAACTGGGCATGGTGGCACACGCCTGAAATCCCAGCTACTGGGGAGGCTGAGGCAGGAGAATTGCTTGAAGCCGGGAGACAGAGGATGCAGTGAGCCAAGATTGTGCCACTGCACTCCAGCCTGGACAACAGAGTGAGACTCTGTCTCAAAAAAAAAATATGAATCTCCCATGGCACCACACTGAAGAGTCTGATCTTGCTTTTACAGAAGAGGAAACCAAGGCTCAGAGAGGCACACAGTCGGGATTCAGAACCAGTCCCACTTGACTCCAAAGCCCAGGCTCTTTTCTCCAATACTTTTCATGTCGCCTCTTTTCTCTGAAATGTCCATTTCCTCATTCTGTCCTTGGTTAAGCAGCAGCTGTTGGCGGGTGCTCTGTCCAGGCCTCCGCTACCATGACGAGCCTTGGCAAAGCCTGCCCCACTGCCAGTTTGCTTTGCCACGTCTGTGTCAGGAAAGCTCAATCAATCTCTCCCGATTACAGATCAGAAAGGGCCAAATAAACTCTCAACCCAAGCCAGATTCTGTCCCTGAAGATGCAGTAAGGGGGTCTCGGTACCCACAGAACATCCCACCACAGAAAGCCAGGCTCCAGCCTGAAAGTCCATCTTCCCTGCTCTAGCCCACCCGTGCGATGAAGAGCACAGAAGAGGCGGGTGAAGGCATTGCATCTTCAGCATCGGCTTGGAGAATGACACCCTGCAGGTTCCACTTCTTCCCAGGCCACCTGCTTGCTTCTGGAAAGCAGGGAACAGGCAATCCGGGGAGAGAGGAGCCAGCCACACAAGGACTGGGAAGCCCAGACCTGTGCCATCAGCCTGCGATGACTTAGGCTGGGGATCCGAAAAGGTTTCTATGAACAGCCAGCTGGTAAGTAATTTAGACTTTGAGGCCCATACAGTCCTTGATCACCGCCATTCAACTCTGTTGTTATAGCACAAAAGCCACGTGGGTTTGGCCTTACCAGTGGGCGTGGCTGTGTTCCAATAAAACTTTATTTGCACTAGGCCAGGCACCGTGGCACAAGCCTGTAATCCCAGTACTTTGGGAGGCCGAGGCGGGCAGATCACCTGAGGTTGGGAGTTCCAGACCAGCCTGGCCAACATAGTGAAACCCTGTCTCTACTAAAAATACAAAAATTAGCCGGGTGTGGTGGCAAAAAGAAAAAAAAATATTTACAACAACAGGCCATCAGCCCAGCAGTGGGTCTAGTTTGCCAACCGCTGGAAAAAGCCAACAACATTTTGGGAGGCCGACTGCCGGCTACAGGACCTCGCCATACCAACAAGGGCTGAGACCCGCGGCTCTGCAGGGCTCTAACAACAGCGTTTGACCTGAGTCTATCTGGGGAAACATCACGTGAACCCACGTTGAGGCCCTACTCTGGAAGCTGCAAAATTAGAGATGATGGCTGTGCGGCTCTGTGAATGTACTCAAACCGCTGAACTGTGCACTTTAGAGGAGTGACCTCATGGTATGTGAATTACATCTCAATAAAGCAGCTCAAAAGCAGGCTGGGTGCAGTGGTTCACGCTTGTAATCCCAGTGCTTTGGGAGGCCGAGGTGGGAAGACGGCTTGAGCCCAGGCGTTCAAGACCAGACTGGGCAACGTGGCAAAACCTCGTCTCGACAAAAAATGTAAAAATTAGCTGGGTGTGCTGGTATGGTCCCATAGTTCCAGCTACTTGAGAAGCTGAGGTAGGAGGACTGCTTAAGCCCAGGAGGCTGAGGCTGCAGTGAGCCATGATCATGCCACTTTACTCCAGCCTGGGTGACAGAGCAAGAACCTGTCTCAGAAAAACAACAACAAAAAAAAACAAAAAACATAGGCCGGGCACAGTGGCTCACACCTGTAATCCCAGCTACTCTGGAGGCTGAGGCAGGAGAATTGCTTAAACCCAGGAGGCGGAGGTTGCAGCGAACCAAGATTGCACCACTGCACTCCAGCCTGGGCCACGGAGCGAAACTCTGTCTCGGGGAAAAAAAAAAAAAAAAAAAAATTCTAGGCAATGGATACAATCAGGATGATTTTTCTTGCTTTTTGCTTAAGTGTCTTTTCCATGATTAACACATATAGTTGTGTAATTATTTTAAAGTTAGAAGGCATTTGGGACGTGAATGGAGAGACAGAGAAGTTTTCTTTATGATGGAGAGAGGCGGAAGGGACGGCTTCCTCTGCGAGGGTGCAAGGGCTGACCTGGGAGAGCAGGCAGCTGCGACTAACGCTGGCTGGGGCCTGCCTGACTTCCCCTTGAGTCCTCAGAGGCACAGGTTATAACCCAATGTTTTATTGCTTCTTGAGAACATTATTGGCATTCATCTGCCTTCGAAATTTTGGCTATTCATTTATTTATTTATTTATTTATTTATTTATTTATTTGAGATGGAGTCTCGCTCTGTCTCCCAGGCTGGATGGAGTACGGTGGCCCGATCTCGGCTCACTGCAACCTCCACCTCCTGGGTTCAAGTGATTCTCCTGCCTCAGCCTCTTGAATAGCTGGGATTACAGGCACCCGCCACCATGCCCGGCTAATTTTTGTATTTTTAGTAGAGATGGGGTTTCATGATGTTGGCCAGGCTGGTCTCGAACTCCTGACCTCAGGTGATCCACCCACCTTGGCCTCCCAAAGCACTGGGATTACAGGGATGAGCTACTGCACCCAGCCAAGCTGTTTTTTTTTTCTTTATAGACAGAGTCTTGCTCTGTCCCCCAGGCTGGTACAACCATAGCTCACTGCAGCCTCAAACTCCTGGGCTCCAGTGATCCTCTCACTTCAGCCTCCCGAGTAGGTGGGACTACAGGCACGTGCCACCACCCCTGGCTAATTTTTAAAATTTTAATTTATTTTATGTAGAGATGAGGTCTTGCTATGTTGCCTAGGCTGATCTGGAACTCCTGGGCTCAAGTGATCCTCCCGCCTCAGCCTCCCAAAGTGCTGGGATTACAGGTGTAAGCCACCGCGCCTGGCCAGTCTGGGCTTTTTCTTTTTTTTTTTTTGAGACGGAGTCTTGCTCTGTTGCCCAGGCTGGCATGCAGTGGCACGATCTCGGCTCACTGCAACCTCCGCCTCCCGGGTTCAAGTGATTCTCCTGCCTCAGCCTACTGAGTAGCTGGGATTACAGGTGCCCGCCACCACGCCCAGCTAATTTTTGTATTTTTAGTAGAGATGGGGTTTCATGATGTTGGCCAGGCTGGTCTCAAACTCCTGACCTCAGGTGATCCACCCACCTCAGCCTCCCAAAGTGCTGGGATTACAGGCGTGAGTCACTGCAACCGGCCCAGTCTGGGCTTTTGAAAGTACTGTGCTCTGAACATTTTTCTAGGTCATAAACACAAATCTGTAATATCATTTGAAATGTCTGCTCACTCTGTTGCGGCAGGGAGAAAGATTAATTGATTTAGCTTATCTCCAGCAGACAGGCAAACCTCATGAACAAGGCCAGCCTCAGGAGCTCCTCTCCCTCCTCAGTGGCTCCATCCGTCACCTGTAGAGCTTCAGCCCAGCTCCACAGCCTAGACCATTCATCCCCAAGCCAGTATCAGTCTGAATCAGCACCATTCTGTTGATGTACCTCCTTTTAAAAGCCGTCTCTCTCTCTTTTTTTCTTCTTTTTTTTTTTGAGACAGAGTCTCACTCTGTCACCCAGGCAGGAGTGCAGTGGTGCGATGTCGGCTCACTGCAACCTCTGCTTCCCAGGTTCAAGCGATTCTCATGCCTCAGCCTCCCGAGTAGCTGGGATTACAGGCGTGCACCACCACGCCCAGCTAATTTTTTTATTTTTAGTAGACATGGAGTTTCACCATGTTGGCAAGGCTGGTCTTGAACTCCCGACCTCAGGCGATCCACATGCCTCGGCCTCCCCAAGTGCTGGGATTCCAGGCATGATTCCACCGTGCCCGGCCTAAAAACCATCTCTTCTTTTACTCTGCTATTTCCTAGCCAGCTAACCCTGAGCAGGTTCCTTAGTGGGCCTGTGCCTCCGTTGGATCGTCTGTACAATGGGGATGAGGATAGGGAAGGAAATGGGTTGACACTAGTGAAGAGCAAGAACATACCTCCAAGCCCTTGGCACCTCTGCCAGCTGTTATTGTTGCCATAGTCATTATCACCATGTCATGATTCACCTCCCTGGCTGCTCCCAGGCCTCCCTCAGGGCGGGGTGGGGAGGAACAAGAACACAAAGACAGGGAGAGCCAGGGTTTGATGCAGAAAGAGCTGGTGTCCCCCACTAGCTCCGAGAGCTTCCTGGGAGGCAGGAAATTCGCCTCTCCTTTTTGGAGGTGTGGAAGTGGGGGCAGAGAGAGGCCACCTGTCCCGGATCGCTCTGCTGGACTCAATCTGGGGCCAGCATTTGACCCCCGCTCACCCTGTTTGCTATGAATGTCAGTTCCCCTCGCTACTGCTGGCTCCCTTCCCCCTCAATGCTCCGTTTCCTGTTCCCTCCAAGGCCCCGTTACACAATTTCCACTGTCTGCTGAAGTTCTAGCTCAAATCCCTCTCGCCGAGACTTTCTGGTCACCAGATTCCAGCAGAACTCAACAGAGACCTCTACCCGCCTGAGCTCCTGACCAGGTTAGAGGGCATCTGGCTCCCAGGCACTGGGTCAAGCTCCAGAGGCATCTCCTGTGTCTGCCCGCGACCCATGGCCCCGCTCAGGGCCTGCCTTCCATCTCCTGGGTCTTCCCCAGTGCAGGTGGGAGCTCTGCTCCCCTGGTAACTGCGAGCCTCTCAACACCACCTTCCTCCTCAGTGTCATCCCCCTCCTGTCTGCCCCCTCTCCCCCAGTGCAGGGGCCATAAAGCCTTCCCCGGAGTCCCACTGCCAGGTCCCACTGCCGGGCCTCCAGGCTTTGCTGCTCCACCTGGGCTCAAGCCTGGCCATACTTTGTTCTAATGACTCTGTCCCCCTGTGGTACACTCTCTACCACAGCCACCCTGGGCTCCCCATACCCACCCCAGGACCTTTCCTCGGGGCTTATCTTAGCTCTGATAAGATCCACCCCTCAGGGCCCACAATCTCAACAGTGTCCTAACCTCGGTAAGAGTCTCTAGCAAGAGGTGCAGCCTGCAAGATGATCTTCGCATTCCTGCGCTCACTTCCTTGAAGATGGGCACCATGGCTTTGGAGTTTGAGACCAGCCTGGCCGACAGGGTGAAACCCCGTCTCTACTAAAAATACAAAAAATTAGCCGGGCGTAGTGGCGGGCGCCTGTAGTCCCAGCTACTTGGGAGGCTGAGGCAGGAGAATGGCGTGAACCCAGGAGGCGGAGCTTGCAGTGAGCCGAGATCCCGCCACTGCACTCCAGCCTGGGCGACAGAGCGAGACTCCGTCTCAAAAAAAAAAAAAAAAAAAAATACAAAAATTAGCTGGGCATGGCAGCACACACCTGTAATCCCAGCTACTCGGGAGGCTGAGGCAGGAGAATTGCTTGAACCCGGGAGGCGGAGGTTGCAGTGAGCCAAGATCGCACCACTGCATTCCAGCCTGGGCGACAGAGCAAAACTCCGTCTCAGAAAACTAAATAATTCCTTGACACACTTGCCATAGTATTTCTGTGTACGGTAGGCACCCAAATTCTATTGTAAAACAAAATATAAAAACACTTAAGTGAATAAATTCTGTAAGAAGCAGGTATCTAAGACATAGACACCAGGCCCTTCCTAACTGGTGAGGTCTGGAGTTCCCTCAGGCCATGTGTGGTCCAGCTGTGATCAGAGTTTGAGATCAAAGAGCAGCTGCCGTCTACCAAGGACGTCTTCCCCATGGAAGACAACCACAGAACCTCCCAGGTCTTTGGAGCCATCCCTGAGACCAGCTAGGAGGCCAAAGGACACTGATGGCATCCTTTCCCCAGAGCTGGTTACAGGTCTGCCTCGGACTCCCCTCGTGGTGGTAGTGTCTGAGCGGATCCTGGCTGCCCAGGGCGGCCGAGTGCAGAATGAGGGTGGAAGAGGAGAGAAAGGCAAGATCGTTACCATCGCTCAGCTCCGAGACTAGGCAGATACTCACAAGAAACAGAAGACTCGAAACCTATAAAAAGACTCCTTTTAAATGGCAGTGACTTGACGTTTGGAGGGCCACAGGCACCTTTGAGAAGTTGGCGGCTGCCACTGTCCACAAAAAAAACACGTACGCGTGCACACACAAACACACACACACACACACACACACACACACACACAACTTCACTTACAGTTTCCGGGCTTGTGACCACCCCCAAACCCGCCAGGCCTATCTCTGGCTGGGTGTTCACACACTCTGGGTTAGGACCCCTCTTTTATAAAGACTGTTCCTCAATTTGCTTCTTAGCGTAAACACACTCTCAACCTGACTTGCTGGGGCTCCGGAAGCTTTCCCTGGGCTCCAGTCTGACCTGGCTGACTGGGGAGTAGCTCAGCCCTCAGTTGTAAGGTGGGAATCATCGGGGCGGGGTCTCTGTGCCCTTCCCTCTGCCGCTGCACAGCCACGTCCCAGCAAATGCACGAGGGCACCAGGGCGTCAGGGCACAGGCTGCAGGGGTCCAGGCAGGTGGGCCCTGGGAGGTCCTGGGGACACCAGCTTCATCCTGCCTGCCACTCTGAGACATCCATGCTCCTGACCATCTCTCCATTGGGAAGTCTGGGTCTGCCCGCCTTCCCTCCTCCCAGCAATCTCAGGGCAGCTCATCTGCCTGCTTACTCCACCCCCCGACACTGAGGTGGTCAGCCTCCACACTTTCTGTTCAGACCCACGGGCAACAAAAACAAAACCTTGGCCAAGCACTCACAATATCAGATATTCATTAAAAAAGTATATATAGGCCGGGCACCGTGGCTCACATCTGTAATCCCAGCACTTTGGGAGGCCAAGGTGGGCAGATCACTTGAGCTCAGGAGTTCGAGACCAGCCTGGGCAACATGGCGAAACCCCATCTCTACAAAAAATTAAAAAAATTAGCTGGGCGTGGTGGCTGCTTGGGAGACTGAGGTGGGAGAATCGCTTGGGCCAGGAAATTGAAGCTGCAGTGATCTGTGATTGCACCACTGCACTCCAGCCTGGGTGACACAGCAAGACTCCGTCTCAAAAAAAAAAAAAAAAATTATATTTGGAGTACAACTCTGAATCCATATGCTAACTATTCATAACATTCTTAGCACCGAGGCTGTACTGGGCACCCCTCCGGAGACGACTGGTCTATGCCAACTTTGGCGGGCGGCAGCAGCACCTGGAGAGTCCTGAAACTCCAGTGCCACCCCCAGGCCCGCTCCAGCACGCGGAGTTAGGCGGCTGCCTTCTACCAGGCTCCCTGGGCAACGCCCGCTGTCATTCCACAGCCAGAACATCTTTGGTGGCTGCGTGGGTCCCGGGATGGAATGCAGATGTCACATGACAAGCCAGAGCCGTGACATTTGGCCCCAATCTCCTTGTGGGTCCCCCTGAATCCCCAGGCTCCTCTTTGGCCTACTCTGTACCCAGAACTCTCACCTTTCCTGGGGCAGTTGGTCCCTTGGCTTAGAACACCTGTGCACACCCCACCCTGCTGCCGCTAAATGACCAGGGGTTACGGTCCCCAGTGCCGTCCTCCAGATGCGGCTTCTTCACCCTCCCTTACCTTGATTTCTTCACTCTGCCCTCCCCTCTTGAAAAAGACCATCTGCTGGGTGCGGTGGCTCAAGCCTGTAATCTCAACACTTTGGGAGGCCGAGGTGGGCGGATCACGAGGTCAGGAGATCGAGACCATCCCGGCTAACACGGTGAAACCCCGTCTCTAATAAAAATTCAAAAAAATTAGCCGGGCATGGTGGCGGGCACCTGTAGTCCCAGCTACTCGGGAGGCTGAGGCAGGAGAATGGCGTGAACCCGGGAGGCGGAGCTTGCAGTGAGCCAAGATAGCGCCACTGCACTCCAGCCTGGAGACAGAGTGAGACTCCATCTCGAAAAAAAAGAAAAAGAAAAGAAGACCATCCTAGCCATGCAGCCACTTGCCCTCCGTCCCTGGTTTGTGAGCCTGTGCGTGCACCGGGGGACAGAGAGAGTGTCCAGGGCATGCACCCCTCCTGCCCCTGCCACTGCCACGTCTGCCTGTCTTTGCTTCCTTCTTATCTCCTCCTCCCTGCTGTTGCATCCCTCCTCGCAGCTGCCTGGGAAGCCTCGGGCAGACCTCTTTGTTGTTTCCGAACCCAAGACGTTCACCCCTACACACGACCCCCACTGCATCGAGTCAGTGGTTCTGCATCAGGACTGGAGACGGCTGCCCGCGCCTCTCAGTCTCCCAGGAGTCATCTATGCCCTGTTCTCCATGTGCTCAGATGTCGCCACAGAGTCTGAACCTCTCAGCCCACACCAGTGGCATCTACCTAGCAACCTGGCTGCGACAGCAGGGAGGAGGGAGGCAGTACCCAAGCCCACCTGCAGCTCACAAACGACAGGCCAGGACTGCGTACGTGGCTCTGCACCCCCAGAAGGGTGCAAATAGGGGAGGCCCGAGAGGCTCTGAGGCTGGCACTGTCCTCAGATCCCAGATAGGGAGAAACGTGTGTTGTCCAGAGAGCTCCTTCCAGCACCTGCCATACCTCCAGGCTGTGCACAGCTCTCCCTGCTCTTCCAGTCCCCCTGCCTTGGGAGCTGCCAGTAATTCAGGGGTCAGTGACTCCCCTGACAGATCCTGTCCCTCCAAGGACGCTGTTCAAAACCAAGCCGAAGAGCCTCAGTTCTCCCCACAGCTCCCTCCTCAACCTACCATGGGGCCTTCTATCCTCACATCTTGCAAATGCATTTCACATTGTCACATGATTACTCCTGAATTTTGGTTATTTCGAAAGTTTATCTGTTGTTAATTATTTACCGAAACCACACTGAGTGGACTGACTTTATACCACACCTGGGCAGTTGAGGAGGGGAGGCCTGCTCACCACGCCGGGCAGCAGGAACCCCCTTCCACACCGCCTGGTGCCAAGATGTACCACCCCCTGCATCCCCCACCACAGGGACAATGTCTTGCTTCTCCCTTACATCCCCGGGGGCAGAGGCAGCCACTCCATAATTGCTTGTTGAAACACAGACAAGCCCAATATGAAAATCAAGATGAACAAAACTGACAATACAGATCGATCACATACTTCGCACAACGAGTTGCCAACAGTTTCTTTAAAAAGCGCCACGCCGCCCCCTCGCATGGAAGGCCTGACCCAGCTCACATGAATCTGATGCTGTGTTGCTTTTCCTGAGCACGTGTCCTGAAGACAGAGCCATTTTTGACTGCGTGCTGTGTGTTTTCTGGGGTGGCCCCTACTATCTGTCTGGTCCCTGTCACTGTGTCCCCCAGGAACCAGGTCACCCTTGGCTGTTCACCCCAGAAAATAGCAGTTGTTCCCCCTCTTGGTTGTGGACCCCTCTCTAGCTGGAGCTGGAGCTCCTCGGGGGATTTGCAGAGGACAGTTTCTGGAGGTGGGAACATGTGAGGAAGATGTCATCGCAGAGGTCTTCTAGGATAATGTGTGGCCTTAGGTACTGCCACCCAAGCCAGAGGAGAGGTTTTATTCTCTGCATCCAGAGAGCTCCTGGCTTTACCCTTGAGTCCAGAAACGGGCCCAAGCAGCCCGAGTCTGCCAAGTAGCTCAGCTGGCTAAGTGGCTCCAGGCATGGGACTGCCTGAATGGTGAGCCCAAAGCTAATTTCCAGCCAGATCCCTGTAGCTGTGCAGGCTGGCAGTAGATGTGAAGGATTTCACTGGGTGAGAGGGAGCCGGGCCAGCAGCGCATTTGAACAGTACTGTAACTGAGACACAAAATGCTTCCCGTTTGTGCTGGCCTTGCTGGAAAGGACAAGGACCTGGGGCCTTCCAGGAAGAAATCAGGTCACCTCTTACCATCCCTTATCCTAAACATCACCACCTCATCATGAATTATCTTTGCCGACCACAGTTCCGGTCCTACCAACTGCAAGAGCTGCTAGGGAGATACCTCCCAGAAATCCTCAGCCGGGCAGACAGAAATCTGACTGTTTCTTAAGCCAATTGCCTCTTGTAGACACCAAGCCATTTAACAAGGCTGCATGCAGCCAAGAGTAAAAGGAGCCAGCTTGCCACATAACAAGCCAGCCTTTATTAACCTCCACTGTACCCCCTTTCTGAGACCCCTGGGTCACAGCCCTGGTTAAATCACCTGTGGGCCTTTTAAAACTGCAAAAGCCGAAGTCTGAGCAAGACCCTCTGTATCTGCAAAGGGACCTAGACCTGAGCAATCTTTAAGAATCTTCCAGGCAATTCTGCTCTGAGCCAGAATGGGGAACCATTGCTGAGAAAGTCACAAACCTGCATCGCTTCGAGGAGAATCGAACACTGGAGAATAGACAGGCCGCTGTCGTCCCTGTGGGATTTGTTCCGGGACCCTACCCTGGGATGTCCTGGGTTGTTTATCCCAAGTTGGTTGAGCACGGAAAGGGTGACTGGGAATAAGAGAAGGCAGCCTGGTGTATGGGCTGAATTACGTCCCCCCTCAAATGCACATCTAGTCAGATCCTATGAATATGACCTTATTTGGAAATAGAGTATTTGTTGATCTATCAAGATGAAGTCATACTGGATTAGGGTGGGCCCTAAATCCAATGGCTGCTGTCCTTAGAAGAACAGGGCAATTTGGCCGGGCGCGGTGGCTCACGCCTATAATCCCAGCACTTTGGGAGGCTGAGGCAGGCGGATCACCTGAGGCCAGGAGTTCGAGACCAGCCTGGCCAACATGGCGAATTCCTGTCTCTACTAAAAATACAAAAAATTAGCCGGGTGTGGTGGCAGGTGCCTGTAACCCCAGCTACTTGGGAGGCTGAGGCAGGAGAATTGCTCGAACCCAGGAGGCGGAGGCTGCAGCGAGCCGAGATTGCGCCATTGCACTCCAGCCTGCTCTCCAAAAAAAAAGAACAGGGAAATTTGGACACAGAGACACACGAGAGAAGGCCATGTGAAGACAGGCGGAAATGGAAGTGATGTGTTCCTTGAAAATGGAACCAAGCAACATCAAGGAGAGAGGCCTGGAAGAGATTCTCCCTCACAGCCCCCAGAAGGAACTGGCTCTGTGGACACCTTTTCAGACTTCTGGCCTCCTGAGCTACAGAGAATCGATTCCTGTTCTTTTAAGCCCTCCCATTTGTGGTAGTTTGTCACAGCGGCCACAGGAAGCGAATGCCCTGAGCTCTGCAGTGCAACTCTGGCATCTGACTGGGCCTCTGAGCCGGGATGGGGTGAAAAGTTTTAGCTACAGGATGATTTTGATGCAAAGATTTAGACACAAATGCCAGGCAACCCAGAAGAGGAGAGTGCTGCGCTGAGCATGAAGGAGGCGGGAGGCACGCACTGCAGCCCTCCACCCTCTGCCATCCTGGATCCACACCCCACGCAGAAACAGCTCCCAGCTCAGTGGCCGCCTTAACTTATGCCAAGCAAGGACAGAGTGGCTGCCTGGACATTCTCCCACACAGCTGAGGAGTGTGTGTGTGGGGCGGGGTGGGGGGGGGGGCGGGAGGGGGAGGGGTCCCAAGGCCCAACTCCTACAAATCCAACTCCCAGGTCCTTTTATCCACAGCCTCCTTCTGGGCCTTGGCTACATCCTGCCCCAGCACGTGCTGGTGAGCCAAGGAGCCTGGACAGGCCTGCACTCCTCGTGGACCCCCAGAGAAAGGCCCATTATGGCTCCCTCATCAAAGGAACCTCTCCTTCACCCACAAATCTTGCTGAGCACCAAGGCTAAACTGGAGAAAAGACCTCATTTCCCCCAAACTGGGTTTTGTGGAAACTGACACAGGCACACACCAAGCCTTCCGCCCAGGTGGCCTGAGCCACCTGAGACCTGTGATCTCAATAGATTGGTGCAACTGAAAACTTCCCCAGCTGGGCACGCAGCTCCTAGGGCTAACCGGGGTGGGGCAAGAAGCCGTGGGCGGGGTATGGGAAGGGCGTGGCTGACAGCAGGAGAAACAGAAAGTCCCACCTCCACTCTGGGCAGGTGAGGGGGCCCCCGCCTTGCTCCATCTGCCCTGGACAGGTCACTCGACTGAGACTCAGACATAAGAAGGAAGGAGGGCAGGGGGCTCCGAGACCACCTGCCGTGTAGCCAGACTTGCCCCAGGAAAACCATGCTGACCAGCACCAGGGCTGCAGAGGCTTGAGGTGCAGGACCAGGGTGGAAACTTCGAGCCAGCGGGTTCCTCCCATTTCTGCTGGTCCTCCCCCTCCATGGATCAGAACAAATAACTGGGCCCCTCCTGCCTCCCTCCATGGCGCCTGTCTTTTGGGGGCTAGGAGTCCGGAGGTCATGGGTATTTGCTGGGGAATCTGAGCAGCAGCACAGTCCCACGTGCCGGGTCCGGTCACCAAAGTCTCCAGCTTTTGTGGACGTCCCGAAAAAGCGGAACATTCGGGGGTCCCGGTCCCTGCCCAGCCAGTTTGCAGGGCCTCCTGGGCAGGGCGCAAGCAAGGAGCCACGCCAGGAGACGCCACCGGCTTTTTCACCTGCCCCTCTGGGCCTGTGGAACCTGCCTCGGGTAGGGCGGGCTTCCATCCCACCCTGGCTTGATCGGGGAGCCCCCAAATGGGGCTGGTGGGAGAAGCCCCAGCAGAGAAGCCCTTCCCCACCCAGCCCCAAGCCCAGAGAAGCCCAACTCCCACCTTATCTGCGAAAGTTTCTTCCTGGGGTCCCCAGTCCTCCAGCCCCCCGCCCCCACGCCGTGTCCCCCACGCTCCCCGCCCCCAGCGCTGGCATCCCAGGGCGCGCCGCCTGCCAAAAGCCAAACTGGCTCCCTTTCCTGGGGCTGGAGCTGCGGCGGAATTTCGGTGGAATTTTGAGGTTGAGACGCATCTCGGCAAAGAGAGGGAAAGAAAGGGAGAGGAGGGAGGGGGGAAAGAAAGTCGGCTCTGGGCGTCCACTTGCAGGATTCGAGAAGGCGCCGAGGGACCAGGAGGCGGGCGCTGGGGTCCCTCGGCCAGCGGCGGGCGGGCGGGGCGTCTGCGAACCCTCGGGGTCGCGGGGGAGGTGGGGCCCCGCGCGGGGGCTGGGGTCGCCGCTCCTTACCTACATCTGCATTGCAAAACGCCTGTTGCGGGTGCACCGGGGAGCAGCTGCAGGCGTCGGCCGGGCGAAGCAGCGTCGCCAGCAGCAGGAGGCCGAGCGCCAGCCGCAGGGTGCGGGCCGCGGCGCCCATGGCGGGCCGGGGGGCTGGGCGGGCGGGGGCCGCCGCTGGGGGGTCCGGGCGCTGCTCGCGGCGGCGGGCTGGGGGCGCGGGCGGGGGCTGAGCCGGGGCCGAGGCGGGCCCCTCCCGCGCGGCTCACCCTCCTCACCTGCCCCGCTCGGCCGCGCAAACTTTCTCTCCTCTTTGTCTCGGGGGCGCGAGGGGAGGGGCGCGGGGCGCAATTCGCCGGGCGGGGCGGCGGGGTGGGGGGCGGCGGGCGAGCGGCGCTGCGGTTCTCGGCGGCCGCGCTGCCTTCTACGGATGTGTTTGCTGCGGGCTTGGGCCGGGCCGCAGTTTTATTGCGCTCGGAGGATTTTCTGCTCCTCCTCCCGGTGGCTGGCGGCCAATGCAGGCTCTGGGCGCTCCCAGCAGCCCCCTCCTCCCCCTCCGCCCGCGCCTCCCCCCAGCCCGCGCTTTTGTTGTGCCCGGCCTGGCACGTCGGGGGCTTCCCGCACCACCTGGCGCCCGCGACCCGCACCCGCGCGGGGGTCCCCGGACGCCCCCAGCCCCCCGACCCCGGTCCCCGCTGCGTGGCCTTCTGCGCCCGGGGTCCCTGACTCAGCGCGGGGGACTCGCGCCCCGTTCTTCCAGGACACCAGGCGACCCACCCGCTACCCTTTCCCCTTCAGCTCGACTCTGGAGGGCTACGCTGCTCCGTCCCCCGCCACCCCGGGGTCCCTTCGAGCCCAGCCTCGGGGCGAGCCAAGGGGTGTCCTTTGGAGCAGGGGCCGTTCCCTGTCGCCACCTCCCCGTTTCTGTGGGCGGGTGGCCTATTGAGAAACTGACAGGATCCCTTTTTCAAATGGAGGCCTTAGAATTTTAAGTGCGCCTGGCCAGTTTAGTTGGGGGGTGGGGGGTGTGGTTACTGTGAACAAAACAGGATTTTATATAAACTGGCCATATTTTTGACCAGCCAACAAGAGACGGGGGTGGGCCCAGGCGCCCAGGAGCCAGTAGGATCGCAGCAGAGGCATTGGCTGGGTTCCGCTCACAGTTTCCTCTCTTAGTCCACAAATGTGGGAGCCGAAGGACTTTTCCCAAAACAGTTTTGTGTTCCAGGAAAGACCCAGGCATATGAAGGGATGAACATGTGTAGGGTGGTGAGGCGGGCTTCCTGGCTGTGAACCTGCCTGTGCCCGGCTGTGGGCACCCACCCTGTACATTTGGTGTGTGCCCCGTGGGGCTCCATGGACACTGCTGCACTCAGGTCAGCACTCCAGCCCTCAGGTCAGCATTCCAGAGTGTTTGCAGTCCAGCTAGGGAGAGGGAAGCCCAGGAAAATGACACAGGAAGAATCAGGGCGGGCACGGTGGCTTGCGCCTGTAATCCCAGCACTTTGGGAGGCCGAGACAGGAGGATCACTTGAGGCCAGGAGTTTGAGACCAGCCTGGCTAGCATTTAGTAGAGACAGTGAAACCCCGTCTCTACTAAAAATACAAAAAATTAGCCGGGCTTGGTGGTGGGCGCCTGTAGTCCCAGCTACTCGGGAGGCTGAGGCAGGAGAATGGCATGAACCCAGGAGGCGGAGCTTGCAGTGAGCCGAGATCATGCCACTGCACTCCAGCCTGGGGGACAGAGCGAGACTCCATCTCAAAAGAAAAAAAAAAAAAAAAAAAGCCCGGGTGCAGTGGCTCATGCCTGTAATCCCAGCACTTTGGGAGGCTGAGGTGGGCGAATCACGAGGTCAGGAGTTCGAGACCAGCCTGGCGGCTAACACGGTGAAACCCCGTCTCTATTAAAAACACAAGAAATTAGCCGGGCGTGGTGGCGCGCGCCTGTAGTCCCAGCTACTCAGGAGGCTGAGGCAGGAGAATCGCTTGAACCCGAGAGGCGGAGGTTGCAGTGAGCCGAGATTGCGCCACTGCACTCCAGCCTGGGCGACAGAGAAAGACTCTTGTTTTTTTTTGTTTTTTTTTTTTTTTTTTTTAAAAAGAATTGCCCACTAAATTGTGCGGTGCTGACTTGAGGTATGAAACTTTGGAAAATAGTGAAAGAATGGAAAAACAGCTTCTTTCTGTTTGTGTATGTTTTGTAACAGACAGTTCTGAGAAAAGTTAAATAAGCAATGCCGTTATTTTTAGCACCCTGACAAATCCAAAGTCACTTTTTTGGTTTTTGTTAGCGTGAAATAGAGTTGGGTCGTTCACAAAATGATGTTTGAAGCTAACGTTTAAAAGTACAGTTAATTCAGAAAATTGTTATGTGCTGGCTGCCTTCAGCCATTTCATCGTTTTCTTTCCTTCTTTTTGGTTACAGGGGGAACAAAATGCTGTTGAACTTGTGTTTCAATTTGTCAGTTCATGATAGAAACAGGTAGCATAGGGGCTCTCGGTCTTTTAGACAAGCTCTACATATAAGTGATCAGGTACATGTTAGGGTGATAAATACCTTAGAGCAGTTGTGGTGCTGACAGCCAAGGGGGTGGGGCCAATGTGGGATGTACCTGGGAGGAAAGGGGGGCCTGGGCTCCAGGGTTGGGGGGCGTGAGACTGGAACTTCCAACCCAAGGCCTCGCACCTGTATCCTGGACTGCCCTCCCCGAAGTCATCCCCACCAGCACACAAACAGGCTGGAATTGCTCCCAGGAAAAGTGAAGCAGAAATCTTGCCAGGTGCAGTGGCTCACGCTTGTAATCCCAACACTTTGGGAAACTAAGGTGGGAGGATCACTTGAGGCCAGGAGTTTGAGACCAGCCTGAGGAACATACTGAGACCCCATCTCTACAAAAAAAAAATTAGCTGGGCGTGATGGCTCACACTTGTAGTCCCAGCTACAGGGAAGCTGCGGTGGGAGGATCGCTTGAGCCTGGGGAAGTTGAGTCTGCAGTGAGCCGAGATCACACCACTGCACTCCAGCCTTGGTGACAGAGTGAGACCCTGTCTCAAAAAAAAAAAAAAAAATCTCTCCCCTCAATTCCCCCACCAGAGAGTACTCTACTTTTCTGTTCCCTCTACCATTATCTCCTCCAAACAGGTCTCTAAACCAGAAGTTTCCAGCTTTCTTTTCCTCCCTTTTCTCTTGGTTCTCTCTCTCTCCCTCCTCCCTCCATCCATCAACAAATACTCATTTGAGTATCTGCTGTAGCCTGGACACCGTCCTAAGAGTGAGACATTCAGCGTCTACAGAACAGAGGAACATCCCTGGAACAGCAGGTGGAAACACGCAAGGCCCCAAGGTTGGACGATGCTGGACCTGGTGGAGCCCATGGTGTGGCGAGGAGTGAGAGGAAGGAGGGCTGAGGCAGGAGGCCAGGAGCAGGGGCTGGGAGGGGACACGGCGGAGGGCAGCCAGGCTACCGGGAGGATGTGCATTTTGTTCTGAGTGAGGTGGGAGCCTTTGGAGGGTTCTGAGCAGAGGGGCAGGATCGGACGCATCCCCTGGAAGGATGGGACTCTGGTGGGTGGCCTGGGTGGGGGCAGGGAGCCCAGTGAAAGGGCAGGTGCTGGAGATGCAGAGACTCCAGAGTCACAAAACCCCTTTCTGGTGCAGTGCCGTGAATGGCTGACCTGCGGCTGCAAAGTCAGATGAAGAGGGGACTGAGGTCTGAGGGCCCAAATGACTCTCCCAAGGGCACAGCAGGGAGGGGAGAGGACAGTCCCAGCAGCCAGGCCTCCCTCGCAGCCCACAGCCCCCAGCTTGCTGACCCAGTCATCTCCCTGCTGCTTGGGGCCCTCAGGGTCTTGGCTCCTGAGCCAGCTTCTGTCTCATTAACCACCCTCCACCTTCTCTTCCAGTTAGGGTCCTCACACTTCAAAATCAAGGAAACTGAGGCCTCAGACCAGGAACCTACTGAAGACAGGGAGTAGACTGGAATCTGGCTCATGGCAGCACAAACCCACTTTTTCTTTCTTTTTTCTTTTTTTTCTTTGTTTGAGAGCCGGGGTCTCACTCTGTCACCCAGCCTGGAGTGCAGTGGCTTGATCTCAGCTCACTGCAACCTCTGCCTCCCGGGCTCCAGTGATCCTCCCACCTCAGCCTCCTTTGTAGCTGGGACCACAGGTATGCGCCACCACACCTGGCTATTTTTTGTATTTTTTGTAGAGACACAGCTTCTGCAAGCTGCTCCTTCTCCTTGTCCTTCTCTGTGCTTTGTGGCCAAGAGGGCTTGACCTTGCAAGCAAACTTGAACATGGGGAGGGGGCTGCCACCCATAAGGGAAGTGACAGGGTCCGCATGCCCCATGCCCAGGGCAAGAGAGGAAGGAGGAAGGCAGACCCCGGGCTGGGAGCTCCCTCCACTGCTTCACTGCTTTTTTTTTGAGACAGAGTTTTACTCTGTCTCCCGCTGGAGTGCAATGGCACCATCTCGGCTCACTGCAACCTCTGCCTCCTGAGCTCAAGCAATTCTCATGTCTCAGCCTCCTGAGTAGCTGGGATTACAGGTGCCCACCATCACACCCGGCTAATTTTTGTATTTTAAGTAGAGACAGGGTTTCACCATGTTGCCCAGGCTGGTCTGGAACTCCTGAGCTCAGGTGATCCGCCCGCCTCGGCCTCCCACAGTGCTGGGATTACAGGCGTGAGCCACCGCGCCCAACCCATGGCTTCACTCCTAACCAGCCCCCTTCACTTCTCATCTTGATATTGGTGGGTGGACTACCATAGGGACCATAAGCGACACCCAGCCCAGATGCAGCCTGGGGGACCCTGGCTTGGATCAGCTTAAGAGCAGAGGCTCTCAGCCTCTCAGGACAGACAGGAGCACGAGGGAGCCCTGTGAAGTATGGGGGTGATTTCAGGGCCCTCAGACCACGCTCCAGGGGCCACCGCTTCCCACGAGGAACATCGTCTTGCTCCCCCACCCCCTCAAAGAGACCTTCCTGGCAGAGAGCACAGCAGAGCTGTCAGGCGTGTGTGCACCCTCGCCTGAACACACCAGGCGAACACCTCCCAGGCTGGACCTGATGAATCCTGTCCGGGGCCGGAGGAAGTGCCAAGGCCTCCTCCCTGTCGCTCCCGTCTCAGGCCACCAGGCAGGACGCCCTCCCTGCTGCGCCGGGCTGGCGGGAGGATGCTGCTCTTCTCGGTGGCCTCGCCCTCCCAGTCTGGATGAGAGCCATCTTCCCCTGAGCAGGTCACGTTCTCTCTGTGGAGACAGCTTGAACGGACCCGAAGCCCCCACGTTCTTTCTGGCAGGTTCCTAGAGAGCCAGATGTTCTCATCCAGAGACAGCATGGACGTTGGCCCCACACACCCGGGAAATTGACCCCCTGCCGATGGCTGGAACTCCGGCCCTCAGGGGAGTGTCCAGGGCAGTCTCAGGGGCAGGGAGCCGGCAGCTGTAGAGGAAGGTGGGGACCGTGTCTGAGTCTGGCTGTCTGGGAGGTGACACTTCAGTCAGGTGACACGTGGCTGTCAAGAGTCTGAGGCCCGGCTGGATGGGCAGGCAGCCCATCTGTGCCTCCCCATCCAGCCGGGTCTCAGACTCTTGGTCACAATGGGCACCCAGCCCACGTGTCCGTCCCCAACATCCACTGGTGGGGCTGTTCACCACAGGACATCCTGAAGATGACAAGAAGGTGAGTCAAGAGTGATGGCTGGGCGTGGTGGCTCACGCCTGTAATCCTAACACTTTGGGAGGCCGAGGTGGGCAGATCACTTGAGGTCAGGAGTTTGAGACCAGCCTGGCCAACATGGTGACACCCCATCTTTACTAAAAATATAAAAATTAGCCGGAATTCACTTGAACCAGGGAGGCAGAGGTTGCAGTGAGCCAAGATCCTGCCACTGCACTCCAGCCTGGTCAACAGAGCAAGACTCAATCTCAAAAAAAAAAAATAGAGTGACTGGGACCCACTGTGCTTGAGACAAGATACACAGGCAGCATGAGCGGCTCATCGTGTTCTATGGTGGACGTGCTGAAGGGCATTTCAACATGGATTTCATTAGCCATCTTCTTTAGGGGCCGGGCTTCTCCGCCTTGGCACAGTTGACATTTGGGCCAGATCCCTCTTTGTGGGGGGCTGTCATGGGCACTGTAGGGTGTTCAGCACCATCCCTGGCCGGACCCACTGGATGCCAGCACCCTCTCCAATTGCAACCATCAAAAATGTCTCAAGACATTGCAAAACGGTCCTGGTTGGAAACCACTAACAAACCAATAAAAGTCTTTGGTCCTGAGCAAAGCAAGGTGCAGAGACATAGGAACAAACAGGTTCTATAGAGAACAAGAATGCAGATGGGAGAGTGAAGGTCCCCACAGCCTGGAGACCAAGACATGCACCATGCTGCCGACACCGATTGTCAGGGGAGAGAGGCCAGGCACAGAATAGAATTTTTTTTTTCTTTTTTGAGACAGAGTCTCGCTCTGTCGCCTAAGCTGGAGTACAGTGGCACAATCTTAGCTCACTGCAACCTCCACCTCCCGGGTTCAAGCAATTCTCCTGCCTCGCCTTCCAAGTAGCTGGTATTAGAGGTTCCCACCACCACGCCCGGCTAATTTTTGTGTTTTTAGTGGTGACGGGGTTTTACCATGCTGGTTGGGCTGATCTCGAACTCCTACCTCAAGTGATCTGCCTGCCTCGGCCTCCCTAAATGCTGGGCTTACAGGCATGAGCCACCGCACCTGGCCGAAAAAGATTTTTTATAAGTGTCCATGGTATGGACACAGTGTCTTGCACCTGTAATCTCAGAACTTTGGGAGGCTGAGGCAGGAGGATCACCTGACACCAGGAGTTTGAGACCAGCCTGGGCAACACAGTGAGACCCCATCTCGACAAAGAATTAAAGAAATTAGGTGGTCAAGGCCAGGTGCAGTGGCTCATGCCTGTAATCCCAGCACTTTGGGAGGCCAAGGAAGCTGGATCACTTGAGGCCAGGAGTTCCAGAGCAGCCTGGCCAACATAGCGAAATCCTGTCTCTACTAAAAATACAAAAAATTAGCTGGGCATGGTAGCATGCCTGTAGTCCCAGCTACCCGGGAGGCTGAGGCACAAGAATTACTTGAACCCAGGAGGCTGAGTTTGCAGTGAGCCGAGATCGTGCCTGTACACTCCAGCCTGGGCGACAGAGCGATACTCTGCCAAAAAAGAAAAGGAAAAGAAAAAGAAAGAAAGAAATTAGCTGTGCATGGTGGCATGTGCCTGTAGTCTCAGCTTTTTGGGAGGCTGAGGCAGGAGGATCACTTGAACCCAAGAGTTCAAGGCTTTAGTGAGCTCTGATTGGGTCACTGCACTCCAGCCTGGGCAACAGAACAAGAGCCTGACTCTTAAAAAAAAAATTTCCATAATAAACAGCATGTATAATACTTCATATATGTGAAGTCAAATATGTGAGTGGATCTAGAAAGAAGTATACAGGCCAGGCACGGTGGTTCACGCCTGTAATCCTAGCACTTCTGGAGGCCACGGCAGGAGGATCGCTTGAGCCCAGGAGTTTGAGACCAGCCAGGACAACATGGCGAAGCCCCATCTCTACAAAAAATACAAAAATTAGCCGGGCATGCTGGCACACGCCTGCAGTTCCAGCTACTTGGCAGGCTGAGGCAGGAGGATCACTCGAACCCAGGAGGTGGAGGTTGCAGTGAGCCGAGATCGTGCCAGTGCACTCCAGCCTGGGCGACAGAGTGAGACCCTGTCTCAAAAAAATAAAAAATAAAAAAAAAGAAGCATACAAAGGTGTTCACAGAAAGGTTAGTGGGTGCGCCTGGGCAATGGGAACTCAGGTAGGTGGGTGTCTTCTGTCCTGTTCCGTGTGGAGCAGGTAATGTAATATTCCGATGAGGGTCCGGCCCTGAAATGGGCAGGCCTGGGGGAAGGAGCACAGATGTTTCCCACCCTTTCTGTATAACACTATTAAAGCCTTCTTGGCCACAGCCATCAGGGTTTACTTTTTAAAGATCCTGCTCCACCTTCCAGCCACTCTTGGTTCACGCCTCCCTTTGGTTTTCTTGTTTGCTTGTTTTTGTTTTGTTTTTTGAGACAGAGTCTCCCTCTGTTGCCCAGGCTGGAGTGCAGTGGCACAATCTCGGCTCACTGCAACCTCTGCCTCCCAGGTTCAGGCAATTCTCCGGCTTCGGCCTCCCAAGTAGCTGGGACTACAAGCATGCACCACCACGCCCGGCCTTCCCTTTGGGTTTTGTTTGGCAGAGTCTGTTGATCTATTTCATGCCATCCCACAGGCCATCTTTGAGAAGGTGGGACTTTGGCCTCTCTCCGTCACTTCCATCTCCTGTCACCCCAACCTACCGCCCCTCCGCAGACAGGCACCCCTCAGGGCAAAAGCAGCCATGAGCCAGGGCACCTCCCTTTAGCAAACCTGCTTGGATTCCAGCCTCTGCACACCCCTTGTGCCCGGCACAACCTTCACAGCCCCAGGCAGCAGCCCCAAAGCCAGCCCTGTTGCCCTGGTCAAGTCTCTAGTGACACCAGAAAGAAAGGAGGAGAGGCAGAGAGGTTGTCCTGGTGGTAAGCAAGAAGCCCATGACATCACTGGCTCTACAGACTGCCACGGGTAAACAGCTTAGACCAGATGACTCAGGCTGAAAGCATATGAACCCTTCCTGCAGGGAGGCCGCCCGGATGCAACAGTGGTTTCACCCCTGAGCCGGGCAGCCTTGGCAGACCTTGCTTCACGTGGGCTGAAATGGCAGTGTCTCTCCTCTTTGTGGCCAGGTTTTGCCTCCTCTTTGACTCGGAAGCATCTCCTATCCTGCAAGGACAGTTTGAGCAGGGCCCCCGGGCCCTCCTTCCAAGAGGCTTCTGCAGCTGTGGACCCCCAAGAGTTTATGCCGCTGAGCTCTGCTGTCTCTCCCCACCTGCTCCCCACCTGTCTGCCCCCACACCTGCGACTCTGGCTCTCCTGGATCCTCCTGTAGACTGGTTCCTATAAGCACAAGGAGGAACATGCGAGATGCTGGGATTGGATGCTCTGGGCCTGGGGCTGGTGTTTCCTCATGCCCGGGCTATTTCCTTTTGGCCCTGGGCATGCAGTCATGTGCTTCCTTTCATGGGCGGGTTGGGGACCAGGGCCAGCGAGCAGAGACGGTCCCCAGGGCTTCTCCATCACTGGCTCTCCCCAGGAAGCAGCCTCAGCTGGCGTGCTGGGGACCGGAGCTGGCCATGAGGGAGGGGTGGACAGTGGAGGAACCGGCTGCCCAGCTCAGCAGGGATTTGTGGAGGCTGACTTGCATGGTTTCGGGTTTGCCTTGCCTGGAAGCCTGGCCAGGGGAGGCTCAGGTTTCTCGCCAGCTGGCCTTCCTCCTCCTCCTCCGTGTGAGTGACGCCCCATGGCCATGATGTCATCACCTCGTACAAACAGAAGGGAGACTGGCTTGGCGGAGCTGGCGGCTGTCCCATGCTGAGTGCAGCAGTAAATTTCATTTCAAGGCTATGATTAGGTCTGTGCCCAAGAATGTCCCCTCTCTCCTCCCCTCTCCCCAGGCCTGTTTTTCTCTCTCTGTTCCTGTCCCGCCTGCTTTTCCTCCTTGCCCTCCCCTCTGGTCCTTCCTCTCTCTCCTCTGGGGATGCTTCAGTTTCTCTGTGATATGGACCCTGTGGCCAGCAGCAGCATCAGGCCCGAGCCAGACTCTCATTACCTCCAGTTTCAAACTCAGCCTCACGTCCTCTGGAACCGGCTTCCTGAAGCCTGGGACAGGTCTGAGTCCCTGGATTCCTCCTGGGGAGGATGGGTTGGGGTGAGGGGCAGAGTTCCTGAAGGTCCTCATTCAACCTTGAGCTGGAGTGCTGGACAGCAGGAAGAGCAGGCTTGGGGGTGGCTGTGGTCACTACCACCGAGATCAGAGGCAGTGAGGCAGGAGAAAGGTGAGAAGGAGCCAAGCTTCTTGGAAAGCGATTCAGATCCTTCTCGCCATTCCCAGCTGGTTTCTGGAGATTTGAGTCTGACTCGTTAACTCACTTTTTGGCATGGCCACCCTTCCTCTCAGCCCCCAGAGGGCCCCTAGGCTCTGTGGACACCTGTGACAGCCCTGTCACCCATCACACTCTGCCTTGCCTCTTGCGTGACTGGCTACCCTGGTTCTGTCCTGGTGCTCTCCGGCCCAGGAACAAGGCTGACGGCTCGTCACCCCTCAGCGTCCCCTGCATTCACCGGCCCCTGCTTGCCTCCCCTCGAAGGTGCCACCCAGCCAGAGCCGTGTTGCTGTGGATGCCCATGAGGAAGGCTCCGATGTCTGGGCAGGTGGTGTCCCACCGCACCTGCACTGGGCTGGGCTCCCTGCTGGGGTAGAGGGTGCTCTGGGTCGCTGTCGGTGCTGCCTGTCCTGTGGGACTGTGGTTCTGACCCCTTGAAGGAGGTAGCAGAACGCCCTAGATGTGGCCTCGTTGATGAGAGAGCCCACAGTCACTCCCAGCCCCATCAGACACTGCCTGCCCCGCATTCAGCCATCCTTCCTCATTAAGACCGGCCTGGCCTCCAACCCCTGCTCACCAGGCAACAGCCAGCTGAGAGTGAGGCGATGCGCTGCAGCCCCGGGGAGGGGCCCAGCTGGGGCGGGGCGGAGATGCAGTCGTCCTAGCAACCGGCAGAGGTGGACCCCGCATTTCTGTGGCTCATCACCCTGACTTCATCCAGACTCCCTGTATTTTATCTCATAGATTTCTCATTCTGATGTCTGTCTCCCCTACTGACTGTAACCTCTTAAGGCTATAGTTCATGTATTCATTCAACTGGTATTTACTGGGCACCAGCCATGGGCTGTGCAGACGTCAGGGAAATGGATGGGGAGTGACCCCTCCTTCCTGCAGCGCAAACCATCCTTTAATATGAAAGAGACAGAGACCATTGCAAAGAGTGTGCTGGGTGCGGTGACTGTGGTGCGACCCAGGACAATGGACGGGCGCCAGCAGGGTTGGGGTGGTCTGGGGGGGCTGTCTGGGATGTCTCGAGTGGGACCTGGAGGTTGAGTCAGGGTGATCCAGGTGGAGGAGGCAGGCACTGCTTCAGACCAGGGAGCTAGCGGCGCTGGGAGGCCCACAGGCCGGAGGACACCCAGGACTCCAGGGGGTCAGGCTGGCTGAGCCAGAGCCGGGTGGGGGCAGAGCCTGGGCTGTCGGCACAGGGGGCTGAAGGTGAGTGCAGGGAGATGGAGACAGCGGCAGCTGTTGGTGGTGACTCACTGCTACTCCGATGATTGGAAACACATGTTCCCGCCGAGAGGCGCGTTTATTACTCACAGCCGAGGGTTCTTGGACGACATGGACGTCAACAGGGAGAGGGGTGGGGAGGGAGAGTGGTCGGCGGTGGGGTGGTGGGGAGGGGCTCCAGGGTCCCTTACTTGTCGCTGCTCACCGACTCTGCCCCTTAGAGTCTGCGACAGGATGCTCTGGCCATATTCCTACTTGCTACTTAAAAAAAAAAAAAAAAACAAAAAACTTATGGCCAGGCGCCATGGCTCACGCCTGTAATCCCAGCACTTTGGGAGGCTGAGGTGGGCAGATTGCCTGAGGCCAGGAGTTCGAGGCCAGCCTGACCAACATGGTGAAACCCCATCTCTACTAAGAATACAAAAAATTAGCTGGGCCTGGTGGTGGAGGCCTGTAATCCCAGCTACTCGGGAGGCTGAGGCTGAAGAATCACTCGAACCCGGGAGGCAGAGGTTGCAGTGAGCTAAGATCGCACCACTGCACTCCAGCCTGAGCGACAGGGTGAGACTCTGTCTCAAAAACAAACAAACAAAAGTATTATGAAAAATTTCAGAATTGCAAGGACAGAGGCCAGTACCAGGCTGACCATGGACCAACACCCACGTTGGAAACTGATCGACTCATCCGGGTTTGTTTCATCAACATCCACCCAAGAGGATTATTTCGAAGCCGATCCCAGACATTGTAGTTCACAGGCAAATATTGGAAGAACTTTTTTTGTTGTTTTTACAATTTTATTTCTTATTTCTTTTTAAATGATTACCTTCTCTTCTTCTGGATAGAGAAGCATGTCAACTTTATATGGCAGCGGCTTATCTTAGCACAAGACATTTCTCTTAAGGGCAAAACCAGCTTCCCAGCATCCTTGCCTTGGAATCCTCACCCTCTGTGAAAACACACAACTTTTCACCCATCCTTGCAAATATGCCCTGGGGATGCCTTCAGGCCTGAACATTTTAATTTGGCAGGTGGCCAAGCAATATGCTTTATTTCTCCTTCCTAATTCTTGAGGATGCTGAGAGGCTCTGCCCGAGGCATCGGCTATAGGTAAAGGCTTGTCATTTTTTTTGAGATGGAGTTCTGCTCTTGTTGCCCAGGCTGGAGTGCAATGGCACAACCTCGGCTCACTGCAACCTCCGCCTCCCAGGTTCAAGCAATTCTCCGGCCTCAGCCTCCCGAGTACCTGGGATTACAGGCACGCGCTACCACGCCCAGCTAATTTTTGTATTTTAAGTAGAGACCATGTTGGCCAGGTTGGTCTTGAACTCCTGACCTCAAGTGATCCACTCACCTTGGCCTTCCAAAGTGCTGGGATTACAGGCGTTGAGCCACCGCGCCAGGCCAAGGCTTGTGATTTCTCAGGAGACTGGAGGTTTCTACGTGGGTGAAGGGACATTTGAAATATGATTATTACTTACCATGTTGGGATGCCTATGACATGCCACTTCCAAGCCATGATCTGATCTGATTCTCCTCCCACCGTGCAGTGCGGAAGGAGAGTTTAATACAGCAGCTCAACTGGGCTTGAGAATCAGATAAGCCGGAGTTCGCCTCCTACCGCCAGCTGGGTGACCTGAGCATGCGTGCTTCATGGGCTCCACCTCTCCTTCATTATTTGGAAAATGGGATCGTGCTAGTACCTGTCTGAAGGAGCTCACGGAACAGCGTGGAGCACATGGCAAGTTGTTGTGATGTTGGCTATGAAGGAGCCAAGAAACAAAAGCAGGATCGTACAGCTGGGAGGTTGCTGGAGCCAGGATTCAAACCCCCCCGCCAAAAGCTGTCAGACCCTGAACGCTGTCCCCCTTTTCCACCAGCAGGCACCCCTGAGCTCCCTTTGTTAGTGTCCACTGACCGACCCGGACCAGTGACTTTTGGTCCTGATCTGAAAGGTCTCTCTGCTGGGACCCATCCCATGGGCACCAGGGTTAGGGGAGATGTCCAGGGAAGCATTTTCCTTAAGAGATCAAGAGCCTTGGGAACCAGTAGCAAGGGGGGCCTTTCAGCCAATGTGGAAGTGGAGAGGAACCAGAAGAGAGCCATTCCTTTCCCCCGGAGGCAGGTGGAGGCCGCTCCTCCCACCTGCGGACAGGTCGCCTTAGTGTGACCCAGTCCAGATCTTTGGCAGTTTTGTTTTGTTTTTGAGACAGGGTCTCACTCTGTCACCCAGACTGGAGTGCAGTGGTGCGATCTTGGCTCACTGCAGCCTCAACCTCCAGGGCTCAAGAGATCCTCCCGTCTCAGCCTCCCAAGTAGCTGGGACCACAGGTGTGCACCGCCACACCCAGCTAATTTTTGTACATTTTGTAGAGAGAGGGGGTCCCCCATGTTACCCAGGATGGTCTTGAACTCCTAACCTTAAGTGATCCGCCCACCTCGGCTTCCCAAAGTGCTGGGATTACAGGCACAGAGCCACCACACCCAGTTGATATCTTTAGATTGTAAGGAATAGACCCCCAGATGAGACAGCTCAGTCGAAGGGGCTTCATTCAAATGATACAAGGAATGCCCTGTGACCTACGGGCAGAAAACACAGCTGGCGGGCAGGGGACTGCAGTGTCCTGGGGGCCACCCTCCCCTTCTTGCTCCTCGTGCTCCCGGCACCTCACCTCCACTGCTGCCCTCTCTGCCTCTACTCTCCCCACTGGCTCACTCTCTCTCTCTTTTTTTTTTTTTTTTTTTTTTTTTTTGAGACAGACTCTCGCTCTGTCGCCCAGGCTGGAGTGCAGTGGCGTGATCTGCACTCACTGCAATGTCTGCCTCCCGGGTTCAAGTGATTCTCGTGCTTCAGCCTCCCGAGTAGCTGGGATTACAGGTGTGCTTCATCATGACCGGCTAATTTTTGTATTTTTAGTAGAGATGGGGTTTCACTGTGTTGGCCAGGCTGGTCTTGAACTCCTGACCTCAGGCAATCCGCCTGCCTTAGCCTCCCATGATACTGGGATTACAGGCATGAGCCATGGCACCTGGCCCCCACCGGCTCTCTGCATCTCCATGGCCCAGTGTGACGGCTGTCACCCACTCTGCACCATTTTAGTTCAGATGCTCCCGTCTCATTCATTCTTCTCCCAGCGTCCCCCTCTTGGTAGTAAGGACCTGACTGAGCCAGCAGGGGCCAGTTGTGGCCACTGACACCAACCGGGTGGTCAGGGCCTGGGAGTCTGAAGGACAGGGCTGGTCTAGATGGGAGAGGGATGGACAGCTCTTGGAGGGAGGGCAGTGCCCCCACAAAAAGACTCATGGCAGAGCAGGTACAGTTGGGCCCTTGACTGGCCTCCTGTGAGGCCCTTCTACCCTCAGAACCTTTCAGCAACAGAAGGCAGTCAGGGGCTGGGCCTCTGGAGGGTCTGCCACACCGCTCGCTGTGACAGCCAGGTGCCCATCAGCTTGGGAGAGGTTGTGTTGGCCAGAAGGCTCCTGTGGGGCCCCATCCCTCAGGCAGCAATCTCTCTGGCCTTGATGGGGGAGGGGGAAGAACCCTATTTAAGGCAGATGAGTTCAGAATACTGGCCTTGTCCACTGTGTCTCCTGGGCAGCTGTGGAGGGCAGCGGCCACTCCAGGCTTGGCCATCGCCCGGGAGAGATGTCTGGGGCTGCCACCCTCATATTGGCTGCCAAAGAAAATATTTTTTTGCAGGTTTCCTGTGAGCTGAGAATGAAACTCAACACCCAGCAGGATGAGTTGTGCAGGGTGGGGAGGGAGGCTTGGCTCAGCGTGCTCCAGCCACACCAGGGCCTGAAAGTCTTGGCGGCTGAGAAGGGGCTGGGTGGGCAGAGCAGCCGAGAGTGGGGCTGGCCTGGGACCCCAGCAGAAATGGGGTTGTTGGGGCCAGGCATGGTGGCTCACGCCTGTAATCCCGGCACTTTGGGAGGCTGAGGCGGTCGGATCACCTGAGGTCAGGGGGTTGAGACCAGCATGGCCAACATGACGAAACCCGTTCTCTACTAAAAATATAAGAATTAGCCAGGCGTGGTGATGTGTGCTTGTAGTCCCAGCTACTCTGGAGGCGGAGGCAGGAGAATTGCTTGAACCCGGGAGGCGGAGGTTTCAGCGTGCTGAGATTGCACCACTGCACTCCAGCCTAGGCGACAGGGCAAGACTCCGTCTCAAAAAATAATAATAATAATAAAATGAGAAAAAAAATGGGGTTGTTGGGAAACTGCACGCACTAAAAAGGCAAAGGAGGGGACAGGCTGAGACTAAACACTCACCAAGAGGCATGTGCTAGAAATGACTTCTCAAGGGGGATTGCAGAAGCTCCAGCTAAAAATAAACAGGATAATAACAACCACTTCTGAAAAATACAGAATGCACAATGAGTTTAGAAAGTTCAGATAAGCCAAAAGAAAAAATACAGCCGATACTCATACAGAGAGCATTCCTCTTAGTATTCTGGCCCACATTATCCATTCTTTTTCTTTGCATATGATTCTATATATTTTTTCATATAGATGAACACATATATAGCTAGTGAGATCTCATGTGCTGATTTGTAGCCTTTTTTTTTTTTAACCCAGGAAGTTACCATGGACATCTTCCCACGTCATTAAGGGTTTTCCTGCAGTACCTCTTGGAATGTCTGCACAGCATTCCGCTGTAGCTCTCTCCCTCCCCAGGAGGCAGAATGCGGTTGGCAATGGCAATTGCAGGCTTGGTGGCCCTTATAGCTCCCAGCCCCAAAGAGTAAGCAGGTGTCCTCAGCCGTTGCCATGGAAAATACCTGAGGATGGCTCTGATTGGCCAGGCTTGGATCCTGTGCTCATCCTTGAGTCAATCCCTGTGGCCAGCAGGATTGAGGACTTGGATTGGCCAGGCCTGAGCCACGTGCCCATCCTGTAGCCAGGAGGAGGCAGGTGGAAGGGATGCTGAGGCGACAACAAGCAGAGATCCCCCAGGCTGCAAGCTGGCAGGAACTCCATAAATATGAGTGGGAAAATGCTCCATGGTGTCTTGGGCCTAAGGCTAAAGATCCAGCCCCTTCTCCTGAAGAAGCTTATAATTTTGGGGAGACCCCAAAATATGGAAAACTCAGTTTAAAAAGGGTTCAATGTCAAACATGAGATCAATGCTACAGGAGGACTTTGCTGCAGGACAGACTTGGGTTTAAGTCCCATTTCTACCATGACCTTGGCCAGTCTCTTTCCTTTTCTGGAGCCGAGCTTCCTTCCACGTAAAGTGGGAATAATATCACCTGCCACACTCATCAGTGGTTGAGAATTTGATCTGCTGCCATAAGCAATTTGGAGCCTGGCACGTAGTACATGTTTAATAGGTAGTAATTTGTAATAGCAGGCCAGGCATGGTGGTGGCTCACACCTGTAATCCCAGCAATTTGGGAGGCCGAGGTGGGTGGATCACTTGAGGTCAGGAGTTTGAGACCAGCCTGGCCAACGTGATAAAACCCCGTCTCTACTAAAAATACAAAAATTAGCCGGGCGTGGTGGTGGGCACCTGTAATCCCAGCTACTTGGGAGGCTGAGACAGGAGAATTGCTTGAACCTGGAAGGTGGAGGTTGCAGTCAGCTGAGACTGAGCCACTGCACTCCAGCCTGGGTGACAGAGTAAGACTCCATCTCAAAAAAAAAAAAAAAAAAAGAGTAGTAGCAGTAGTGTTCAGGGAAGGGAGACAGCATGATGCATAGACCCAGTGAGTGCTTGGAAAAGGCTGGAAAGTGAATGGTGGACTCATCACAGCCATAAGGTGGAAACAACCCAAGTGTCCATCGACTGAAAACTAAACACAAGGGGGTCCCTCCATGCAATGGCCATGAGAAGGAACAAAGTGCTGATCCATATGCAACCACATAGCTGAACCTAGAAAACATTATGCTAAGTAAAAGTAGCCAGACATAAAAGGCCACATATTGTGTGATTCCATTTATATGCAAGTCCATAGAGACAGAAAGTAGACTAGTGTTGACTCTGAGCTGGGGCAGTGGTGCAGGTACGGATGGGGAAATAGAGGCTTGATACTCGCAGGGTCCAGGGTTTCTCTTTGAAGTGATGAAAATGTTCTGAAATTGACTGTGCTGATGGACCCACATCTCTGAGGATAGTAAAATCCAGGGGCTGGGTGCAGTGGCTCACACCTGTAATCCTAGCACTTTGGCAGGCCAAGGCAGGCAGATCACCTGAGGTCAGGGGTTCGAGACCAGCCTGGTCAACATGGTGAAACCCCATCTCTACTAAAAATACAAAAATTAGCCGGGTGTGGTGACGTGTGCCTGTAATCCCAACTACTCGGGAGGCTGAGGCAGGAGAACCACTTGAAACTCAGCAGAGGTTGCAGTGAGTTGAGCTTGCGCCACTGCACTCCAGCCTGGGTGACAGAGTGAGACTCTGTCTCAAAAAAAAAAAAAAAGAAAAAGAAAAAGAAAACCATGGAACTGTCTGTTTCAAATGGGTGAATTGTACAGTAAGTGAATTCTATCTTCACATAACTATTATTTTTTTTTTTTATTTGAGGCAGAGTTTTCCTCTTGTTGCCCAAGCTTGGGTGCAATGGTGCCATCTCAGCTCACTGCAACGTCCGCCTCCTGGGTTCAAGTGATTCTCCTGCCTTAGCCTCCCAAGTAGCTGGGATTACAGGTGCGCACCACCACGCCTGACTAATTTCTTGTATTTTTAATAGAGACGGGGTTTCATCATGTTGGCCAGGCTGGTCTTGAGCTCCTGACCTCAGGTGATCTGCCTGCCTCGGCCTCCCAAAGTGCTGGGATTACAGGCGTGAGTCACCACGCCCGGCATAACTATGTTTTTAAAGGAAGGATGAAAGAAATGTGAATCTGAGACTTGAAAGCTGGGTTGAGTTTAGAAAGTCAGAGAAAAGAAACCTTCTAGGTGGCAGGGAGGGCTTGCCTGAGGCTGAGGGGAGCCAAGCGTGGTTCGAGGGCATGACGCTGGCAAGAAGAGGCTGATGGTGCAGGGCATGTCCTGGAAAGTGGGCGGGGAGGGTAAGGCAGGCCCGGAGGATGCCAGAGCCCCTCAGAAGAGGAGCCGGGGGCTGGGCCTCGTACTTCTACCTCTGTCCAGCTCAGAGTGCCAGGACAGACAGGGACCGCTCCATGGCCTTGTCAGGACGCTGTGAACAGGAGAAACTGTAAAAAGCCTCAGCTCACTGGCTCCCAGGAAGATGAACTCTAGAGGCCCCGTGCCCATGGAGGATGAGAGTGTCTCCATGCCACCTGCTCACACGCCACCCTCTGCAGCTGGCCTCTCCTTTCCTTGACAGCCCTGCACGCTTTCTGCCAACAATCTCTCATTCACCTGCTCTCTGAGCCAGGACCCACACGAACCACACGCATCCACTGTGATCTAGATAGTAAGAAACAAGGCAGAACAGAGCAGTGGCAACGGTGGCACCACCAGCTCCCCCATCGCCATCCTCTCCTCTTGGACAGACACTCCCCAGCATGGGAGTATTTTCTGCCACTTGGTGCCCACCCCAGCCCTCAGAGCTGTGAGGTCTGCTGGTCTGGTGCTGGGCATCTGAGTGGGAGTTGTGGGTGAGGGAGGGACCAGAGGAGGTGAGAAGAGCTTCTCACACATGAGCTGGAGAAGGCAGAGCTTTGCTGGCAAAAGAGCGAACAAAAACGAAGCCACCTGAAGACCAGAGGGTGGGGAGAAATGACAGGAGTCAAACACATTAGTTGGGATGGGGTGATGTTTCGGGGACCCTGGCAGCAGGAGTGGGGGGACTCTTGAGGCAGCTGCTATGGGCTTAATGCAAGGAAAATCCAGGAAGGAGGAAATAGGGGCGTTTTGCTGCGTATTTTGAAAACAATGCCTTCATTAGACGCCTGTAATCCTAGCACTTTGGGAGGCTGAGGTTTGGGAGACTGAGGGAGGATTGCTTCGGCCCAGGAGTTCAAGCCCAGCCTGGGCAACATAACAAGACCTCTATCTCTACAATCACTTTTAAAAATTAGCTAGGTGTGGGTGCTCGCCTGTATTCCCAGCTACTTGGGAGGCTGAGGTGGGAGGTCAAGGCTGCAGTGAGCTAAGATCGTGTCACTGCACTCCAGCCTGGGCAACAGAGCCAGACCCCATCTCAAAAAAAAAAAAAAAAAAAGCAGGTGGCCCGGAAGACACGAAGCCAGGTCTGCATTGTCCTCCCAGTGCTGCTGAAATCTGACGTTTCCCTGAGACCTGGTTCTGCTTGGGAGACACAGCCAGGCTGGGAGCTGCCCAGGGCCGCCCCACACAGCAAGGGCTGGGGCCGGCTGGTTCGCAAGCCCCATGGCCCAGGTCTCCCTCAGCTTCTCCATCCTCACGGACATCATGAGATACTGTGATCACTTTGCTCTCTGTGATCGTGGAGTGTTTGATGGGGAGGCGTGGGGCCTGAGGAAGGGGCAGTCCTGACATCATGGGGGACTCTGCCGCACTAAGGCACCCACTGAAGGTTGGCGTGATGGTGGCAAGTCCCACGCAAGGTGCAACAACCTCTAAAGGGCAGGTGAACTTCAGGGAGCATTCCAGGGCCAGCCCAAGTCCCAGAAGAGGGCATACAACAAAGCCATTCTCATCTGTGTGGGCAGACACTGGGCCTCCCAGCACTGCTCTGGAGGGCTGCCCACCAGGCTGGGCACCCCACGCCCCTTGCCTTCCTGCGTGTGGAACTTCACGAGAGACAAACGGCTCACGCTCAAATCAAAGTGGTGGCCTTGCGACTTTGGAGCTCAGACCTAAACCCTCTGCTGATTTCCTTTTGCGGGGGCATCTTGACAGGTGTGATAATTTTATGGCCCCTCCCTCTCGACAGGTGGCCCCACAGGCTTTGCATCCATCCTTGTCCTGGCTTCAGCTGCCTGAGGGAAGACTGACAATCTCTCACCCACCCCTCAGGGTGAGCATCAGGCACCCGCTGGCCTCCACAGATATCCAGAGCCATGTTTTTCTTCAAGCGCACAAATGTTGAGGTTAGAGCTTGGTGCATCTCTGCACCGTGGTCATGCCCCAGTGACGACTGTGCAGAATGAGAAATGGAACGTCACCGGCCCCCCCGACACCACCTCCCTCGAGTCCCTCCCAGTCACCACCCCTGCTTTAAAGCAGCTGCTTTCCTGACTTTGAGCACTGGGCATTCGCTCTGCCAGGCTTCTGTTAGGCCAGATCACCCCAAACACACATCCCAATTTGCCAAAACCCCGTCTGGTCATTTTTTGGAAAAAACAATTCTATTTATCTAGAAAACACAGTCTCTGCTTAGTTTGGTTAAACTTTCTTTTCTTTTTTTTGAGATGGAGTCTCGCTCTGTCACCCAGGCTGGAGTGCAGCGGTGCGATCTTGGCTCACTGCAACTTCCACCTCCCGGGTTCAAGCGATTCTTGTGCCTCAGCCTCCCAAGTAGCTGGAATTACAGGCATGCGCCACCATGCCTGGCTAACTTTTGTTTTTTTTTTTGAGACGGAGTTTCGCTTTTATTGCCCAGGCTCTGGAATGCAATAGCGTGATCTCAGCTCACCGCAACCTCCACCTCCTGGGTTCAAGTGATTCACCTGCCTCAGCCTCCCAAGTAGCTAGGTTTACAGGCATGTGCCACCACGCCTGGCTAATTTTGTATTTTTTTTTTTTTTTTTTTTTTTTAGCAGAGACAGGGTTTCTTCATGTTTGTCAGGCTGGTCTTGAACTCTCGACCTCAGGTGATCCACCTGCCTCGGCCTCCCAAAGTGCTGAGATTACAGGCGTGAGCCACCATGCCCAGCCAATTATTTGTATTTTTAGTAGAGTTTCACCATGTTGGCCAGGCTGGTCTCAAACTCCTGACCTCAAGCAATCCATCTGCCTCAGTCTCCCAAAATGCTGAGGTTACAGGTATGAACCACCCTGCCTGGCCAAACTTAATTTCTTGCCAACAGTTTGTCTGTATTTATCTGTATCAGGGTGACTGTCTTAGGGAAAAAGTTACTAGGTGTCTAAGTCATCAATATCTTGAGCAATTTCTAGATTTGATCCAATAATCTCATTCCCATCTCCTGAAGAACCAACCCCAAATATAACTAAAGGACAGACAAGATGGGAAGGTTTTCCCTGCATCCGCAGTTGGGATAACAGGAAGACGTCTGATGACGTGGATTCTAGCAGCAGGCAGCGGGCAAGGGAATGGCAGTCATCTCTCCAACGGCCGTGTCATCACACTGAGTCTCAGATGAACACACTTAACTCTGGGCTTCCTGTTGGGTGAGATTTTAAAAACATCTGTGTTGGCCAGGCACGGTGGCTCACACCTGTCATCCCAGCACTTTGGGAAGCCTAGGCAGGTGGGTCACCTGAGCTCAGGAGTTCCAGACCAGACTGGCCAACATGGTGAAACCCATCTCTACTAAAGTACAAAATATTAGCTGGGCATGGTGGTGCATGCCCTTATGAGAATTGCTTGAACCCGGGAGGCAGAGGTTGCAGTGAGCCAAGATTGCACCACTGCACTCCAGCCTGGCAGCCTGGGCGACAGAGTAAGACTCTGGCTCAAAAACAAAAACAAAAAAAAAGGAGGGAAGCAGTGGAGGGAGCTCCCAGCCCAGGGTCTGCCTTCCTCCTTCCTCTTCTGCCCTGGGCGTGGGGCATGCGGACCCTGTCACCTCCCCTATGGGTGGCAGCCCTTCCTCATGTTCAAGTTTGTCTTGCATGGTTGAGCCCTCCTCGCCACAGAGCACAGAGAAGTAGAAGGAGAAGGAGCGGCTTGCAGCCTGGGCAACATGGCAAAACCCCATCTCTACTAAGAACACAAAAATTAGTTGGGCGTGGTGGCAGGCGCCTGTAATCTCAGCTTCTCGGGAGGCTGAGGCAGGAGAATTGCTTGAACCTGGGAGGCAGATGTTGCAGTGAGCTGAGATCGCGCCACTGCACTCCAGCCTGGGTGACAGAGCAAGACTCCATCTCAAAAAAAAAAAAAATCTGTCTTACTTAAGTCCATTGAGTTGGAGTTTTATTTGCAAACCAGACAGAGAGACAGTGTCAGATCACGAGGCATTTCCACCCACTGAAGAAATTTTGTTTTCTGCAAAAAGGCTGTGATGACCTTTTCCTTAGTTTGCCCATTTCTCGTGGACAGGTAAAGATGGCCTGCCACCCTTCTGGGACCGGCTTTGGACTCGGCTCCAGCCAGCTGGTTCTGAAGGAAGTGCTCAGGGGACAGGCCCTGAGCACTCATACACTGAGGAGGGTAGGGCCTGCGGCCGAGGGCAGAGTGGGGAGGAGGGGAGGCAGGAGGCTGCGCTGCTGGGCACAGCTTTCCCAGAGGCCGCACCTTTTCTAGAGATGCTCTCAGGACACTGTTATTCTTGGAGGCTTTCTTGACCATGCTCAGCAAAGCTTTATGTGCCAAAGCTGCGGGACGGGGCTGGGTATGTAGGAGGAAATCAGGCTTGTCAAAGTTAACCTTGAGCAAAGAAAACAAGAATGGCTGTGTCTTGGGCTGCAGTGTTTTACTGTAACAAGGCTGGGTTCATGGCCGTGAATGTGCTGATAACATAAAAGCACTGAGGCGCCGCTCCTTCCTGCCCTGCCCCCATGTCCCACACAGGTCCTAGAGAGTCTTTCTATTGCCCATTTCTGCCGATGGCCTGGGAAAGCAGTGGCTCCCTGGTGCCAACCAAATTGCCTCCTCTGGGCTGTGGGAGGCCTGAAGAGGCTCTAAGCACCAGGCTGGCGGGGCAGGGTGGCCCCGGCCCCTCTTCCCACCTTTCACAAGTCCACATCTTAGAGGACTCAGTCACAACGTGGGGGTGGCATCTGGGTTTTGAAAACAAGTGACTGGGCATAGTGACTCATGCCTGTAATCCCAACACTTTGGGAGGTGGAGGCGGGCAGATCACCTGAGGCTAGGAGTTCAAGACCAGCCTGGGAAACATAACGAAACCCCATCTCTACAGAAAATACAAACATTATCTGGATACAAACATTATCTGGATGTGGTGGTGTGCACCTGTAGTCACAGCTACTCAGGAGGCCGAGGTGGGAGGATCACCTGAGCCTGGGAGGTTGAGGCTGCAGTGAGCTGTGATTGTGCCTCCATACTCCAGCCTGGGTGACAGAGTAGACTCTGTCTCAAAAAAAAAAAAAAAAAGAGAGAGAAAAAAGAAAACAAGTGAATGGCTGGGCATGGTAGCACATGCCTGTAATCCTAGCACTTTGAGAGGCTGAGGCCAGAGGATCGCTCGAGGCCAGGAGTTTGAGACCAGCTTGGGCAATACAGCAAGACCCTATCTCTACAAAAAAAATAAAATAACTAGCCAGGCATGGTGGTACTTGTAGTCCCAGCTACTCGGGAAGTTGGGGTGGGAGGATCACAAGGCTGCACTGAGCTATGATCATGCCACCACACTCCAGCCGGGGCAACAGAGCAGGACCCTGTCTCTTAAAAAAAAAACAAAAAAAACAAAAACAAAAAATGGCTGGGCGCAGTGGCTCACGCCTGTAATCCCAGCACTTTTGGGGGCTGAGGCGGGCGGATCACAAGGTCAGGAGATCGAGATCATCCTGGCTAACATGGTGAAACCCCATCTCTACTAAAAATACAAAAAATTAGCCAGGCGTGGTGGCGGGCGCCTGTAGTCCCAGCTACTCGGGAGCCTGAGGCAGAAGACTGGCATGAACCTGGGAGGCGGAGCTTGCAGTAAGCTGAGATCACGCCACTGCACTCCAGCCTAGGTGACAGAGCAAGACTCCATCTCAAAAAAAAAAAAAATAAATAAATAAAACAACTTAATGAACCTTGCCATATTCAGAAGCAGAGAAACATGTTTTGTAACATAAGCACCTAAAAATTCTAGCTGAATAGCTATACTTGTCTTCATTTATTTTCTCTCCAAGTATGATTTTTTTAAAAAAAACTTTTCTATAGAGACAGGTGGGAGGATCACTTGAGCCTGAAAGGTTGAGGCTGCAGTGAGCTAAGATTATGGCACTTCACTCCAGCCTGGACAACAGAAATTCTGTCTCAAGACAAAAGAACAGTGTTTTTCAAACAGTGGGTCATGACTCTTAATGGTTATAAAAGAAATACTTATTAGATGGAGAAAATACATCTCATGCCTTAATCCTAGCACTTTGAGAGGCTGAGGTGGGAGGATCGCTTCAGCCCAGGAGTTTGAGACCTGCCTGGGCAATATGATGAGATTCTTTCTCTACAAAAATTAAAAAAATTAGCCAGACATGGTGGCATGCGCCTGTAGTCCCAGGTACTCTGGAGGCTGAGTTAGGAGGATTGCTTGAGCCTGGAAAGTCGAGGCTGCAGTGAGCTAAGATCCCATCACTGCACTCCTGCCTTGGTGAGAGAGACCCTGTCTCAAAAACCAAACAACCCCCCATCACACATACACAAAATCAACGTCTATCACATGGAATACAGATGGCACCTGTTTTGGTTGCATATGAATACATGCTGTGTCCACTAGGTAGGGATGCAATGGCCTTGGTTAAGACCCTCTCAATTGGCCGGGCGCGATGGCTCACGCCTGTAATCCCAGCACTTTGGGAGGCTGAGGCAGGCAGATCATGAGGTGAAGAGATGGAGACCATCCTGGCCAACATGGTGAAACCCCATCTCTACTAAAAATACAAAAATACATGGGCGTGATGGCAGGTGTCTGTAGTCCCAGCTACTTGGGAGGCTGAGGCATGAGAATCACTTGAACCTGGGAGGCGGAGGTTGCAATGAGCCGAGATCACACCACTGCACTCCAGCCTGGCGACAGGGTGAGACTCCATCTAAAAAAAAAAAAAAGATACTCTCAATTATAAGCAACTATGTACCAAACTCACACAGTCTTAGACAGTGAAGTAGATTTGCTTGCTCACTTAACTGAAGAGTCCCCAGGGAGGGAGCTGTGGACATGGAACAAAGCTCTTCCCTCTTCTGAGCATCTGCTTCTTGCTCAGAGTGGATCACCTCATGGTCACAAAATGGCTGCCAGTACAACACACTTCCACATTCAAGTTGTGCCACAGACCGGAAGTCTTGAACTTTGCTATGAAGTGGTTAATAGTATAGGCTCAGAATCATATAGATCTGACCTTTAACTTAGTCTCCATTGTTTTCTGGCCTGTGACCTTGGGCAAGTTACAAACCTCAGTTTCTATAAAATGGGAAGAAAGATCACTCCAGTCTCACTGAGTTGTGGTGAGAATTGGGTGAACGAATATTAAGCACTTAGCACGGCCCCCATGGTGTAGTGAGCACTGTATGAATGTTGGCTGTAGAGGGCCCGTGATTGCATCAGGGTCCTCTACAGGAGAGGAAAGGAGAGCTGTTCCTCTCCTTTCTCTGGGGGACCCTGCTGGTTTTGTTTGGAATCCACACCTCCCCTAGACACTCTGGGGAGAGCTGAATCTACCCCAGCTCCATCAGTGACACATGTCCTATCTGCTGGTCTTGGTTATTGGCCTAGTGCTGGATAAATGGCCCAAAGAGGCTTGGTGAGAATGGAGAAGACATCTGGGAGACTGTGGCAGAAGGCATTTTTCGAGATGGACATAGCAGCTTCCACGCTACTCACACTCAATGCGACCTTGACACTCTTCCCAAGAGCGGTGGGATATGCAGCCCTACCCCTTGAATCCAGGCAGGCCTTTGTGACTGCCTTGACCACCAGTCTATCACAAGTGGTGCTGTGTGGCTTCCAAGGCTGGGTTATAAAATGCCATGTACATCTGACTTGTTCTCTAACCCAGCCACCATGCTGTGAGGAAGCCTATGCAGCCCTCTATGAGAGCAGCCGAGGCCCCCATTTCACAGCCCTTGTTGAGTTCCCAGACAACAGCCAGCACCATTTTTCAGCCACGTAGGTGAGCCATCTTGAAATGGATCCTCCAATTCCCAGGTGAGCTGTCCCAGCTGATGCCATGTGGAAGAGATGAGCCACCCTTGCTGAGCCCTGTCCAAATTGCAGATTATGAGCAAAATGAAAGATCCTTCTTAGCCTCTAAGTTTTGGGGTAACTTGTTATATACAAATAGATGGCCAAAATGGAAGTTCTGGAAAAGAGGCTCACTCCTGCCTTTTACCTTTTTAGGGTCCCACTCTATCAACCTGGCTGGAGTGCAGTGGTGTGATCATAGCTCACTGCAACCTCAGACTCCTGGGCTCACACAATCCTCCTGTCTCCACCTCTTGAGTAGTTGGGACTACAGGCTCATGCCACTCCTGCCTTTTAAATGTTGTGGTATAGAGCCTGGAGCCACTGCAACCACTTTGCCACTATGATGGAAACTAGTATGTGAATGAGTTGCTGCTACAGAAGGCATAAGAGAGAGGAAGACCTGAATCTGGACATGGTTGAACTGCTGGGCTCCATCAGCCATGAAGTCCACCCGGTTGGTATACTTTCTAGTTAATATGAGTGAAAACACTACCTCCAAAGGGTAAGCATTTCTCAATCATATTTGTTACTTATAGCCCAAACCATCCTAATATACCATCTATCCCTAACAGGGAATCATCAGCTGGGTTTAAGCAGAGGGAAATGTCTCGATGAGATGCTTTAGAACAATAGCTATGGTGTCTCCACAGGGCTGTCCTGGAGAGGGCTGGGAGACAGGAAGACCAGCCAGGAGCCTGCAGCAAAACTTCTAGGCAGGAGAAGGTGGGGGTCAGGGTCAAGCTCATGGAGCCGGAGGCTGGCATTGCGGAGTGACAGTGCAGGGCTGTGCATGACAGAAGGACACACCAGACACCACCTGTGCTCCACGGAGAGATGAACAAGCCCTGAGCAACTGGGGAATAGCAAAGGAAACTCCACCAACCCCCTCCCTCTCCTCCCTTCCTAGAGAGGAAGCCTCTCTCTCCCTTTGTCCTCACTGCCTGACTGTGAGGATCGACCAGAGATCTCCCAGGAGGATTTTGGAAAAGGCTCTAAAGGAAGTAGAAGCTTCCAGACCCAAGTGGCTCTCCCCTTTCAGCTGCTGCCCACCCCTACATTTGTGCTCGGTCGATCCCCACCCAGCTGACCTCAGCTGAGCTAGGACCGGCTCAGGACCCCGCCCCCAGCACCCCACACAGCTGGGAGTTGTTACTGCAGGCCCTCAGATGTTTACCCAAGGGCCTGCCTTGCCTTCGCTCTCTGCTGGCAACACAGATTCTTAAAGGGCCGAGGCTGGTTTCTCTTCTCCTGGGCCTGGGGGACCCTCTTCTCTCTGGATGCTTCCTGGGAGTCCCCTCCAGGCCCTGGTGTCTGTAGGGAAACCCCCTTCTGTAGGCGACGGGGGCGGAATTTGGACAGCCACGGCCAGCAGTCTGGATGACTCCCTCAGTGGCCAGCCCCTGGGGCCCAGGTCCCCCTGACTGTCCAGGGTGGCCCGCCTAACTGGCCTCCTTTTCTTCCATGGCTGGGAGGGCATTCACCCCCACCGTGGGGAAGCTCAGGGCAAGTTCCTGAGACCCACTTTTTGAGGACCCCTCCTACCAAGGTCTTCCTGGCCAGGCCTCCTCTCTGATCGGGTGAATAAACACAGGAACCCCAGGGTTTGGGGAACCCACAGCCCCAGAAGTACCAAACTGTGCTGAAATGCAGAAAACCCTTTTTAAGGGAGCTGAAGGTTTTAAGCATTTGAAGAAATTCTCTGAACTCATAAGACACCAGGCAGGCTATGGACGTGTCCCACGGACTCCCCACCCCCGAGCCCAAAGGGAGCTGCTGGTCCAGCAGGGCGGGAGGAGCTGGCTTGGCCCATCATGTGGTCAGTGGTGAGCCCTGCGAGTGGTTCCCCAGGCTGAGACCATGGAGGAGGGCAGATCAGCCACCCAGGCCTCGGTGGGCTCGGTGCCAGTGGGGTCCAGCTCCTCTGCTCTCCTCTTCCTGAGCCCCAGCGAAGGCACAGCCTTCGGATTGTGGCAAAGCCTGAACCCCAAACATGGAGCACTGCCCGTAATCAGATGGGGGTGAGAGAGAGCTTGTCACCAGGCCTGGGACAGCACCAAAATTCCTAACCTAGGGCTCCAAAAGAGGAAAGATTCCTGCAGGAGTTAGCTTGGAGCCGGTCCTCCATGAACATCAGGTAATGACAAGAAAAGATGCCAGCCAGATGTGCTGGCTCATGCCTGTAATCCCAGCACTTTGGGAGGCCGAGGCGGGAGGATCACCTGAGGTCAGGAGCTCGAGACCAGCCTGGCCAACACGGTGAAACCTTGTCTCTACTAAAAATATAAAACATTAGCCGGGCGTGGTGGTACATGCCTGTAATCCCAGCTACTCAGGAGGCAGAAGCAGGAGAATCACTTCAACCCGGGAGGCGGAGGCTGCAGTGAGTCAAGGTCATGCCACTGCACTCCAGCCTGGGCAACAGAGTGAGACTCTGCCTAAACAACAACAACAACAAAAAACAAAAAGAAAAGACGCGTAAACATCCCCACCATCTTGATCGCAAAAACAGTCACTGTCAAAGACTCCAGATGCCTTTCATTCAGTATTTACAACACCCTTGAAGAGGTCAGCAGCCCATATTACAGAGACCAGAGCTGAGCTTCAGAGAGGGGAGGCCTCCTGCCTAAGATCACACAGCCAAGAGGCAGGCGGCCAGCCTGGACTTGTGACTCGGAGCAGCATCTCACCACCTTTTGCAACGGATCCATCTGGAACCCAGAGGTCACGTTGCTCGTTGGGCTGTAGTTGCAGAGTGAGAGGCAGGCGTGGTCTTGGGCTGCGGGGTAAGACCAGGGCAAGCAGGGCCTCAGCTTTGGGTTGGGGGCTTTAAAATGGACACAGGACTCCTTTGAGCCTCCTGGAGAAAACTGTCTTAGGGCAGCTGCCCTCTAGGATGAGTGGGTGGGAGGGACGGGGTCGCTGAGGCCTCCCCTGAGCTCTAGTCTCGTTGCAGGCTTGGAAACGGCCCCAGTGAATGCGGGAGAGGAGAAAGCCAGCAGCCCCAGGAGACGGTGAAGGTCAAAAGCAGCCCTGGTTACCATCGCTAGCCAGCCCCCAAGTCTTTGCGTTGCCACGGCAACGCTACTCCTGTGCTACCCATCCCCGCACGGGGTCTGCTGTGACTGAAGCAAAAAGCCGCTTCCACGAGGCTCCTTAAAAAGGGTTTGAGGCTGTCTAATGGGGACCAGCTGCTCAGCAAATTACAAACACGCAGAAGAATAAGGCTCTGCTGGCTGGTAGAGTTCCCCTGCCCAGCCCTCCCTGCATGCAGCTTCTGCTGGGGGCAAGAGAGCAGCCCCTCCCGGAGAAGCCATCCGCCCACCCTTTCCACCTCTGACAGCCTCCCTGGAGCTGAGCTGTCCTGACCTCAGACACCCAGCTGGCTCCCCAACTTCCATGTCCAGCTCCCCACTTTGTCCTCCATTCTGTTGAGAAGGGGACGGGGGCAGGGAGACAGCCCAAATAGAGCGCACCCCATCAGAAGGGTACGGTGGGGCAAAGGCGTCCCCAGCGTTCCAAGCTCCCAGGAGATTCCAATACACAGCTCCAGAGGTGAATCACTGGCCCAGACCCAGTGGATTTTACACTCATGTGGCGCCAGAATTCCAGGAGGGCTCTGAAGTCACAGGCGCAAACTCACCCCGATTCCCTGGTCTCCGGTTCAGTCGGACCGGGGTGTTCCCGAAGAATCCGCGTTGCTGACGGGTTTCCTAGGCACCGGGATGCTGCTGAGTGGAACCCCACTTTGAGAAGTACAGGTTCCATCTGCTCTGATGGTGAGCAGAGCTGCTCCTGCATCTGTCACCTTCGTCATTTCCTCCACTTGTGACTCAACTAGGATTCATGTTCTGAATTTTGGGGGTTTCCTCCTGGGGTGTAGATGTAGTGAAGGTGGACATAGGTCTATACTGACCTTTTGTGTGAAGGCAGGGGTTCCTTCATTCATTCAGCAAAGACTTGAGGGCTACCCACGTTCCCACCTGGTGCCGGGCTTTCCCGGGAAAGACGAATTCAGCCTGGCAGTGACGGAGACACCGGCAGGGATCTGCCACACCCTGTGGAAGGGCCGTGAGGGACACAGAGTGTGCTTCGGTCACAGGGTGGGGCTGAGACTCGGATGCCCGAGAGGCACTCTCAGAGGTCGTGAAGGCTAAGCCCCTGGTCCCCAGAGTGTGCCAGAGGACCAGCAGCGTGGGCATTGCCGGGAGCCGATTAGAACTGCAGAAGTGCAGGCCCCTGTTTAGCAAGATCCCAGTGACTGAGGGTACCCAAAGGTTGAGAGATCCCCAGAAACACACATAGGAATTAACCTGGTAAAGAAGAAAAAGAATGTTCCGTCCTGGCCAACGTGGTGAAACCCCGTCTCTACTAAAAATACAAAAATTAGCCAGGCATGGTGGTGGGCACCTGTAATCCCAGCTACTCAAGAGGCTGAGGCAGGAGAATCGCTTGAACCTGGGAGGCAGAGGTTGCAGTGAGCTGAGATCGAGCGAGATCGAGCCATTGCACTCCAGCCTGGGCAACAGAGCAAGACTCCGTCTCAAAAACAAAACAAAAGAATGTTCCAGAAAAAGAAGTCATGAGTGCATTACAAGAATGATTTTTTTTTTTTTTTTTGGAGACAAGGTCTTGCTCTGTCCCCAGGCTGGGGTGCAGTGGTGCCGTCTCAGCTCACTGCAGCCTCAACCTCCCTGGGCTCAGGCGATCCTCCTGCCTCAGCCTCCTGAGTAGCTGGGACTACAGGTGCACAACATCATGCCTGGCTAATCTTCGTATTTTTTGTAGAGGTGCGGTTTCACCACATTGCCCAGGTGGGTCTTGAACTCCTGGGCTCAAGCGATCTATGGCCTCCCACAGTGCCTGGCTGAAAAGAACTTCCGACGCCCAGAGCCAGGATTTCTGGGGCTGGGTGATAGGGATGGGGAAGCATCTTTCTTTGTGAAGGGACCACCAGGGGCTGCTGTCGGTCCCTTACGTGGGGTAGCCAACCCTCCCAGTTTGCCCAGGATGGTTTTCTGTCGGTCATGTTAAAGAAAACGATTCAGTGACACTTGTGTGAGGTCAGTGAGGCTGACTCGACTCAGGGCCGTCTCGATAGGCGCAGGGACCATGCAGGGGGAACCTGCCATGGGCAGAGGTCAGGGTCAACTCAGATGCAGCACGGCCAAGTGAATTTCTAGCCAGGGAGCAGGGTGGGGGTCAGAGCGGGGGGAATTACTAAGAGGAAGCAGGGGGTCAGGGGGATTCCGGCTAAACCCACCTAACAGGATTCTTGCTGAAGGCAGGCCGGGGTGACCAGACATCGCCTGAGGGACGGTGGAGGATGGGGGCTTCTTGCTAAACTGACTTCGCAGGAATGGCAGAAACTGGATTTTACAAGGCGGCCTGGAGATGGGGCCCGGGAGAAGGTTTGGGGACCTGAGGCTAAAGCGCCAAGGACTTCGTCTTCACTTCCCCCACCTCTGACTCTGCCCTGGGGTGGTGGAATGACTCACCTGATGGAAAAAACTGGGTGTTGATTTGCTAAAATCCCAAAAGCAGGTCTGCATTTAGAAAGCGCTGGCTCCTTGAGAAGCCTGGCCTGGAACCTGGAGCCCAGGTGGGCTCCTTGAACAGATGATGCCTGAGGGATGTCGCCTGGATGCTGGGAGTGAGCGAGGCAGCAAAACACTGTCTCTTGGCCTGTCCCCAAGTCAAAATCCCACCTTAGGGGGGCCAGCTGCTTTGGGTTAAGGGTGGGGGAGTTGAGAGATGGAGAGGAGCTTAGAAGTCATCAGGGCTCCCCGTTTTAGAGAGAAGAGCCTCGGGGCGGGGGAGAAGGGACTCAGCTCTGGAACTAAGGACTGGACCTCGGGTCCCAAGCCCCAGTCTTAGGAGCTGCTACCTCCTTATTAAAGTGCCAGGGGGCCCTCCAGGACGGGCCCCATCCAACGCCAGCCGTCTCATCTCTGTCCCACTCTGTTAGAAAACACCTCCTTATATTAAGCTAAAATCTGTCTTTTCCACAGTTTCTTTGATGCGGCCTCTTGGATCTTTTTAAGATGCTGTGATCAATGACTCACTCAAATCCTCTCTCACCAATCTCACCACCAGCATCCTCAAATTGACTGAATTTGCTGTCTATTTCTAAGGTCAAATTTGCAGCCACTTCCTGATACCTCCCACGGAGGTTGGCGCTGGTCCTCCATGCAAGGAGGTGACTGCGGCCAAGGGACTCACCAAACGTGGAGGTTTGCCAAAGTTATGTCGAAGAGCCTGGATCTCAAAGTGAGCCGTCTCCCGGGAAACAGCTCGAGACGTTCAGATTCTGAACATCCGCTCCACATGCGGCAGGGGGGCTTGAGAGCTCTCAGCACGTTCATGTGAGAGAAGAAGCCCAGGAGGCCCCCATGGGCTCTGACATCCAGGAGGCTTGCAATGGGAGGATGGGGGTGTGGGAAGGTCCCCCTGGGAGCCAGGACTCCATCCCATGCCCAGCATCCACCTGAATGCCAGCAGGATTCGAATTAGAGAATGCACGTGATGGCAAAACAGCTTGCACTCCCGGAACCCTGAGCAGCCTCCTGTGGGCTGAATTCCGTCCCCCAGAAAGATACATCTGCGTCCTGACCACCAGTACCTGTGGCTGTGACTTTTTTTGGATATAGGGTCTTCGCAGATACAATCAAGGCTCTTGGCCAGGTGTGGTGGCCCACGCCTGTAATCCTAGTACTTTGGGAGGCCAAGGCAGGGGGATCACCTGAGGTCTGGAGTTCGAGACCAGCCTGGCTGACATGGCGAAACCCTGTCTCTACTAAACATATAAAAATTGGCCAGGTGCAGTGGCTCACGCCTATAATCCCAGCACTTTGGGAGGCTGAGGCGGGCGGATCACCTGAGGTCAGGAGTCTGAGACCAGCCTCAACATGGAGAAACCCCATCTCTACTAAAAATACAAAATTAGCCAGGCCTGGTGGTGCATGCCTGTAATCTCAGCTACTCGGGAGGCTGAGGCAGGAGAATCGCTTGAACCTGGGAGGCGGAGTTTGCGGTGAGCCAAGATCGCGCCATTGCACTCCAGCCTGGGCAACAAGAGCAAAACTCCGTCTCAAAAAATAAATAAATAAATAAATAAATACATAATAAAATAAAATAAAAATAAAAATAAAAATTAGCCAGGCGTGGTGGCAGATGCCTGTAATCCTAGTACTTTGGGAGGCTGAGGCAGGCAGATCACTTGAGGTCAGGAGTTCGAGACCAGCCTGGCCAACATGGCGAAAGCCCGTCTGGGAGTTCCCAAGCTGGGAGATAGGGCAGGGACAGAGTCTCCCTTAGAGCCCCCAGAAGGAACCAGCCCTGTAGACCCCTTGACCTCAGACTTCTGGTCTCCAGAGCTGTGAAAAGAAAATTTCTGTTGTTTTAAGCCACCCAGGAAATGTCTGTCCTTTAGGCAGACCCAGGAAACTAATACCAAGCCTCGCATTCCTGTCCCTTCCCAGGAGTCAGGTCTGGACATCATGTAGCCCCCAGGATCTGAGGTGGGCTGGAAAGGCCGGAGACTGGGTCCTGCTTCAGGGGGATTGAGGGGGTCAGAGACACTGGCAAGCTTGGGTGAAGCAGAGATTTGCAGGCTGGCTCCCGGCTGCCCCGACTTAAGCTAGTTCTGATAAGGAAGCAGGGCCGGGCAGCATGACTCAGGCCCCTACTCACCCCACCTGACTCTGGGCAGTGCAGTGATGGCCCAGAGTCCAGCCCTTGGGATGGGCTGACCTGGCCCTCCTGAGACCCCACTCCCACTGCTTGGAATGTTGGATTCTCCCCAGACCATCTATGAACACCGCCCTCCTTTTGTCTTTGGGTCAATACCCTGGCGCACCCCTCCAGCCAGGCTCCAACTCACCTTCCCTCCCTCCTGGCAGTTGTATCTTTCTCTCCATCTCTGCTGTGGTCTGTTTATCTCCTCTCCTCCCATTAGACTCTAAATGAAAACTGTCTCTACTTCTGACACTCAACGTGTGGGCCTTCCTCCCCCATACCGAGTAGTTCTCCAGTTTTTGTTTTTGTTTTCCCCTGTGACAGTGTCTCACTCTTCGCCCAGGCTGGAGCGCAGTGGTCCGATCCTAGCTCACTACAGCTATGCAATCCTCCCACCTCCTGCCACCACACCCCGCTATTTTTTAATTTTTGTACAGATGGGGGTCTCACTATGTTGCCCAGGCTGGTCTCGAGCTCCTGGGCTCAAGATATTCTCCTGCCTTGGTTTCCCACAGTGTTAGGATTATAGGCGTGAGTTCGTTTAATCCTGATACTATCCGGAGTTAGCGCAGACCCCACAGGTTAGGAGCTCAAGACTGCCCGCCACATCAGACCCCGAACATAAGCAGAGGGTCCTCAGGTTGCCCACGTTTCAGTCCAACTTGGCTACAAATTGGAGGCTTCCATGACCCTCTTCTTGGGTTTGGTGATTTGCTATTGGGGGCTCCCATGACCCCCTCCTCAGGTTTGGTGATTTGCTTTTCCTTTTTTTTTTTTTTTTTTTTTTTTTGAGACGGAGTCTCACTCTGTCACCCAGGCTGGAGTGCAGTGGCGTGATCTCGGCTCACTGGAACCTCCGCCTCCTGGGTTCAAGCAATTCTCCTGCCTCAGCCTCCTGAGTAGCTGGGACTACAGTCATGTTGTCCAGCTAATTTTTGTGTTTTTGTAGAGACAGGGTTTCACCATGTTGGCCAGGCTGGTCTTGAACTCCTGACCTCAAGTGATCCGCCCGCCTTGGCCTCCCACAGTGCTGGGATTACAGGCGTGAGCCACCACTCCTGGCCGATGATTCGCTATTGGTGGCTCCCACAGCCTCCTCCTCAGGTTTGGCGATTTGCTATGGAAGGGCTCACAGAACTTTCCTTAGGGCCTCAGGTTGATGATAAAGGATGCCAGAAGGAGACACATAGAGACCAAGGTCCAGAATCCAGGGCAGGCGCTTCTGTCCCCCTGGAGTACGCGTTATGCCAGCCTCCCGGCTCATGGGTTCGTTCATTACCCTGAAGTTCTCTGAACCCTTTCTCTTCAAGCTTTGATGGAAGTTCCACTATGTGAGCATGATTGATGAAATCATCGACAATTGGTAATTGACTCAATCCCTGGCCCTTCCGCCTTCCTGGAAGTCGGGGTGGGGCTGAAAATTTCAACCCACTAATCCCATGGTTGGTTCCTGGGGCAGCAGCCTCCATTTTGAGACTAGCTAGGGACCACCGAGTCACCTCATTAGCATAAGTAGGATGGTGGAAAGGGGTTCCTTATAAGTAACAAAAGGTGCTTCTCTCACCTCTCTCAGAAAATTTCAAGGGTTTTAGGAGCTCTGTGCTGGGAACCCAGGAACCGGGAACAAAGACCAAATAGAATATATATTTCTTGCCAGGCACAGTGGCTCATGCCTGTAATCCCAGCACTTTGGGAGGCTGAGGTGGATGGATCACCTGAGATCAGGAGTTCGAGACCAGCCTGGCCAACATGGTGAAACCCCATCTGTACTAAAAATACAAAAATTAGCTGGGTGTGGTGGTGAGTGCTACTCGGGAGGCTGAGGCAGGGGAATCACTTGAACCTGGGAGGCGGAGGTTCCAGTGACCCAAAATTGTGCCACTGCACTCCAGCCTGGGTGACACAGTAAGACTCTGTCTCAAAAAAAAAAAAAAAAAAAAAAAAAAAACCCACAAAAAAATATATTTTTTGAATAAGAATATTTTGAATAAGAATATATATTTCTTATTCTCTCACAGCCCTGACTGAGCCCCTTGCAAACAGAGCCCCCAGTCCTCTCCCTGGTGCCCCTGAGCTTGGCCTGGAGGAGTCTCTGTGAGAATCTCCTGAATTGGGCTTTTGAATGCACATGGGTGAATGCACACATATGGTGTGTGCATATGTGCAGACAGAACACACATGTAACACTTGGAGCGCTAGCGTAAGCAGGAGGGAGGTGTGGAAGACAGGCCTGCATTCTTCCTCTGCATTTTGCAACTGCCACAGGCTTGGCTTCGAGCTCCTGGCTTCACCCCAGTGACATTCTTTCAGAAGCCCAGCTGCTGCCACATCAAACCATTTCTGTCCAGCTCTCACTCAGGCCCAGCCACCTCCATGGGCCACACGAGTGGGGCACGAGGAAGCCCAGCCTTTTCAGGGAGTTCATGAGTGTATTTGTGCAAGGGTGTGGCTAGAACCTGGGGTGTGAATGCCTCAACAGCCAGGAGGCTGCTGTTAAGAAATAGTTCACTGCAGCCAGGCGCAGTGGCTCATGCCTGTAATCCCAGCACTTTGGGAGGCCGAGGCGGGTGGACCACCTGAGGTTGGGAGTTCGAGACCAGCCTGATCAACATGGAGAAACCCCATCTCTACTAAAAATGCAAAAATTAGCCAGGCATGGTGGTGCATGCCTATAATCCCAGCTACTTGGGAGGCTGAGGCAGGAGAATCGCTGGAACCCGGGAGACAGACGTTGCAGTGAGCCGAGATCATGATGCCATTGCACTCCAGCCTGGGCAACAAGAGTGAAACTCAGCCTTAAAAAAAAAAAAAAGAGTCATCCATGAATCCCCTCCCCAACAAAGGTGCTAACACAGGTCACATGCTCTTCTCCCTCCTAGCCAAATCCATCCCAAACCAATTCCCACAGCAAAGAGGATGGAATTTCCCATAGTCCCTCCCTCAGATCGCCCCAGGCTGCTGCCCAGTGGGATGGTTCCCTGAAGGAACATATAGGTCATCTGGGGAATGAGGAAGAGTGGGGAATGGAGACTCAACAGACAACCAGTGAATGTTCTATACAGGATTGTTCTGCACGTTGCTCTTTTGAAAAACTTGGGCCAGGCACAGTGGCTCACACCTGTAATCCAGCACTTTGGGAGGCTGAAGCGGGCGTATGGCTTGAGGTCAGGAGTTTGAGACCAGACTACTAGCCAACATGGTGAAACCATTCTCTACTAAAAATACAAAAATTAGCCGGGCGTGGTGGCGGGTGCCTGTAATCTCAGCTACTTGAGAGGCTGAGGTGGGAGAATTGCTTCAACCCGGGAGGCGGAGGTTGCAGTGAGTCAAGATCGCACCACTGCACTCTGGCCTGGGCGACAGAGCGAGACTCCATCTTAAAACAAAAAACAACAACGACAAAAAAACACTTGATGTTGTATCATGAAGATCCTTTATGTCAGTACATATGGGGGCCACAAAATCCTTCTGAGTAGCTCTACAATAGTCCACTCTCCGGATGCCCGGAATGAACTGAGCTGTCCCTCAATGCGTGGAATCTCCTTCTGCCTTTGTGAAGCCTGCCTCCATGTGACCTGCAAGGCCCAGGTCGCTGCTCTCAAGTGGCCTCGCGGGGCTTTGAGCCTGGAACAGGGCTCTCAGTAAGGCAGGAGTGGTTCAAATGCTTGCTGTGGGTGGTGACATCAGCCACAGCCTGAACCCAGTGTCCCCTGAGGGCGGTGAGCAAGTCTGTGTCAATTCCAGCCAGATTACTCCGGGTTCAGAGGTCCTCAGCTTCCTGGTTATGGCCAATTACAAATGGTCATAAATTCTTCAAAGCGACCCTCATCAGGAGGTGGAGTTTATTTTCCACCTTTGGATCGACGCTGACCTTGTGATGTGTGTGTCTAAGCCTGGACCTCAAGAAGCCTCGCATGTTAGGCTGGGCGTGGCGGGTCACGCTTGTAATCCCAGCACTTCGGGAGGCCAAGGCGGGCATATTGCTTGAGCTCAGGAGTTTAAGACCAGCCCGGGCAACATAGCAAGACCGGGTCTCCACAGAAAATTTAAAAATTAGCCAGGTGTGGTGGCGTGTGCCTGTAGTCCCAGCTACTCAGGAGGCTAGGGGACGGAGTGGGGAGGATTGCTTGAGCCCAGGAGGTCAAGGCTGCAGTGAGTCATGTTCGGGCCACAGCCATGATCATGCCACTTGCACTTCAGCCTGGGCAACAGAGCGAGGCTCTAAAAAAAAAAAAAAAAAAAAAAGGTTTTTTTTTTTGAGACAGAGTCTCGCTCTGTTGCCTAGGCTGGAGTGCAGTGGCACAATCTCAGCTCACTGCAACCTCCGCCTCAGCTCACTGCAACCTCCGCCTCAGCTCACTGCAACCTCCGCCTCAGCTCACTGCAACCTCCGCCTCCCAGGTTCAAGTGATTCTCCTGCCTCAGCCTCCCCAGTAGCTGGGATTACTGGCACGTGCCATCACGTGAGGCTAATTTTTGACAGGGTTTCACCATGTTGGCCAGGCTGGTCTCAAACTCCTGGCCTCAAGTGATCTGCGCACCTTGGCCTCCCAAAATGCTGGGATTACAGGCGTGAGCCCCACTCCCAACCAGAAACAAAACAAAACAAAAAAAGGTTCTGCATTCCACATCATGGAACACTGCTACCATGGGACCAGGCCTGGCTTAGCGTCCACCAGAATGAGACCCTATGGAGAGAGGGGCCCCACCTTCCCAGCTCTTCCAGCCACCCCAGGTGAGGCCTCTGACATAAGTGAGCCCAGCCAACACCATGGGGAGCAAAGGTGAGCCCTCCCAGGTGAGCCCAGCTGAAATGACAACCCACAGGGTCAAGGCGGATGAATGGTTATTGTTCTCATGGTTTTTAGCCACCGAGTTTTGGAGCAGTTTGTTACTAAGCAAAAGTTAACCGCACAGCCACCTTACTTAATTCCCGCTCAACTCCTAGCCTTCCTATCAATTCTGTGACCTTCATAATTTTTTCCATAAATCTTTTTTCTGTTGAAGTTAACCAGAGGTGGTTTCTGTTGGTTGAAACTAAGAACACTGGCTGGTATAAAAATTAGTATGAGGCTGGCCGGGCGCAGTGGCTCACACCTGTAATCCCAGCACTTTAGGAGGCCGAGGTGGGTGGATCACGAGGTCAGGAATCGAGAGCATCCTGGTTAATATGGTGAAACCCCGTCTCTACTAAAAATAATAATAAAAAAAATTAGCTGGGCGTGGTTGCGAGTGCCTGTAGTCCCAGCTACTCGGGAGGCTGAGGCAGAATGGCGTGAACCTGGGAGCTTGCAGTGAGCCGAGATCGTGCCACTGCACTCCAGGCTGGGCGACAGAGCAAGACTCCATCTCAAAAAAAAAAAAAAAAAAAAAAAAATTAGTACAAGGCCAGGCACAGTGGCTCACACCTGTAATCCCAGCACTGTGGGAGGCTGAGGCAGGTGGATCACCTGAGGTCAGGAGTTTGAGACCAGCCTGGTCTCACGGTAAAACCCCGTCTACTAAAAATACAAAAATTAGCTGGGCGTGCTGGTGCACACCTGTAATCCCAGCTACTTGGGAGGCTGAGGCAGGAGAATCTCTTGGACCCAGGAGGCAGAGGTTGCTGTGAGGCAAGATCGTGCCACCGCACTCCAGCCTGGGCAACAAGAGCAAAATTCTGTCTCAAAAAATAAAAGTTCATAGGAGCTTTACTCAAAATAACAACAAGAACAACAACAAAAACCACCCTCTGAAAACAACCCAAATGCCCATCCCCTGTAGACTGGGTTGATAACCTGTGGTATAGTCACGTAACGGGGTTCACTTCAGCTACAAAGAACAACGTGCGTGAATCTCATAGGCATTGTATGGAAGCCAAAAAGCCTGACACGACACTAGGGAGTGGGTACTCAGGTACGATTCCATTTACATGAAGTTCAAGAGCAGGAACAACTACTCTGTGTCGACAGAAATCAGATTTAGTGGTTCCATGGTGGAGGTTCTGACCTAGAGAGCCTTCTGGGGTGAGGGAAAGGTTCGGTATCTCTATCCGAGGGGTGGTGCCAGCAGTGTTTACATGTAACACAACAATTAACCAAGCTCTACGCTTCCCACATGTGTGTGTGTAATATACCAATAAAATGGTTTTTAAAAATCTCACTGGCAGGCAGGGTGCTGTGGCTCACGCCTGTAATCCCAGCACTTTGGGAGGCCCATACGGGAGGATTGCTTGAGCTGAGGCATTTGAGATCAGCCTGGGCAAAGTAGCAAGACCCCATCTCTAGAAAAACTCAAAAATTAGCTGGGCATGGTGGCACATACCTGTGGTCCCAGCTACTCAGGAGGCTGAGGTGGGAGGATCGCTTGAGCCCAGGAGGTCAAGGCGGCAGTGAACTATGATCACGCCATTGCACTCCAGCCTGGGTGACAGAGTGAGACACTGTCTCAAAAAAATAAAAATAAAGAGGAGCTCAGTCTCGGGATAGACAACTGAGAAAAGTTTTGTCCTTTTCTGCTACCTTCTTCTTGCTGCCTGAAAGGCAGAAGTGATGGCTGGAATCTCAGCAGCCATTGTAGATCATGAGGGTAGCCTTGAGGGTGGCAGGCATACAATAATGGTGTACAAATGGAAGAAGTCTACCTCCAGAAAGGGTGCCTTCTCCCTTTTATGTGTCAGAAAATAACAAAAAATGTCATATAGAGTCCCTGCTATGTTGGGCTTTCATGATAGGAAGCTGAAGCTAAAAATATCTAGTACAGGTGCATGCATGAGAGATTCTGGCTTTGTGCGCTAGCTTGAGCAGCTGGGAGCAGTGCTAATTATCTTCTCAATTGCTTGACTGAAAACTGGAGTCACGGATGGCCCGTGAATTCCTCAGTGTGTTGTAGAGAAAAGAATCCAAGGCATCGAGGAGCCAGGTGCCCTGGAGTGTGTGCCGTGTGCAGTCAATTGCTGGCCTTGACTCTGGACAGACCCAGGAAGCTCTCCTCCCCCAAAAGCCCGCCCAGGGAAATGTGCAGGGAAGGAGGAACCAGTCTCCTAGAAAATTCCCTGCGGCTGCTCTGTGTAGGTCAGAGAGGCCCTCTGGAGATGCTGCAATTGAAATGCTTCGTGATGGCCATAAGGTGGAGGTGCACAGGACCAAAACAGGCAGGGAGCTTGCAAAACCCTCACATGATCTGTAGTGTTAGAAAAGCTCAAGATCCGGGATGGGCGCGGTGGCTCATGCCTGTAATCCCAAACACTCTGGGAGGCTGAGGCAGGTGGATCACCTGAGGTCAGGAGTTCAAAACCAGCCTGGTCAACATGGTGAAACACCGTCTCTACTAAAAATACAAAAAATTAGCCGGGCGTGGTGGTGCGTGCTGGTAGTCCCAGCTACTCGGGAAGCTGAGGCAGGAGAGTCGCTTGAATCCAGGAGGTGGAGCTTGCAGTGAGCTGAGATTGTGCCACTGCACTCCAGCCTGGGGGACAGAGTGAGACTCCACCTCAAAAAAAAGAAAGAAAGAAAGAAAGAAAAGCTCCAGATCTGGTGAACAGAGGCACCTTGTGCCATCACGACAGAGTCGTAGCCTCTCACCCATTTCCTGGATCACCCAGAGCCCCTTGGAAGGAAGGGTGGTCAAATCTCTTACAGAAAGGACCCTGTAATAAAATGACAAGGACTTACAGTACCAAGAATCCGCTTCCTGGCCTTCCCCAAAGAGGCTCTTGGCCGTGAACCCGGCGACCGAGCTCCAGGGCAGGGGTTCGGCAGCTGTCCCGAGGACTTGGTGAGTAGCTTCTCGTGAGTTACACCAGATGAAGACGGCGCTGCCACTGTTTCAGATGTGGCTGATTGGAGTAAATGAGCACACCCCGCACGTGGATGCAGCAGTGGCTGACGGCAGCTCCCTCCCCCTCTCCCTATCTCGGTCTGTCTCTCCTGCGTCCACACACACACATGCGTGCACACACATGCACACACACGTGTCCTGCCTCAGGAGTACACCGGCTGTCTCGTTCTGCTTCCTGCCAACTCATGATGCTACAGTCATCACACTGGACCAAAGTGAACCCCAGTGGGTGCCCTATGTGTGTACCCCTTGGTGCCTTAGAAACGGGCCCAACCTTGGCTAGATCTCTGTGGACTTTTGAGGGGACACATGCCTTACTTGGGGAGTGGCTCCTGCCTCTTTACTAGAGACCCAAGTCTGGTGTCAGAGCACGAGGCCACTGTCTGCTGGTGCAGCTGCCTTGCCTGTGACCTTAAGATCCGTTAGGCCAGGACGTGGGGCTTGAGATGCAGGAAGCTATGCTGATGGGCGTGAGGGGCCCGCGGCAGGCCCGCTGGGAGGACCACCCAGGAGCATCCAGCGGTTTGGAGCTGAGCAGGGCCCTCTTTGGCAGGGAGATTCACTCCTTCCAGCACAACCAGCTTTGGCCCAAACATTCGAGCATGGGTCATGAGCTGCCCTCCATGAGCTGGAAGGACACAGGTGGACGTGGCCCTCAGGAGCGCGGGCAGTCTCTGGAGACATGGGTGATTTTCATCTGTGCCAAGGCTGCCCCACCCTCCACCCAGGGCACCTGGGGCTTCCCCCAGGGCCTTATGGTGCATTCCCTAATACCGGTGACGGAGGTGACGGAGGTGACGGAGGTGGGAGAAACGCAAGCCTGTTTCAGATTGCACTGCGGGCTAATTCCAGGTGGGAGTGGCCTGTTGCCCAGCAGAAAGGGGACCTCGCTTTGGGCAGAACCCGGAGTGGCCAATCTCAGTTTCCGTGTGGATGGAGGGAAGCCGGCCTTGGCCACGTGACCTGTGGAAGCAGCTCAGGGTTTGATCAGAGATGCCAGGGCTGGAGGGAGGAGGATGGAAGAATGAGTAGCCGTGAGCTTTGGGAAGAGAGCAGGGACCGGCGTCTTGGGATGGCCACAGAGATGAGGATGCTTCTGTCCCCTGACTGTTCCCTGAAAGGCCCCACTGCAGTCCTATGCTGGGGTGCCTACCCCGGGGTGTGGGGACAGGTGTCACAGAGTGTCACTCTGCACCTCTACAGCCTCCAGGGCCTCCTCTGCTGAGAGGTGGCCTGTGGGGAGGGAGGCTTTGCACGGGCTCACCACTGCCATGTCACCAAGGCTGATGGGAGCGGACCTGGCGCTCCTGGGCCTTCGCTCGGCGCCTCGATGCCCATGGGGAGCTCCGGCTTCCTGAAGGCCGTGGCTTGCAGCCGACCCCTTCCATCGGAGGAGGCAGCCGCTTGCTCCCCAGGAATCGACACTTACTCTAGATCTGAATGCCCCCATCCTACACGGCCCTCAGTGCCACCAGCCCTTCACTGACTCAACACCTTTCCCACCCTGTTGGCCACCCACAGACATGCAGGTGACTCAGGAGCTGCAGTCAGGCCGTGGGCTCATGGTCACATGTGTCACCTATCACACATTCAAGGGCTCACGAAACAGGAAGGCTGGGATGAAACCTCAGGCTCAGGAGGCCAGTGAAGGGAAAAATGCAAGAGCCTGGCTCTGCGGACGTGCTGGGCGGCAGATGAGACAGCCCCGGAAGTCCCTGCCTCCAGGTCCCCCAAATCATCCTTTCCTCCCTCCCTGTAGACAAGAAAATGCTGCCCTCCACCTGTGGACGCACCAGCTCAAGGAGCCCATCTGCATTTCTCCTTGTTCAGAATGCACAGCAGTGAGCCATGGGGCCCTGAGCAGGGCGCCCATCACCTAGTGCAAAGGTTCTGCTTCTAGTCCTGAAACCTGGGTTCTGTTTTTTTGTTTGTTTTTTGTTTTGTTTTGTTTTTTTTGAGACAGAGTCTTGCTCTGTCACCAGGCTGGAGTGCAGTGGCATGATTTCGGTTCACTGCAACCTCTACCTCCCGGGTTCAAGCAATTCTCCTGCCTCAGCCTCTTGAGTAGCTGGGATTACAGGTGCGTGTCATCACGCCAGCTAATTTTTGTATCGGGGTGGGGGGGTTTTCACCATGTTGGCCAGGATGGTCTCGATCTCTTGACCTCGTGATCCGTCCTCCTTGGCCTCCCAAAGTGCTGGGATTACAGGTGTGAGCCACCACACCAAGCCGACACAGGGGTTTTGCACCCAAGAGAGGAACGTTTCCACGATGAGACATCTCCACGTTCCTTCAAATTGGCAGTGAAGATGGGGATTCGCCTCTGGGACCACGGTGCCTGTGGGTGAACAGGTGAAGAAGGGAGGAGTGTTTCGGAGGCTGGGATGGTCGGTCCTGACTGTCCCGGGGGAACAGGGCTGCCGCTCAAAACTGCAAGCAGCACGGAAGAACTCCAGTGACTTCTCAAACTCCTGCATCTCCCAGCCCCACACAGGGCTATGGCCTCCCTTGCAGGCAGGACCCACGGGGCTCAGAGTTCCCTGGAAGGAAGACTCCAGTTACCTTCCCTGGCCGTGAGATGCCAGGGAGCACGGAGCGGGAGAGAAGAGAGCTGCTGTGGTCCTGGGACTGACTCGAGAAATGGAGGCTGTGATTCTGGTCTTTGCCATGTCTGCCACGCCTCTACCGTGACATCGCTTTTCCTTCTTCCTCCTGATCTCATTGTGGTTTGTCCCCAACACTGGTCTTGGCAGTGGTCCGTGGCGACGTGGCCCCTCGGTTGCTAAAATGTCAATAGGATCAAAATAGAGGTGGAGGAGATAGGCCGGGCAGAGTGGCTCATCCCTGCAATCCCAGAACTCTGGGAGGCTAAGGCGAGCAAATTGCTTGAGCCCAGGAGTTCGAGACCAGCCTGGGCAACATGGCAAAACCCCGACTCTACTAAAAATACAAAAAAAGAAAAAAAAATTAGCCAGGCCTGCTGGCGCACATCTATAGTCCCAAGTACTTTGTAGTCCCAGAGGCTGAGGCGGGAGAATCACTTGGGCCCAGGAAGCAGAGTGTGCAGTGAGCCAAGATCGTGCCACTGCACTCCAGCCTGGGCGACAGAGTAAGACACTGTCTCAAAACAAACAAAAAACATGTGGAGGAGGGGATGTCCTGCCAGGATGGTGGACCTGGGCTGGACGCAGGATCTGGAGGTGGGGGGGTTGGGGGAGCAGAGGCCTCCATCCAGTACAGGGAGCAGCTGCCTTCACAGGCAGGAGGTTTTGTGAGACTGCTTTTGTTCCTTGTGGCACCTGTGGGGAGAGGGTGGGTGGGGCGTCTGCTGCCATCTTGGCTGTTCAGCACCTGAACCTCCCTCCCATTAGGGGAGCCCCTGTGCCACCTCCTGTTCCAGAGGCCACACTGTTGTCCTCCCAGACCGTGGCACAGCGGCAGGTGCCAGCCTGAGCTCGGCCCAGCAGGTGCCTCCCTGGGGACTCTGTGCCTGCAACGGGCCATGGAGAAGCAGGGGCAGTTTTGAATTCCTGTTGGTGGTGAGCGACGTTCTGTGCCCAGAACCTGCTGTGGCATTGTCACGGATGTCCCCCCGGCATCCAATGGGTCCCCCAGCCTCCCCTGAGACTCTGTGGTTCCCAGGATCTTCCAGCGCACCTCTACCCGCCTCACTCAGCCCAGGGGAGGTGCCTTTTATTTGTAGTCAAGCACCTGTTGGTGGGTATTGACGTCGTTTCCAATTCTTCACTCTTACAAGGCTGAGATGAGAATCTCTGTCCCCTGTCCCTGTGGACCAGGATTTCCAGAGCGAAGGTTCCTAACTCCTGCTGTTCGTTCTCCCTCCTCCCAGCTTCCACAGTCTGCTGTCTGCTGCTCTCCATGACCCAGCCCGGTCACGTCTTCCAGAGACCCGATCGCCCCGCCGGAGGTGCAGCCCTGACCTTGCCACCTCAGCACCCTCTCCTTCCGGTCGGACGTGAGCAGGAGGTAGTGCTGGCAAAAGCACACCCACCCATAGGCCAGGCACGGTGGCTCACGCCTGTAATCCCAGCACTTTGGGAGGCTGAGGTGGGTGGATCCCCTGAGGTCAAGAGTTCAAGACCAGCCTGGCCCACATGGTGAAACCCTGTCTCTACAAAAATACAAAAGTTAGCCAGGTACGATGGCAGGTGCCTGTAGTCCCAGCTACTCAGGAGGCTGAGGCGGGAGAAGCACTTGAAACCGGGAGGTGGAGGTTGCAGTGAGCCAAGATCACACCACTGAGCTCCAGCCTGGGCGACAGAACAAGATTCTGTCTCAAAAGTAAATAAAATTTTAAGAGCACACCTACCCAGATAAGGGGTGAGGGCACCCGTCACAGCCAGACTTTCATGAGCACACACACGCCTGTGCACATGCAATCACACACCCACGTGCACGCATGCAGTGGCACGCACCCTCCTGCTCGTGTCCCACTGTGTCATTGCTCCGGGCTGGGAGGTGTGCTTCCTGTTCCCTGTCTTCCCCGTTAGCCTGTAGCTTCACAAGGACAGGGACTCTGCCTCATGACCTGTCCCCCAGAGCCTGGCACACCTGATGTCTAAACACGGTGTGGACCCAACAACACTTTCTGTACAAACAAATGTAGGAACCTCAATGTAATTTTAATGACCTCAGACCAGTGACAAGGGCAGACTGACCAGGGGCTGTGGGGGGATCCCAGAGCAACCTCGAGGGCGTCCTGGTGCTTACCACCTGGAAACTGGTGAGGTGGTGGGAGAACTCCTGGTGGACCCTAGTGGAAGCCTTCCAGTAATTTCTTGAAGCTGAGCGCTCAGGTGAGTAGGGCGACATCTGGTGGCCGGTTGTTGAAGGTCATTGCAGAGAGGAAGGAAGCCGAGGAGGGGAGCCTGCAGTGAGGGCGTCCTGGGGTTCTCCGGTTCTCACCACCCTTGGGCCACGCCGTCTAGTCCACACCTGAGGAGTTGGTCAGGTAGAAGGGGCGGATGACCGTGCGGAAGCCGTTGAAGTGCCCTGCCGGGCAGGGGAAGGAGGAGGTGCTCTTCGAGCTGTTGGTGTCCAGGGCACTGGGAATCGCAGCCTTCCAGCCCTCGAAATCGGTGACGTCTGCCACGAAGAGCCCTTCGCAGAGCATCAGGGCTTTGTTTTCGTAGGCAATGGTGCGATCTGAGCCGCCAGACTTGGTGAGGCCCAGGACAGGGAGCTCGTCCGAGGAGCAGGAGAAGCCGTAGTTCCAGCAGCTCTGGATGGTGGGGAGGTAGACCAGGGACCAGGACACCCTCTTGTCCTGGAAGAGGAAGCTGGGGTGTTGTGGAGTCTGGAAGGACTGGTAGGGGTAGTATCTGTAGTCAGAGGGGGCTTGGAAGTAATCAGAAGAATATTTGACCAAAGGCCCCCGTCTGGACTGATAGACCAGTTGTGACTTCCGTGCACTCCAGGAACTGTCTGTCACAAAGGCACTCCAGGTGGGCGAGGTGTAAATCCGGGGCTTGTAGGTATCCTCGGTGAGGTTCAGGCCTTTGTACCGGGCCAGCAACTGGAAGGGCACAGTGTGGAATTCCAGGGCCTGCAGAGTCTTCTTCTGGAACAGGGCCTCGTGGCTCCAGTACAGGGACAGGTTGAACTGCAGCTCAAAGAGCTCCTCAGGGAGCATCATGGGGAAGCGGATCTTCTCCACCAAGCCCTCCACCTCCTCATGGGAGGCACGCTCCCCCCAGCTCCAGGTGTCCACGGCCTTCAGTAGGGCCAGCTCGCTGGGCACCGCCAGGTCGCTCCTGGGCAGCAGCAGTTGGAGCAGGTCTGTGGGGACACTGGGCCAGGCCTCGGCCTGCGTCAAGGCCTCGAAGTTCCAGGCCAGGAACTGTAGGCAGAGCTTCTCCAGCAGGGCGTCCCCTGTGGCCACTGCATAGGCATACAGGTCCAGGGGCATCTGGAACGAGGGGTCCTGGGGGAGGAGGATGGCAAAGAGGCTTGCGCAGTAGCCCTGCAGCTGCCTGGCCCCATAGGCAGAGGCCAGCTTGTGGAAGCACTTGACTGACGACAGGGTGATGTCAATCCTTCGGGAGTAGAAGTACCTGGGGAGAAAGAAGGAGAGCAGATGCCGGCCCCACAGGACAGCAGGGGAGCCCTGGGCCCAACTGTCCAACACAGCCACCTGAGTGCACACAGTGTGGGAGTGAGCATGCGTGTGTGTGCAACTGCGTGAGTGCATGTGTGACTGCGTGTGTACATGTGCATGCATGAGTATGTGCAGGTGTGTGTGTGGGGGGCTGTGCTTTTGAAGAGGGGAGGAGGACAAAGCCCCTGGCGGCCCCAGAGCCTGAGGACGAGACGGCTCACCTGAGAAGGTCCCTGACCATGGGCACACACTCAGCATCCACACTCATGGTGACATTGCTGCCCGGCTCCTTCCACAGGGCCTGGGCCTCCAGGTTGGCAGTCAGGATGACCGTGTGGCCACAGAAGCCCAGGGCGTCCTCGCCCTGCACATTCACGCTGATGGACAGGTCGCAGCCCCGCTGGCTGTCAAAGATCTGGCCAAGGGCCTCCGAGAGCTCCCTGGAGAGGTCCAGGGTGTGGGTGCTCCTGGTTTCTAAGAAGGGGCGGGAGGGAAGTGGGCTGCGTTAGGAGCCGGGGCACTGCCACTCTCTGGGGTCAGTGTCTTCATCTGAAAGTGAGGGATTTGTGGCTGCCTCATTCACTCTGGAAGGCTCCTGGGAAGACGAGGGACAAGAGAGACCGGAAGTGTCGGATTCCTGGACCCTGAGGCCCCGCCCCTTCCAGCCCTGGGGAACAAGAGCAGCTAGGACCTGGCCAAGCCTGTCCAGGCCCCCGCTTTAGGCCCTCTGCTCTGTGCTGCTCCCCCGACTCAGGCAGCAGCTCCGCATGGAGACTTGGTGGTACTGACTCCGGAGCCCCCACTCCCCAGCCTTGGTCACCAATCACCACTAACACCAAAACCACTGCCTGCTTAGATGGCCTGAAAAGTTAGGGTCCTGTGGCAACCCCATTTTAGAACTCCGGGGGTCCTCGAGCAGCTTCCTGTCGGGGAGAAGGCCTGCAGAAGTCATGGGAGGCTCCCGGCTCGGGGGTCAGTGTGGTGCACCCTCTCCCCTTCTTTGAGCCCCTCTCAAAGCCTAACTCAAAATGAAATCCCATAGGTTTTTCTTCGCCACAAATATAGTAGTTTTGAAGTAACTGTGACCTTTCAACCAGGTGGGCTTGCCCTGGGCCTCCTAAAACCTGAGCCACCGCAGGACCCCCAGCTCCCTCCCACCTGCACGCCTTACCACAGCTCTCCTGCCCCAGGAGCTTTGGCCGTGCGCCCATGGCCCCGTGTGCTCCCCGCCGCCTCCCCTGGCCCCCGACAGCCCCATGGCGTCTCCTGGGCTTCCCCCACTGTGAGTCCAGGCTCAGCTCCAGCCACTTGTCCATCCCATGTGGGCACAGGGGCTCCCTGGGATTCGACCCGTCCTGCCTTAGGGGCCTCCAACTCCTGGCAAAGGGCAGTGGGCAGGAAATGCCCAGGTTGTCACGTGCAAGCCCAGGAAGAGCCACCTCGGCATGAAAGAAAAACAAGAAACTCAGATCCAGAGGCTCCAACCTGCAGAGCAGCCTGGGTTCCCTCCAAACTGGGCCAGGTTGGGGGAAGCAGGCTGAGGCTGCGAGTAGCCGGGACTCCCTCCGCCAGGACGGGCTTGAGCCTGTCGCGTGCTGTGAAGTGTATTTCTGAGCGGACGCTGGCATTTCAGGTCAGGCTGGAGCCAGGTGTCATGCTCACTGAAACTGTGGCTCACTGCCCCACACTCGGGTTCTGCATGGAGACTTGGTGGTTCTGGGTGTTTCTCCAGAAGGGGCTGGGGAGGAGTCTGGGACTGTGGGACTGGGAGCTGGTGGGCTCTTGGGACGTCTGGGCCTCTCCATGCGGAGTGGGCAGGCGGTAGTGGAAGGAACCTTTGTGTGCTTCATGTGCGTGGGGGGGTGGTGCTGGGAGGGGCAGGGGCCACGGGACCCCAGGGCACACTGGGGCCTCCGCAGGGAGGTGCGCCCCCGCTCACCATTGGTGCAGACCACACCAGCGTCTCTCTCGTGCCTGCAGTTGCTCTTCAGCCAGCCCAGGGACTTGCAGTCGGCCAGTGAGGCCTCGGTTCCCGTGCACTGGACCTCATCCAGCATGATGGGGCCTGATCCTGTGGACACAGCAGATGGCAGGGCTGGGGGCGTGACGACTGCACCCAGGAGTCCCACAGCGCGACTCAGCCCTTTGTTCTCCGCCCCGGCCGTGTGGGTCCATCTGCTTACAGGTCCTTCACCAGCGAACCACGGAGGATATTCCAGCATGGGCTGGATTTGTGATTGCAATGTCAGGCCATAAACTTAGCCTTCATGCTTATAAAGCTTACCGGCTGCTTCAGCGACATCACATTCATGTATAGTAATTGTGTGACTATCCCTGCAACATCAGTTTCACATACTGTAATTGTGTGACTATCCCTGCAACATCAGGTTCACATACTGTAATTGTGTGACTATCCCTGCAACATCAGGTTCACATATTGTAATTGTGTGACTATCCCTGCAACATCAGGTTCACATACTGTAATTGTGTGACTATCCCTGCTGCTAAATAGTTTATGGATTGTTTCTTTTTTTTCCAGAATCGCAACTGCTGTGTCAGTGGAAATCTTCCTGCAGACTTTTCTTTTGAGGAGAAATTGTTTCAATGGGATAAACTCCCTGGAGTGGAGTTTCTGGGCCGGAGGGAACGAGCCCAGCCGAGCTCTTGAACCTGCCCAAGCACCCGCCACCATCACTGGCCAAGTGTGGGTGGAGCAGTCCCATCAGAACTTGATCCGCAGGCCTTCAGCACCATTGAAAATGTTTGCTCATAGGCCGGGTGTGGTAATCCCAGCACTTTGGGAGGCTGAGGCGGGCGGATCACTTGACACCGGAAGTTTAAAAACCAGCCTGGCCAACATGGTGAAACTCTGTCTCTACTAAAAAATACAAAAATCAGCCGGGCATGGTGGCAGGTACCTGTAATCCCAGCTACTCAGAAGGCTGAGACAGGAGAATCACTTGAACTCAGGAGGCGGAGGTTGCAGTGAGCCGAGATTGTGCCACTGCACTCCAGCCTGGGCAACAGAGCGAGACTCCATCTCAAAAAAAAAAAAAAAAAAAAAAAAAAAAAAAAGTGTTTGCTCTTGCTAAATTAATAGGAATCCAATTTGCATGTCTTTGAAACCTGACTGTTTCGTCTTAGGGGATTTGCCCCTCCTGGGAGCTGGCTGTGCTGTGGGTCTCAGCCTCAGTGGAAGGGGACAGCAGGCCCTACCTTGCCCGAAGGCAGCTCTGCCCAGAGCCTGGGTGGCGTTCTCGAAGCCCAGGGCCCGGCAGACGACGCTGGCATCAGTCAGGTCCCACAGGTTGTCACACACAGTGCCCCACTGGCCTCTGTAGAAGATCTCCACGCGGCCCTGGTTGGTGGCGCCCCCATCGGCCAGCCGCATGTCACCATCGTTCACGCCTGCAGGCAGAGACCAGCGAGGGCGAGGCTGGGGCCTGCAGCACCCACCGCCCACACCTCCAGGCCCCATATGCTGTCCTGGGTCTCCCCTGCTGAGCTTGTATTTCAGGGCTTCAAGGTCCCCTGGCCTCTCCATGAGGGGCACCTCCATGAGGGAGGAGTGGAAGATACATACAGCCCCCCCTACCCCGCAAGGAGGCCAAACTCGCCTTTCCTTGTTTTAGGGGTCTCAGCCCTTCACTCCATAGACAGAACAGGGGCAGAGAAGCCCTGAGTTCTCCAGCACTGGGAGTGGAGGTGGCAAGACCCTGAGGGAAGGATAGGAGGGGAACGGAGGCCCCGTGCTGACCCGCCCTGCAGAGGGTGTCTGCAGTTTGGGGGTGCTGGCCTATGGGGGCAGCAGGCCTAGGGACCCCTGGGAGCACAGGCAGAATGTTTCCAGGGCAGATAATGGGATTCCCCCGCCCCACATGTCCTTCTGGGACTCAGTCCACCAACACTCCAGCCCCTACAGGAGCTGACAGAGCCGGGCAGGAGCTGGGTGCCTGAATCCAGTCGGGGGTACATCTGGCTTCCATGGGGCCCCCAGGATGAGCATGAGCTTCCAGGGGCTCACAGTGTAAAGAATGTGAGGAAAAGCAGCCAGGACCCTCTGGAAGACTGACCTGCGTCCAAGGCCACTGACCTCACAACGGCCCCTGTGACTGCTGGTTTGATCAGCCCCTCTGGTTCCCTCTGGACGGAATGGAGGATTCCCTAGTGTCCTCTCTATAACCTGCATCTCACCTGAACCCAGGTGAGCCCCCGGGAACCTCCAAGTCATCATCACTGGGGATACCTGGTGCTTCAAGCAGGAGAGAAGATCTGGCTAACCGCTGGGCCCCGGGCCCCAGGCAGAATATCTCCTTGAAGCTCTGAGCAGCCCCAGGGTGCACCAGCCTTCCACACTTCTGCTTTTGGTATTTCCCAGGGGCTCAGCTCACCTTGGGTTCCTGCAACCAGCAGCCACACCCAGAAGAGCCTCGGAGGGGTCATGGCCGTGCCTGGATGCCCAGATCCTGCAGCAGACAGAAGCGGAGGGGTGAGGCACGGGAGCCAGATGGCCCGAGGCCCCAGGGACTGGCCTGCCCATTCACCCTTCAGCCCAACCTGGGCTGTGTGGCAGGCGGGGTCCCTCTCTTGCAGAGCCCACTATGATCCCAGTAAGTGTGACGTGTGCTGTGGATGCCCCCGCGGGGGCCCCTCACCTGGTCTGCAGTGTGGTCCTGGAAGGATGTGTAACACTTGGCTAGATGAAGCGTGGGCTGGGGGCACCCCCTGGCAGTAAGGGCAGCAAGAATTGGTGACTAGAGGCAAGTGAGCTCATCTCAAAAAACCAGGCCCCGGGCAAGGCTGCCACACGGGCATGGGCGGGGAGATGGAGGAGGCCACAGGCGTGGGCCCAGGTCGGGAGGCCGGGTGAGCCTGGTTAAGATCTCGGCCTTAAGCTTCAGGCAACAGACCCCTGCAGGGACTGTCCCAGAGGGTCTCAGCAGGCAGAGACGAGGCTGCAGCCTGGAGAGTGGATGGGAGGGGACTCGTCAGGAGAGGGCACAGAATCCGGGCGAGGGGTGACAGAGATAAGTGGCAGGGAGATATATCGGGGCTCCGTGGTGTTCCGATGGGGAAGATAGATGAAAAGGGTCAGGGCTGCAGCCCAGGGTGGGCCAGGCTGGGGGAAGAACAGGGAGGAAATGCTGAAGTATCCCCAAGACACTGACACTCAGGCCAGGACTGGGGAGGTCCGGGTCTCCACCTTCTGGCCTGGTGTTCTTGCCTCCGTGTAATTTCCACGCTTTTGTCTTCGTCTGCCTCCCTCCCCCACACCCTGCCAATGGAGAGACAGTTATGGTTTCTCTGGCTCGGTAAGAATCCTGTGATACCTGACACTGTCCCCTCAGTTCAGCAAGCCTGGGGCAGGCCTCTGGGTGGCACTGCTGTGGGCACCGGCTGGGAGTCTGGGCCTGGTGACCTTGAGGCTGCTTGGAGGGGGCCTGGTGGACGGCTGCAATGGCATCCCCAGAGCTTGTCGGAAATGCAGTCATGGCTGGCCTTGCCCTAGCCCCTCTGCATGGGAGTCTGCATGAACAAGCGCCCTGGGAGCTGGGTGCACTGGCTGGTGAGCAGCTTTGCTCTGGGACTCGTGCTCGCTGGCACTGTGCAGCCACCCCTTGTCGGGGCTCCCCGGGCACCACTGGAGGCCTTACCGTGACCCTGAGAACCACCTTAGTTACACCTCACCTTACAAGTGAATGAGCTGACACCCAGAGAGGCAAATGGGCTCCACATCCACAGTCAGTGAGCCACAGGCAGGGGGTCTGCTCGGGGGAGCCCACCTCTCCTCCCTGTGTCAATGTCAGTAGATGGCTAAAGGGGCCAGGGTGTGACCGCCTGTCCTGTGTGCTGGGGACTGTGCTGGTTTTAGCACTGAAGTTTCCCTGTGTCCTGGGAAACCCCTCAGTCCCAGGCACGCCGGTATGGGTGGACGCCCTCTCCACTTCTGCCCCCAGCCACTTCACTCTGCTGCAGCCACTAGGTTTGTCCGTCCTGGGAGAGTAACTCAGGGCCTTGGAAAAATGGCCAACTGGCCAGGCGCGATGGCTCACGCCTGTAATCCCAGAACTTTGGGAGGCTGGGGCAGGTGGATCACTTGAGGTCAGGAGTTCAAGACCAGCCTGGCCAACATGGTGAAACCCCGGCTCTACTAAAAATACAAAATAATAATAATAATAAGCTGGGCATGGTGGTGTGCACCTGTAGTCCCAGCTACTCAGGAGGCTGAGGCAACAGAATTGCTTGAATCCGGCAGGCAGAGATTGTAGTGAGCCGCTGCACTCCAGCCTGGGTGACAGAGCAAGACTCTGTCTCAAAAAAAAAAGGGGGGGGGGCAACGAAGCACCTGGCAGGTGGCGTCGCTGCCCTTTGTGTGGCAGCGGCTATTTTTGCCTGATTCCTTCATACAGTTGAGACCCGGCTGCCTGTGTTGGCCCCTTCGTGCAAATCAGAAAAAAAGGTGCTCTTCCTTGGAGTGGGTGCAGGCCTAGGCCAAATGCACAGGTCTGAGAGAGGGCCAAGCTGAATTCTAACCCACTTGCCCTTTGGCTGGTATCCTTGTGCAGTGAGTAATCTGCCCAACTGTACACAGAGGCCCTGTGGGCCTGGGAGCAGCAATGATTGTTGCTGGACTCAGGAGCCCTGGATCCCCAGCTCCAGGCCTATGTGCAAACAGGGAGGCATGACCCCCACTTGCCTGTGTAGAGAGAGGGGTGCCCTGGCCGGGCGCGGTGGCTCACACCTGTAATCCCTACACTTTGGGAGGCCGAGGCGGGTGGATCACCAGAGGTCAGGAGTTTGAGACCAGCCTGGCCAAGATGGCGAAACCCTGTCTCTACTAAAAATACAAAAATTAGCTGGGCGTGGTGGCACGCGCCTGTAATCCCAGCTACTTGGGAGGCCGAGGCAGGAGAATCGTTTGAACCCAGGAGGCAGAGGCTGCAGTGAGCGGACATTGCATCACTGTACTCCAGCCTGGGTGACAGAGTGAGACCCTGTCTCAAAAAAAATAAAAATAAAAAAGAGAGAGAGACTGAGAGGGGTGCCCACCTGAGAGCTAGAGGCAGGAGCTTACCTGGCTGCGGTAGCTGCAACGGCCGTGTGGAGCCTCCTCGCTTCCAGCCACAGGATCCCTCTGCAGACTGGTCCTTTGACCCAGAAGCCTCTCCCAGTATGGAGCGTGGTCAGGCTGATCCCAGGAAATGCTTCAGAAAAGAGTCTACTTTCGATTTCCAGAAACCACCTGACATAGATGTCTTCCGGGATTGGCTGCTGCTGATACTCCCCAGGGCCCCTCTCTTTTGTCTCAGCTCTGCCTGTGGCTATCAGTGCCAGGCTGGCAGAGGCCCAAGGTGGGAGTCTGGCTGGAGCAAGGCCTGCAAGAGGACTAACAGCCACACTCAGTTGGAAAGGCCGCCAGGCTGGTCAGGGGCTGGCGTTTGGTGGACGGGAGGGGAAGAAGCAGAGGCTCTGGGCCCAGACAGTCTGCACCTGGTGGTGTGGCTGTGGACTCTGACAGAGCGCTCCGAGTCTTTTCCTGGGTCTAGCACGTTGCTGGCTGGGTGAACACCACACAGGGGGCTGCTTATGTGCAAATCCACCCTCTCTGTGCTCTTGGCATGCTGACCACACAGAGGGCCTGTGCCCCACAAGGTTGCATGGCACTGTCCCCTGTCCCCAGGGGAGGGAGGCACTGAGAACCAGGTATGCAGCTGGCCAGTGGAGGAGCTGGACCCTGCTCCAACACCTGACCCCAGAGCCTGTGCTCGCCACTGCTGGACCTGTGGCCACTCTCCTACTGTCTCCCCCTCAGCGGGGCGGGGGACAGAGCCTCTCTGGGTGACATAATGGCTCTGTCCAGCTCATACCCATTCCCTTTCCTCCCACTGAAAGCCGGCACCTCAACTGTCCCTTGGGGAGCACCCCCTCCCATTCCCGGCTGTGTGGTTCCCAGAGGGCCCCCAGCTCTTGGCCTTCAACCACCCAAGGCCTGGCTGTCTGAGCCCTGCGGGGGCCCCGGGCCACACTGCTGGTTTCAGGGTGGGGCTGTGAGCCCAGCCAGCCGGTGAGAGCCAGCTTCTGACTGAGAGGATGTGGGCCCAGGCTGCTGGGGCCGGTGGGGCAGAGCAGAGGGAAGCAGGCATCCTCCGGCCTGAGCTCCTGGGTCCAGCTGGCCTAATCCATGGTCAAGGCTGGGCTTCACCGCTCAGTGAGGCAATCAGCAGCCGCTCTTGTTTCTGTCACTTGCACCCCATGGTTCTGGATGAGCCTTGGGATGTGCCCAGGCCTCTGACCAGTGGTTCTCAGCCTGGGCTGGACAGAAGAATCATCAGGGAGTTTTACAAACTCCTAATGCCTAGACCCAGGAAGTCACCATCTCTGGGAGTAGGGGACAGGCAGGGGCATTTAAAAGCCCCCAGGCAGTCCCACTGGGTGGAAGGCCCTGGTTCCCTGGCAGCTTAGAGTCCGAGACAGCCAGCCCAGAGGTCAGACATTCAATGACTATTTCCTTCAAGGTGTGAGGTTTTAGGCAGCTGCACGGTTTGCCTAATCCCCTCCAGAGGAACTGTGAAGATCCAGGGGCAGGTGCAGCTGGAAATAGAACTGGCTGTGGGGAGTTTAAAAAAATCTCATCTGGATTAAGGGCCTGAGTGCACAGAAACCCCAGCATCATCCCTTCTCAGCAGTGCTAATGACTTCTGCCCAAGTGGCCAGGGAAGGACAGGAGTGCAGAGGACGGGAGGGCATCTCTGGGAAGTGCTGGGAAAGGTTTTAAAACTCAGGTGCCGAATCTTTAGCCCCAGAGTCCGGGAAAGTCCTAAGCCATCCAGGCAGGTAAAATGGAAAACCCAGAGGCCTCCTCGTGGAATCGGAGCACCAACATCTGCTCCCCTGGGGCTCGCAAGGCCTTTCCGGTGTGCGATGACCATGGGGTGGAGGGAAGCGCTGACAGGGGACAGGCAGGGGAAGGGGCAGCGGCTCGGCTCTGAGAAGACAGCTGGGTGAAAGCCTCAGATTCGTGTGGACAGAACTGCTGTCATCAGGAAGCCGCTCCCAAGACATGGTAGGGAAAGTGCGGGGCATTTCAGAGATGAGAATGGTTAACTGGCCTGTAAGGTCATCTTTTGTGCCTCTACCCCAAACCTCTCCGCAAATTGAGGAACGCTCCCTATAATAGCTAATATGGATTTCGCCAGGCATTACTATAAGCCTTGCCACAAATGAATGCATTTAATACTTCCAGCCATGATGGGAAGCAGCTGCTCTTATATTCCCTGTTACAGATGAGAAAACAGAGGCTCAGTGAGGCGACGTAATCGGCTAAAGTTGTGCAGCTGGTAGGGGAAGAACTGGGGTTTCAAACCCATCCTTTCCTTCTTTTTAAAAATTGGCTTTCTTGGCATATAATTTACGTGCAAAGTTTTGGCAAATGTGTAGCGATGGTATCATGACAACAATCATTACCTAGGGCGTTTCAATCACCCCTAAGAATTCTCTTATGCCCCTCTGCAGCCACCCCTCCCCCCAGCCCCTTCCCAGCAACCACCTCTCAGCTTCTGCCACTGCTGGTTGCCTTTCCTAGAATTCCCTCTATTTTGTCTTCTTTTTTAAGACACAGTCTCCCTCCATTGCCCAGGCTGGAGTGCAGTGGAACAATCTCGGCTCACTGCAATCTCTGCCTCTCAGGTCCAAGTGATTCTCCTGCCTCGGCCTCCCGAGTAGCTGGGATTACAGGTGCGCCCACCACCACGCCCAGCTAATTTTTGTATTTTTAGTAGAGAAGGGGTTTCTCCACATTGGCCAGGCTGGCCTCGAACCCCTGAACTCAGGTGATCCGCCTGCCTCTGCCTCCCAAAGTGCTGGGATTACAGGCATGAGGCACCACTCCTGGACCCTAGAATTCCCTCTAAATGGAATCATACAGTATTTAATATTTTGCATGTGGCTTCTTTTACTTACCACAGTGCTTCTGAGATCCATCCATGCTATCTCAACAATCAGTAACTGGCTCCTGGTTTTGCTGGGTGGCGGCCCACTGTATGGACAGAACACCACTGTTAATACATGTTTGCACTGATGGACATTTGGGTCATTCCATCTTCCACTATTATGCATAAAGCTGCTGGAAACATTTGGATACAAGTCTTTGTGTGAAAATAAGTATTTATTTTGTGTAAATACCTAGGAGCAGGATTACTGGGTCATATGGTAGATATATGTTTACCTTTTTAAGAAACTACCCAGCACTTCAGGAGGCTGAGGTGGGTAGATCACGAGGTCAGGAGTTCAAGACCAGCCTGGTCAAGATGGTGAAACCCCGTGTCTACAAAAAAATACAAAAATTAGCCAAACATGGTGGTAGGCGCCTGTAATCCCAGCTATTCGGGAGGCTGAGGCAGGAGAATCGCTTGAACCCAGGAGGCAGAGGTTGCAGTGAGCCGAGATCACACCACGGTACTCCAGCCTGGGCAACAGAGCGAGATGCCGTCTCAAAAAAAAAAAAAAGAAAAGAAACTGTTTTCCAAAGTTGCTGAAACATTTTGCATTCTTGCTAGTAATTTCTTCATGTTCCAGTGGTTTAAATCGTCACCAATACTTGGTATTGTCAGTCTTTAAATTTCATCCATTCTGGTGGGCATGTAGTGAAGTTTCATTGTGGTTATAATGACGAATGATAGGCCGGGTGCTGTGGCTCACGCCTGTAATCCCAGCACTTTGGGAAGCTGAGGTGGGCAGATCACCTGAGGTCAGGAGTTTGAGACTAGCCTGATCAACATGGAGAAACCCCATCTCAACTAAAAAATACAAAAAAATTAGCCGGGCGTGGTGGCGCATGCCTGTAATCCCAGCTACTTGGCAGGCTGAGGCAGGAGAATCACTAGAACCTGGAAGGCAGAGGTTGCAGTGAGCCGAGATCGTGCCATTGCACTCCAGCCTGGGCAACAAGAGTGAAACTCCGTCTCAAAAAAACAGAAAAAAAAAAAAAAGACGAATGATGTTGAGCATCTTTATGCTTCTCTGTCATTCACACATCCTCTTTGGCAAAGCGTCTGTTCAAATCTTATGCACGTTTGAAAACTGGCTTGTTTGTTGTGTAAGTTCTTTATATATATTCTGTTCCTGTAGCAGATATATGATTTGCACTTTTATTTTTAATGAAAAGCTTGCTTTTCATTATCTTTTTTTTTTTTTCTTTTTTTTGAGACAGAGTCTCGTTCTGTCGCCCAGGCTGGAGTGCAGTGGTGCGATCTCGGCTCATTGCAAGCTCCGCCTCCCGGGTTCAAGCCATTCTCTTGCCTCAGCCTCCCGAGTAGCTGGGACTACAGGCGCCCGCCACCATGCCGGCTAATTTTTTGTATTTTTTTAAGTAGAGACGGGGTTTCACCATGTTGGCCAGGATGTTCTCGATCTCTTGACCTCGTGATCCACCCACCTCCGCCCCACAAAGTGCTGGGATTATAGGCGTGAGCCACCACGCCTGGTGAGCAGAGGGTGACTGAATAGAATGGGAGGCAGGATGGCCCTAATCAGTCCCAGCTTGACTTTTCCCTTTAGCTGGTGATTTTGGGGCCCAAGATATTTTCCTTTCACAACTCTGTTCTCTGTGGGAACAAATGACTTCAACTTTAAGGCAGGAGAATGGTGTGCACCCGGCAGGCAGAGGTTGCAGTGAGCCGAGATTGCGCCACTGCACTCCAGCCAGGGCGACAGAGAGAGACTCCGTCAAAAGAAAAAAAAAAGAATGTATCCATTTGTCTCTCATCTACCTGTGACCTGGAAGCCCCCTCCCCACTTGGAGTTGTCCTGCCTTTCCAGACTGAACCAATGTTCATTTTACATGTGTTGATTGATGTCTTATATCTCCCTAAAATGTATAAAACCAAGCTGTGCCCTGACCACCTTGGGCACACACTGCCAGGCCCTCCTGAGGCTGTGTCAGGGGCGCCCACGTCCTCAACCTTGGCAAAATAAACTCTAAATTAACTGAGCCCGGCTGGGCGCGGTGGCTCACGCCTGTAATCCCAGCACTTTGGGAGGGTGAGGAGGGCAGATCACTTGAGGTCAGGAGTTCAAGACCCGCCTGGCCAACATGGTGAAACCCCATCAATACCGAAAATATAAAAAATGAGCTGGGTGTGGTGGTGCACACCTGTAATCCCAGCTACTCGGAAGGCTGAGGCAGGAAAATCACTTAAACCTGGGAGGTAGAGGTTGCAGTGAGCCAAGATCACACCACTGCACTACAGCCTGTCAGGAGAGAGATTCTGTCCCAAATAAATAAATAAATAAATAAAATAAAGTAAATTAACTGAGGCCTGTCTCAAATTTTCAGGGTTCACAGGGTTGTCCCAGCACCATGGTGGGAAGACAGTCTTTTGTATTTCAGGTGAATTACCCTGGCTCTTTTGTCAAAAGTCAATGGGCCACATCCATAAGGGTCTATTTCTGGACCCTATTCTGTCTCACTTGTCGGTGTCTGTTTTTCTTATGGCAATACTACACTGTTTTGATTACTTACAGCATTATATTAAGTCTTGAAGCCAGATAGTATAAGTCCTTCAACTTTGCTTTTCTTTTTCAAAATCAAGTCTGTAGACCCATGAAGACGTATACTGTTTTGTTCTTTTGAGTCTCTGATTTCTTTCATCAGTGTTTTGTAGTTTCAGGATGTAGATGTCACACATCTTTTGTTAGACTTATACGTAACTATTTCCCGATTTTTGGTGCTACTGTAATTGACAATGTTTAAAAATTTTACAATTTCTAGTTGTTCACTGCAGTTATAATAAAGTTAAATTTTGTATGTGGAATTAATATATTAATATGTTAAATATTAATGTATTAAATTTAACATATTAATATATATTAAATATTAATATATTAAATTTAGTATGTGTAGTTTCGTGGTTTTTTTGAGACAGAGTCTCGCTCTGTTACCCAGGCTGGAGTATAGTCGTACAAATACTGCTAACTGCAGCCCCAATCTCCTGGGCTCAAGTGATCCTCCCACTTCAGCCTCCCATGTAGCTGGGACCACAGGCAGGCGTGACCACATCCAGCTAATCTTTACATTTTTTTGTAGAGACAGGGTCTTGCTATGTTGCTCAGGCTGGTCTTGAACTCCTGGGCTTAAGTGATTCTCTTGCCTGAGCCTCCCAAAGTGCTGGGATTACTAAAGGCGTGAGCCACCATGCCTAGCCTCGTAGTTATTTTTTGAAGATTTCTTAGGCTTGTCTAGCTAGTCAAAGCTTGTCACTGGCGAATAAAGATAGTTCTATTCCTTCTTTTCAAATCTGAATAACTTCCTTTTTTTTTCTTTTGCACCAATAGGATGAGGAATAAAAGTGATGAGAGCAATGTCAGTTTCCTGGGTTTGGTAAATGTACTGTGCTTAGGTAATCAGTACACTGGAGGGAGCCACATGAATGCTGCACAGAAACACGACTGCTGGCCCCGCTTATCTGCAGTTTCACTTACTGCAGTTTCAGTTACCCACGGTCAACTGAGGTCTGAAAATATTAAATGGAAGATTCCAGAAATAATTCATAAGTTTTAAATTGCATACTGTTCCTAGTGGGATGAAATATTGTGTCATCCTGCTCTTTCCCTTCTTCATCACAAGGGCGAGTACAGTACACTAAGATATTTAGAGAGAGACCACATGCACATAACTCTTATTTTAGACTATTGTTCTAATTGTTCTATTTACTATGTTACTGTTAATCTCTTACTGTGCCTAATTTATGAATTAAGCTTTATCGCAGGTATGAATGTAGAACAGTAAATTCCACATTATCTATGGTTTCAGGCATCCACTGCGGGTCTTGGAATGTATCCCCCACAGAAGGGGGATATGAACCAAAAAGTATCTGAGACTGTTCTCAACCAGTTAATTTTGCCAAGGTCAAGGATAAGGCCAGGGAGGCAAAACAAAACGTGACAAAACACGGAATCGCTGAAACAGTCTGTGGTCTGTGCCTTTCTCCAAAGGTGACTTTGAGGGCTTCCATATTTAAAGGGGAAAAGCAGGCTGGAGGGGGAAGTGGGAGGGTCCGGTCCTAGTGCTGCCGCCACGGGTTGCAAGAGAAGAGAAGCAGGCAGGGGAACAGTCAATCGTGTATTCATCTGGTGCTCAGTAAATTGGCACTTCACATAAGATAAGGTGAGCACAGTAGCTACCTGCCGAGGTCTTTAGCCTTTCCTCTGTCGCTCTCTGCTTAGGAACAAGAGGAAAGGCAGCTGCTTGCATGACTCAGCTCTCAGCTTCCTGTTTTTTCCTATTGGAAGGGTGCATTGCGGTTTTTATTTTCCTTTCATAGGACCTACTGTATTTTTGCAACTTCTGTGTGGTTCAAAATTTTATTTCAAAGGAAAAAATGGTGGGGAAGAAAGTGGTGAAAGCAGACACTCTTGCGTTGTTCCTCAGGGGGAAGGCATTCAGTGTCTGACCGTGAAGTAGGAGCTTAGCTGTGGACTTCTCACCGGAGCCCTTCATCGGGTTAAGGATGTTCCCTAACGGGTTTTTTGGCTTTTTGTTTAGAATTGGATTGGGTGAATGGCTGTTAGATTCTGTCAAATGCTTTTTCTCTATCTTTTGAGATTATCATGCTTTTCCCCCTTTTTAGTCTTTTTTTTTTTTTTTTTTTTTTTTGAGATGGAGTCTCGCTCTGTCGCCCAGGCTGGAGAGCAATGGGATGATGTCGGTTCACTGCAACCTCCGCCTCTCAGGTTCAAGCGATTCTCCTGCCTCAGCCTCCCAAGTAGCTGGGACTATAGGTGCGCCCCACCACCCCCAGCTAATTTTTCGTGTTTTTAGTAGAGACGGGGTTTCACCATGTTGGCCAGGCTGGTCTCGAACTCCTGACCTCAAATGCCCACCTCAGCCTCCCAAAGTGCTGGGATTACAGGCATGAGCCACCACACCCTGCCCCTTTTTAGTCTTCATATGAATTTCATTGATTGATTTCAGAATACTGAACTAACCCTGTATTCCTAGAATAAACCACACCTATCGTGAAGTATTCTTGTCAGAGACGTTTGAACCAGAGCCACTCCATCTTGAACCAGGTCTGGGTAAATTACGGCTGAGACCTGCTGGGCTGCATTCCCAGGAGGTTAAGGCATTCTTAGTCACTGGAGACAGAAGGTTGGCACAAGATACAGGTCATACCTTGCTGATAAAACAGGCTGGCCGGGCGCAGTGGCTCACACCTGTAATCCCAGCACTTTGGGAGGCCGAGGCAGGCGAATCGCGAAGTCAGGAGTTTGAGACCAGCCTGGCCAACATGGTGAAACCCCATCTCTACTAAAAATATACAAATTAGCAGGGTGTTGTGGCGCACGACTGTAATCCCAGCTACTCGGGAGGCTGAGGCAGGAGAATCGCTTGAACCTGGGAGTCGGAGGATGCAGTGCGCTGAGATTGTGCCACTGCACTCCAGCCTGGGCAACAGAATGAGACTCCATCTCAAAAACAACAACAACAACAAAACAGGCTGCAGTAAAGCCGGCTAAAACCCACCAAAATCAAGCGGCGATGAGAGTGACCTCTGGCTGTCCTCACTGCTATGCTCCTGCAAGCACCATGATAAATGCCATGGCAACATGAGGAAGTTACCCTCTATGGTCTAAAAACGGGAGGCATGAAGAATCCACCCCTTGTTTAGCATATCCTCAAGAAATAACCATAAAAAGGGACAGTCAGCAGCCCTGGAGCTACTCTGCCTTTAGAGTTGCTATTCTTTATTCCTTTACTTTTTTTTTTGAGATGGAGTCTCACTCCATCGCACAGGCTGGAGTGCAGTGGCGCGATCTCGGCTCACTGTAACCTCCATCTCCCAGGTTCAAGCGATTCTCCTGCCTCAGCCTCCTGAGTAGCTGGGATTACAGACATGCACCGCCACGCCCAGCTGATTTTTATATTTTTAGTAGAGATGGGGTTTCACCATGTGGTCAGGCTGGTCTCCAACTCCTGATCTCGTGATTTGCCTGCCTCAGCCTCCCAAAGTGTTGGGATTACAGGCGTGAGCCACCGCACCTGGCCTACTTTCTTAATAAACTTGCTGTCACTTTACTCTATGGACGTGCCCAGAATTATTTCTTGTGTGAGCTCCAAGAACCCTCTCTTGGTGACCTGAATCAGACCCCTTTCCGGTAACATTCTAATTTTTGATTATTGCTGAATTTGGCTTGCTAATCTGTGCTAAGGATTCTTTTTTTATTTTTTATTTTTATTTATTTTTTTTTTTTGAGACGGAGTCTCGCTCTGTCACCCAGGCTGGAGTGCAGTGGCGCGATCTCGACTCACTGTAAGCTCTGCCTCCTGGGTTCATGCCATTCTCCTGCCTCAGCCTCCCGAGTAGCTGGGACTACAGGTGCCCGCCACTGTGCCCGGCTAACTTTTTTGTATTTTTTAGTAGAGATGGGGTTTCACTGTGTTAGCCAGGATGCTCTCAATCTCCTGACCTCGTGATCTACCCGCCTCGGCCTCCCAAAGTGCTGGGATTACAGGCGTGAGCCACTGCTCCTGGCCAGGATTTTTACATCTATGTTCATGAGGGATACTGGTCTGTATTTTTTTTTTTTGTAATGTATTTTTCTGGTTTTGGTATCAGTATAGTGGTGCCCTCATAAAATGAGTTGGAAAAGTTTCCCAACTCCCAGAATCATGGAAGATTTTGTGTTGCTTTCGTATTATTTCTCCCTTACATGTTTGGTACAATTCAAAAGTGAAGCCATCTGGGCCAGGGGTTTTCACAGTGTGACGGTATTTTATTTTTGCTTTAACTCTTTTAACAGCATGAAGGGATAACTTACCTTGAGATTTATCAATTTAAAGTGTACCGTGGGCCGGGCGCGGTGGCTCACACCTGTAATCCCAGCACTTTGGGAGGCCGAGGCGGGCAGATCACAAGGTCAGGAGATCGAGACCAAACTGGCTAACATGGTGAAACCCCGTCTCTACTAAAAATACAAAAAATTTGCCGGGCACGGTGGCGGGAGCCTGTAGTCCCAGCTACTCGTGAGGCTGAGGCAGGAGAATGGCGTGAACCCGGGAGGCGGAGCTTGCAGTGAGCCGAGATAGTGCCACTGCAGTCTGGCCTGGGCGAAAGAGCGAGACTCCGTCTTAAAATAAAATAAAATAAAATAAATAAAATAAAATAAATAAAATAAAATAAAATAAATAAAATAAAATAAAATAATAAAATAAAATAAAATAGTGTACCATGGCTGGGTGCAGTGGCTCACGCCTGTAATCCCAACGCTTTGGGAGGTCAAGGCGGATGGATCACTTGAGATCAGGAGTTTGAGACCAGCCTGGCCAATATGGAGAAACCCCATCTCTACTAAAAACACAAAAATTAGCCGGGCGTGGTGGCGCACGCCTGTAATCCCAGCTACTTGGGAGGCTGAGGCAGAAGAATTGCTTGAACCTGGGAGATGGAGGTTACAGTGAGCCAAGATCGTGTCCCTGCACTTCAGCCTGGGAGACAGAGCAAGACTCCATCCCCCCAAAATAAAAAAAAGAAAAGAAAAAAAGTATACTGGAATACAGGATTAACACGTGGAATGAAAGAAACTGAATCTCGTTTTTTTGTCCAGTTGAGGTGACTGGAGAGTCTTCCATTTGCAGATGAGCTGTGTGCCGGACCCATGAGTGTGGAGCCGGCAGTCACTGCCCCACGAGTCCCGCATGTCACAGCTTCTTAAACAGATGGTCAAGAGCTTACATGCGGTTCCTTATCCCAACCCGCCGCGGCCCGATGCGCCCTGGCTTTTTCTGGAACTGTTGTTCTGTGGATCCTCGCCGAGAACGCCCAGTTCTCCTTGCTGCTCAGTCATGGAGTCTCTCTGGGGACCCCGCTGCCGCGCTGGTCCTTCTGCAGAGGCCGCCTCCCTGCAGCGCTGTCTTGGTCAGGCTCCCAGCAGGAAAAGACGACACCCGAATGAAGATCATCTAAGGAGGCTTCAGTGAAGGGACCATTTACCACGGATGAGACAGCAGGGCGTGCGGGCGGCACGAGGGGCCGCTGTAGCATCTGGAGCTGCTAACAGTGGAGCTGTCACTCCCATGTCACACTCCCAGGCCAGAAGAGACCAGGGGAGGGGACTCAGCCCAGACACTGGGAGTGGCACCAGGGGGCTGCCTTGAGAGGCGAGTGCCAGAGAGAGTCAGGGACTCCCCAGGGGCCATCCCAGAGGGCACTGAGGAGGTTCACTGGGTCTGGGACCCGGAGGAGGCGGGGAAGGAGAGTGGGTCTGAAGGGTAAGGGGTCGATGTGGGTGCAATTGCCCTTTCTGATTCCGCTCTCCCGGTTTTCTGTCCCTCTCTGGCCGCCCCTGTCCTGTCTCTAGTTGAGGTCTTTCTTGGCCAGTGCCTGCCTCCCTGGCGCCTGTGGTTTCAGTGATGGGGATTCTTCCATGCGTCACTTGGAGCGACCTCGTCTGTTCCTGTGGACTCACTGACACACTAAAGACACCAGCTCAGCCCTGACCTCTCACCTGAGCGCCTCCTTACCAAGTCATCCAGATGGCTCCCCAGGGATGAGCAGCAACAAAACGGGCACGTGGGTGCCCAGCACACGTCAGGTGATGTTCTAAGCCCCTTGCGCGTACCCAGTCACTTACCGTTCACTGCAGCCCCGGGATGAGCTCTGCGATGAGCATCCTTTTGCAGACGAGGACACTGAAGCACAGGAAAGTTAGGTCATTTGCCTAAGGACATGCAGCTGGATGGGGACAGAGCCAGGATCGGGCTTGCAGTGGCTTCAGACCCCACCTTTCTGACCACAGCGCTCGTGCTCTTGGAGCGCCTTGAGATAGTGGGACAAGGCGGACTGGAGGACGCAGTTTCCAGATGGGATGCCCTGGCGGGCGACTCCCGTGCGCATGCCCAGCATCCTGCGCAGGCGCTCTCGTGGCCAGGCCTCTGCAAACAGTCAGCACAGACCGGGAGACAGAAAACTACACTCCCTCAGACGCTTTATTGTTTACAAAACAGATGGATCCCATAGGGAAGGAACACAATCATTATGCTGACAGCAGCGAACAGAGAGGGGAAGAAAAAAGGTGAGCTTTAAAGTAATCGCAAATCACTGCCTATGCGAAGAGGCTGCTTCCGGGCACCTGGGCTGTGACTCAGGTGCTGACATGAATACATCAGCAAGGTCTCAATTCAGCCACAGTCCCAAGTCCCCCAACCTTCCTGATTGCATCTCTATTTTAAATGACCCAGCCTGGACATCAAGGACAATGATCTAGGAGGCGGGTCAAGGAGACAGCCAGGCAAAGTCAGAACAGACTTGGGGCTTCCAGGCTATGCCCGGTGACAGCTGAGCTCTTCAGAAATGCGTCACATTCAGCGTTCACTTCCTTCGCTTCCTCCACTACCTATGACATAGCGGGGGAAAGAGACAACCATGAGAGAGGGGTCCCTCCTCGCTGCCCTCCTCGCAGCTGTGCTTGAGTTTCAAAGGGGGAGAGGTTTGTGAGGGACCGGCACAGGGACAGCCAGAGCCGGCACCCTCCGGCCCACCGTGGCACCCCTGACGATCGCGGGGTGGGGTAGGAGTGAGGGTGGGGGTCGGGGTGAGGTAGTGCTGTGGGGAGGGCACTGTGAATGATGGAAACGTCCCTTCTCAGCCTGGGTCGTGCCTAACCTGGGTCTCAAATCCCACTCTGCCTTCACCCTGGAGTACACTCCAGCGAAGCCGAGGCCCAGCCAACGCTCGTGAAGTTTCCACAGAGAAGAGCCTGCAAAACTCCCACTGGAAGAGGAGAAATAAAGGCCATGGAAAGAAACCCCAGGGAAGAGACAGGCCTCGTTCACAGACCCTAGGCAGGGAATAAAAAATTCAAGTCATTCACAGAAGTCTTGAAAGGCATGAGGATTTCTGACAGTTCCTAGAAAAAGGCAACATTTTCTTTATCTTTGTATCCATTGGCCAAGAACGCCGACATGTGAGACTTGCTTCACCAGCCGCCACCGCTTCCTTACAATCTCCCGCACTGCTGGAGCGGGCTGGGTAACTACAGGACTGTGCTCTGTGTGATAAGATTTGGTGATTCCACTTTATAAGAAAGGAAACTGCTTTAATTAAAGCAGGTTAATAATTAAAACTTCAAAGTACTGCACAGCCACAGAATTTTCTTGAAGGGAGAAAGCGGTCACTGGCCATATGATGCGGAGATGGTTTTATCTGAGGCCTGAGAACCAACAGATGTGCCTGCGCCCTGGCCTGTGCAGCTGTGGGCAGATGTGTCCCCAGGGGCCTGCCCTCACTCGTGACCATGCAATACCCTGCAACATAAACATTTTCTTTTCCAAGGATCTGCAGGGGTGGACATGATGCTCCAGGCACAGAGTAGGAAGAAAAGGGGGTGACCTGGGGTTCCCAGCAAACAGGTCCACCTCATGCTCACTGCGTTCTCAGGGTGAGGCATAGGGCCTGACATATGGTAGGAGCTCTAGGGATATTCACTGAACAAAAGAACATAGGAAAGAAAAGAAACGAGGTCGGATGGAAGAAACGACCCAGCCAGTTAGGCAGGCCTTGAGTCAATGCCTGAAGTGACCGAAATCACCACCAGATGGCAGCATGGAAAGCAGTTCAGACCGCGGCCTCCGTGGGGCCCGGGGGTCCAGTGCCCGCACCACTATGGGGCCCGGGACTGGGCTCCCTGTCCAGACCTCCAACCCAGGCACAGTTCCAAAAAGAACAAAACAAAACAAAAGTGCACTCCTCTTGTTTTTATAAAAGCTGAGTCCTGATGGCCTTGCTCAGTGTTTCCGTTTTGAGTTAAATGAACTCGATGCCTTCGTATTTCACGCTTCCGATCTTGGTCTCCGGCAACAGGAAGCGCCCGTCCAGCGTGAAGGCCATGATGTAGGAGGCGACTCTGCCGCTGTCCTCCTCGGATTTGAGGGCCACAATGATCTGGTCGTCGGTGTTGGGGATGAACTTGAAGGACGAGAAGCCGTGAGTGGGGACCACCGCCCCGACGTGGCTCACAGCGATGTCGCCGAAGTCAGGGGAGGCGCTCAGCAGCAGGTTGGCGCCCTTGCGCTCGTCGTCCTTCTCGCTGTAGCGCTCCTGGCTGGCGCGGCGCGGCAGGAAGAACCAGCGCTGCAGCGTGTCACTCCAGCAGGCAGACTCATGGATGAGGTAGCCTGGGAACCGGGTGACCGCGGGTCAGACACGCATGCGGCCTGGTGTGCCCAGCCCCACACCATCAGGCCGTGCGCAGTAGCAGGCAAGGGGCTGCGACCACCAGGGCCCACCAGCTCACAGCAACCCGCCCCTCCCTGCTCTCCAGGATTCTGGAAGGTTCTGTGTTCTCGGTTATCCCATGCAGGGAACCTGCAGCACCCGCTCCCTTGAAGCCTCCTCCCGTTCCACCGAGAGCTGCCTGTGAGCTGCATCAGGGATTTGGGCTCATCGGAGCCTCCTCGGGGCTGATCCAGAGGAACCCAAGGAAAGGGAACAAACCCCCATTGGATGTGGGGAGGCATCGGCGGGGAGGCTGCCTTGAGGCTGCAAGGAAGAGGAGACAGCGTCTGGGGCCCCAGGCACAGACTCAGTCACTTCCTCCTGAACCTCAGGCACCTAAGGCCTACTCCATCCTGACTAGGGGGAGGCCAAAGTGCTGCTGGCCCTATGTTGGTGTGGAACACCACGGCCCAGCGCCAGGGGTAGGGACAGGGCCTGACCCACCAGTGCAGACAACCGGGCCACAGGCTGGGATGCTAGGAGGCCAGCTGCCAGGGCGAGTGGGGCAGGAAAGAGAAAACAGCTCATTTGCCGCCAGAATCCACTGGCCTGAGGGAAGCCACCATCAGAGGCAACCAAAATCACTAAAATCAAGCAAGAAACGGCCTTGGAGGCTGGGTGTGGTGGCTCGCGCCCGTAATGCCAGCACTTTGGGAGGCCGAGGCAGGTGGATCACCAGATCACCCGAAGTCAGGAGTTCGAGACCATCCTGGGCAACATGGTGAAACCCTGTCTCCACTAAAAATACAATTAGCTGGGCGTGGTGGTGCACACCTGTAGTCCCAGCTACTGGGGAGGCTGAGGCAGAAAAATCGTTTGAACCCAGGAGGTGGAGGTTGCAGTGAGCTGAGATCGTGCCACTGCACTCTAACCGGGGTGACAGAGCAAGACTATGTCTAAAATAAAAAACGGTTTTGGAGGCAAATGCAGGAGGAAGCAGGTTCCCAGCGACTGGGCTGTGGAAGCCACACTGTGGGCTGGGGCAGGCGTCTCTTACCTGGCGGCTGGATGCCGGCAGCAGCCCGCAGGGCGTTGTAGTTGGACACCCAGTTCTCGTGGTCCACGCTGCCCTTGTAGCCCACCACCTTCACCCACTCCGGGTTCTCGTTCACCACATCACCCGTAGTGGTCGTCCACTCCTTGCCCAGGCCGCCCACGTACAGACGCTCGTCCTTCACTGCCAGCCATTCGGCCTTGAAGCCTGGCCAAGCAGAGTGTCCTTAGGCCCCGCACCCAGCTCCCGCCGCACCCCTGCACCTGGCTCCCACCCGGCCCCGCACCTGTCCTTAGACCCCGCACCTGACTCCCGCCCGGCTCCACACCTGCCTCCCCTCCGGCCCGCACCTGGCTCCCGCCCAGGGCCGGCCGGCTGCCCTCCCCTCAGCTCCTGAAGGTTCAGTGACCACTCTCAAGTCTCCTCTGATCCCCAACTCCCCGCTCCTCAAGCTGTAACCCCAACCTTAGGATTATCCTTAAAGGCTAGAAAAGCTGAAAAGTGACAGCACTCTGAAGGGGCACGTGTGTCCCAGGGGAGTGCGGGTGCTGCCCTCGGCCACACCTGAGGTCTCACCGAGCATCACTCTAACTCCAGTGGCCGGAGAGGGGCTTGGTGCTGGGGCTCCCAGTCTTCCTTTCAATGGATTTGTTCAGAAGCTGTTTTTGCTTTTTTTAAACTGATTTATTTAAAATAAGCCTAACTTTGAAGGCTGCCACAGTTCAGGCTGTGTGGGAGCCTGTGTTCTACCGTGTATTCTTATCATCCCTACACCCTGGTGTTCTAACTTCTGTTTGCTTTCCCCAAATTTTGCCAGCTTCTTGCCCCTGAGAGCTGGAGCTGTGCCCTCTGAACTGCCCGAGACTGTAGTAGCTTCTCTGCAGGGCCCTGGAGGGACCTGCGGTCTCCTGGTCTGCTTGTGCGATGAGACATTCTCCATGCCAGGGTCTTCCATCCCTCCCGGATGACCTGAGTACAGCCCAACCCCAGAGCTCCCTGTACCCCGCTTTCCTCCCTATCCAAGGGAAGGACAGAACTACACTAGGGTTGCCTAAAACCCTGACAAGTGCGAGGCAGGAAGTAGGCGACCAACGCCTCAGTTGATACCTCAGGTGAGGTCCGTCCCCTGCCCAGCCCTGGGCAAACACTGAAGATTTTATCACCGGGTGTGGGGAGGGCCTGGCCGGCCATGAACTGTGTGGGCCGTTGTTTAGTGCAGTTCCTCCTTGACCTCAGAAAGCCTGCGGTGGCATTTAGCTTTCTAGAAGGTGGGGATCCACCGCCAGCTCAGACAAACGGAGCTCAGAGGAGCTGGCAGCTCCTCTGCCAGCGTCCTTGGCACCTCCCCAGCTCCTCTCTGGAGGAAGACACTGGCCACCGTGCCTCCCCAAAGCCTGTCCCTGCCCTGTGGAAGCAGCACCTCCTTTCTGGTGAACAAAAAGGCTGGCATCAGGCTCCACTCCAGGGGGGTTGGCACAGCTCACACATGCCCTCCCCCTGCTGGGGTTCAGGGAGAGGAGGGCTGGGCAGCAGTTTACCCTTCAGTAACATGAAACCAAAGTCTGGGTTTTGAGTGAGAACCATCTGTCCCCATGGCTTTCAGGGCAAGGCTCCTGGTAGGCACATCCTAGCGTGGTCTTGAGAACCTTTGAAGGTGTAAAAAGGGCGTGTTCCCAGAGGCTCCGAGAGCAGCAGCGGATACAGCCGAAAACATCTTGGAGAGATTCCCCACGTCTCCCACAGGCCTCTAGCGATAAGCTCTTCCTCCTAGAAACTGCTCAGTGTGAAGTGACAGTAGGCTATGCTCCTGGCTAAGGGTAAGGGGGCCGCAGGTCAGAGCAAGAGGGAGACGTGCTCCCTCACCACATCCCTGGCTTCTAGGTGTGTGAATTCTTTACCATGTGCCTGTGTTTGCCAGCCAGGCCCTGAGCTCCCACTCCCCACCCACACCTCCATAAAACCTCAGGGTCCAGTTACCTTTCTCCACGGTGCCGTCGCCGTCGGACAGAATCACCCAGGGCACGGCTTTGCTGCCTTCGATCTGGTAGACGACCCCCGTCCGGTCATCCACGGAGTAGAGTTTCCCATTGAAAACAATCAGGTCGGATAGCTCCATGCCTCTCCCCTTCTCCGCCAGGTGGGACTCCAGGACCCCATGGTCTTTGTCCCATTCCACGGCCACCTTGTCCCCACTGTCTGACAGGGTCAGGTAGCCCTTTTTCAGGTAACTGAACCAGGTGTTTTCCTCTTGGGCCCTTGACTCTGTGTCCAGGTCTGCGATAACTGCGATTCGATACCGAATCCCAGCCGGTGTCCTTTGTGGGGGAGACAGGGGGTAGGTGTCATTGTACCAGTTGGCGGGCGCCTGGCCGAGCCTCCAGTTGTGTGCATTGTGGGTGGGGGGCCTGCCGGGGGCCGGGCGGTGGGAGCAGAGCAGCCAGAGGATGGCAGCACCCACAAAGAACGTCAGGATCACCTTCCAGCGGGGGCGGAAGCGGGGGTCCGCGGCCTTGGTCATGGACGCCAGCACAGGAAGGCCCCCCACACTGATCCGGAGGGAGTGCATAGACTCATTCCATTCCGGGTGCTCAGACAGCTGCACGGGCATCAGCGTGACAGACAGGCGGGACCTGCACAGCCAGGGAGGGAGGAGAGGAGTCAGCGCCTCCGCAAGCCCAGTCACATCTTAGTTCCGGAAGCTGCAGGCGCTGGAGGCTGACTTTTCCAGAAGAAACAGTATTTCACTACTCTGTGGCCATTCTTACTCCCTTGGCTTAATGAATTCCCGACTCTAGATTCCCGACTCTAGCAGTATCTTTGCTTACTTTCATTCGGCAAGACGTGAAGTCTTTCCACAGCAAAATTACTCCATCTCCCCTGTCCCAGCTGGCAACGTGGGAAGCTGAGTGAGGAAGGAAGTTCCATGCAGGCTGGTGCTCTGTGGTCCCTCTAAAGAGAGAAGCGCAGGAGAGTCAGGTGGGAGGGGAAGGCTGACGGGGTGAAGTGGGATAGGATCATAGACAGGGTACAGGTCTGTATTTTACTCAAATGCCACCTCATCCAGGAAGCCCTCCCTGACTGCCCTGCTGCAGACATCACCCTCCGTCCCTGGGTCCTTGGCCCTTGTCCCCACCTGACGTTAGAGTATTGTATACAGTTATCGGTTTGTTTGTTTCTGTCTCCACCTCTGTATCCTGGCTCCTAGAACAGTGCCTGGCCTGGAGCAGACAGATGTGCAGTAAAGGAGTCTCCACTTCCTCTGGGTTAGGCTCCTGCAGCATTGGAATACCAAACACATCCAAACCAAATAAAAACACTCCTTCTTTTTCGTATCTGTTGTTGTTTTTGGCAGTGTCTGTCCCCTGGCGCCTTTCTATTAATGCAAATGACTGCAGGGACCAGAGTCTGCGCTGCCCTGACTGCCTGGAGGCCAGCGTGTCTGTGCCTTGGCGCCAAAGAACTGCTCGGCTCACTGCGGGGCCTGGCTCGGCCGCAGGCCTCTCCCAGCTCACCCTCCACCCCAGGCGTGGCTCTGTGGCAGAGCCCCAGGGTCAGGGTGCTGGTGGCGGCCAGGAACTGCAGCCCTTCACTGCTGTCGCCAAGCCCACTTCCCGGGCATACAGCATGATGGCTCAGTGCAGCCATGGGGCACCAGGCCCACGTCTGCGCCGCCTTGGTGAGAGCTGCCTGTCTCTGGACAGCCGCCAAGTGCCACAGTGGGGCGTGGGGAGACAGCTCCCGGTGCTTCGATCGAGAACACTGGCCCTGGGCAGAGGTTCCATATCTCTGCCCTCCAACTATAGCTCAGTGAATCCCGGCCTGAGAAGCTTCCCTGGCTGGGTCCTCCTTGAGAAAACAACAAAGCAGCAAACATGTGCCTTTATGGGCAGACGCTGTCCTCCCTGCCAGGGCGCCTGGGAAGGGCTTGGGGACTCCAGTGGCTCCGTGCAATTCTGGGCCCCAAATATGTGGACCACGAGGCCCTGGTGCACGGCAGCCAGCAACAGACACCCCCACCAGAGACACCCCCTTCTCCACGCCGCAGCCTGCTGGGCTGAGAAGATACAAAAACAGGGTGACAATTCCACATGGAACTTTCGGACAGTCCTAGGTTTTAGCCCCAGGGTGAGGTTCAAGGAGTGAACAAGGCACATACGTGGAACCTGCTGCTCAGAGTGATCCTCCTAACAGCACAGGGGGGCTGCCAGCAGTTCCTCCAGGCCCGCAGGGAAGACTCCATGCTCCCTTTAAGGGGCAGGCCTCTCAGGACCCCCTGAGGTGGTCACAGGGCTGATCACCGGGGCCTTCCCGGCAGCAGGGCTGGGGTTCCCCGTGCTGGACATCCTCCTCTGACTGCATCCAGGCCCTGCCCCTTTTCTAGTCCCAAGGCCTCAAAACCCCAGCCAGGCCCAAGAAGTCTCCACTGAGCTCGAATTACTCTATCTTACCTGCTATGCCAATCCCGCCTACATTTCTTTTTTTGTTTTTCTGAGATAGGGCCTCGCTCTGTTGCCCAGGCAACAGTGATCACGCTCACTGCAGCCTCAACCTCTGAGGCTCAAGCGATCCTCCCACCTCAGCCTCCCAAGTAGCTGGGACTACAGGCGTGTGCCACCACGCACAGCGAATTTTTTTTTTTTTTTTTTTTTTTTTTTGGAGACAGAGTTTTCCTCTTATTGCCTAGGCTGGAGTGCAATGGCACGATCTCGGCTCACTGCAACCTCCGCCTCCTGGGTTCAAGTGATTCTCCTGCCTCAGATTCCCTAGTAGCTGGGATTACAGGCATGCACCACCACGCCCGTCTAATTTTGTATTTTTAGTAGAGATGCAGTTTCTCCATGTTGGTCAGGCTGGTCTTGAACTCCTGACCTCAGGTGATCCACCTGCCTTGGCCTCCCAAAGTGCCAGGATTACAGGTGTGAGCCAACACACCTGGGGCACAGCTAATTTTTAATTTTTTTTATAGAGATGAGGCCTCGTTATATTGTCCAGGCCAGTCTTGAACTCCTGGGCTCAAGTGATCCTCCTGCCTCAGCCTCCCAAAGTGCTGGGATCACAGGTGCGAGCACCCGCACCCCCCCTTACCTGCATTTCTGACATGCGTCTTAGACATTTCAAGACACGAGTCCTGTGCAGCTTTTCCCTCAAGCCTACTTGCTCCTCGTCTCCCCTTGGGAAGGGTAGTGGTGACGGGTGGCCACCGTGTCCACAGTGGTCTGGTTCAAGCTCTCTCAGGATCCTGGGAGATGTGCTTTTCTGTGTGAATATACACTTCGATAAAAACATAAGGCACTGCCACCACGAAAAACCTGACTGGCCTCATCCTCCGTCTTCCTTCCTCAGCATTGACTCCGTGGACAGGTTCTGTCCTCTTCCATGGCCCTTCCTCACCATGCCATGCCGGCTGCCTCCCTCCACCCCTCCTGCCTCTCCGCCCCTGACACTCCCATACCCCCCGCCATGAAGTTGCCCTGCCAGCTGCCCCCCACCAACATCCCCTGACACTCCCTCGCCACCTGCCATGAAGTAGCATCCATCAGATGGCACACTCCCAGCTTCAGCGGCTTCCTCAGGTCCTGGGGTGAACCCACTCTGCTCCCGCTCAGCCCTCACACTGTACCATCTCCTCTGCCTGCCGGCTGGCTACATAGACCTCCTTCTGTCCCCTGACCACACTGGCCCTGGCAGAGCCTGCAGTTCCCCCTGCCTGGAACAGTCGGGCCTGCTCTTCGCACCAGCAGCTCGGTCTCTCCTACGGGGCATCAGCTCCCTGGGAAGACTTGCCCACTCGCCCTCCCTCCCATGCCGCTCCGGCTCTCCCACCGTCCCTGCCTGGCTAGGTGATTATTTCTGCTCCTGGGGCAGGGATCTGGCCACTGTCACAGCCCCAGCACCTGACGCACTGCCAGGCAGGGAGCAGACAGTCTGCACGCATTGGCTGAAGGGAAAGAGATGCCAGGTGAGCCATTAGCCACTTCTTCAACAGCCCCTCTGCACTCTACCGGGGGCCCCACCTTAGGCATATTATGAACCCACAACCTGGATCAAGCACCCCAAAGATCGAGCTGCTCAGCTGCCACATCTGAGCTGCAGGCCCGGGAAGACGGTGCTTGCCAGCACAGAACAACGGTGCCTGCATAGACTGCTGTCAGACATCGTGAGGTGTCGTCGTCACCAGCCCCTGGAACCCCCATGTTCTTCCCTGTTCAACTCCCTCAGCACTCCGGAGAGCCACTGTCCTCACCTTCACCATTCCTGTCAAATCTCCGGCCCACTTCTCCCAGGAGACCACTCTGTGGCCAACTTCAGCAGCCGAGGCCCCTGGGTGGGGCTCACACCTGCCACTCAGGTCAGTCCCCCCAGCCGCCGGGCACCTGCTCTTCTGGTTCCTCCCTTCCATCCACAGGCTGCCCCAAGTCGCCCACCTTGTCACCATTTTACCTCCAGACCCCACACTCCCACAGACACTCAACTGCTGCTGAATAAATGGCGAATCTGTTAATGAAGGAAAACCCTTCCCTGAGTCCCCGGCACCTCTGTCCCTTCCCACCCCCGCCCAGGCCCCCTCGCCCACCATGGTACAAGAGCACCCACACCTACACCCTCTCCTTCCCTCTGGCTAATCCTCAGAAGCAGCCACCTGAAGCCTTCACCAGTGGCAAACCCAGTGAGCACATTGTCAGTGTCCCTCCTCGAGGCAGGGGGGCACTCTCTGTGGGCCTCCTCCCAGGCAGGTCTTCTCGGCCCCCACTGCTGGCAGCCCACTGACCTCTCCCAGGGCCTGCCCTCTAAGGTGAAGACCCCCACGCCTTTCTAGCCTGACCTAGTCTCTGAGCCTCCTCATCCGATACCCACAGGCACCGCAAACCAGGTCCTCCTCAGGAACTCCCTGTCCTGGCAGTGCCGGCCCTCAGGAGCCATCCCAGGAAGCAATTCGTCCTAACCCTCCTCCCTCCCCAGCCCCACGTGTCCCACCCAGCTTGAGACTCGCTTCCCTTCTCCCCATCCACACAGCCTCGGCTCCAGTTCCATCTCACCCTGATGACTCTCAGAGTCTTGGTCTAATGATCTAGACCAAGCTTGTCCAACATGTGGTCCAACACAAATTCGTAAACTTTCTTAAAACATGATGAGATGAGATTTTTTGTTAAGCTCATCAGCTATCAATGGATTTTATGTGTGGCCCAAGACAATTCTTCTTCCAATGTGGCCCAGGGAAGCCAAAAGATTGGACACCCCTGATATAGACCATCTGGGCTCAGCCAAGGGACTTCCCTTGGCCTCAGTTTACTTCCCGGAGCCATGCTGATGGGGTTAGAGAACTGTGCACAGGGGCTGACTGCTACTGCTTCTCACTCACTCTACAAGTACCCTCTCGCCTGCTGGGAGGGTTGCAAACTACCACCCGTGGGCCAAATGCAGTCTCCCGCCTAGTGTGTAGATGCGGCCTGTGTGGCCTGGTATGTGGTTGCAGCTTGGTGTGTAGACTCTGCCTGGTGTGTAGACGCGGCCTGCGTAGACGCGGCCTGCTGTGTAGTCACGTCCTGGTGTGTAGATGTGGCTGATTAAAGCCAGCTAGGACTCCTCCCTGGCATGCTGAGTCTGGCTGCACCGTTGAGTGGTCGCAACAGACTGTGGAGGCTGAAAATACTGACTCCCTGTCCCTCGACAGATCCCTGGTCAAGACCATCTCAAATCACCCTCCACAAAACTGACAGAATAATTTTTCCAAAAAGCAAGTCTGGATTCCAAGTCTAGTAGATCCCAATGCCTTCCATCTGAAGGACAAACGTCTCAGCCTGCAGAGAAAGCCTCAGTGGGTTTTTCCCCCTGCACTCCCAGGAGCAGGACCTCTCCCAGGTCGCTGTGCAACACTGCACGCCTTCCTATTCCAGACTCCTGGCATCTACACCGTGGCACACGCTCCCCACCCGGGAGGCTCATGTCCTCTGACCACATGGAACCAGAGGTGTCTGAGTCCCGGCGTCTCTGCCCCTCTGGGGAATCAGTGTGACGGAGGCAGGGGCCTTTCCTCCAGGAGCTCAGCACAGTTGGGGAGACAGACTTTGAACAGTCCCGTGTGGTCAGTGTTACCTCGAGGTCACGCTGATTCCCCAGAGCTAACAGAGGGGCAGAGACGCCAGGGCCTCAGCCACCTTTGGTTAAACAAGGGACTGCTTCTAGTGACAAGAGAACTCTGTGTACCTTCCAGAAAATTCCTTTAACTTCAGCACCAGAACACCTTCCCTTGGGCTTCATCTCTCCTTCAGGACCCCAAGGAATTATTTTATTTTGCAAAAAAATTTCAAATCAGATGCCTTTGCCACAGCCCATGCTGGTGTATGAGCTACCACTGGCTGCCGGGGTGCCTGGCTGCCGGCGCCTGCTGCAGGCAAGAGTTTGCATGTTCTTTAAAAAGCTGGGTTCTTTTTCGGGGGTGGGGGGTGGGGGGGCTCTTTTGTTTGTTGCCAGCCAGAAACAACAGAAATGAACCGGCGAGGGTAAGACACAAGATGGACAAAGTCCTTTCCAGAAGGGGCTCGTGTGAGGCTTCTCCCTACACCCCTCAAAGCTTAAGCAGTTTAAATGCTCGCTTTATTGTGAAAAGATTGACAAACCCAGTGCCTGCAGAGTAATGGTTTGATTTTAGATAATCAGCAACAAGAGGACTCAGGGACTACAGCAAAGTCATGGGTTCTGTGGCCAGCCAGGCTCTCCTGTTCAGTGGGGCTGCAAACCAGCTATCTCCCAGACTCAGGGGCCTACAGGGACAGGACCCCTGCTGCTGCCTGGAGAGCACTCACAGGAGCACTCACAGGAGGAATAACCACCTGCAAGGCTTGCAAGGCACCACGGAGGCATCTGTCCATCCCACAGGACACTCCCAGAGCGCAGGGGAGCCACCAGTGAGGGAGCTGGGAGTTAGGGAGCGGGGAGTTAGGGAGTAGGGAGTTGGGGGGGAGTTAGGGAGGGGGGAATTGGGGAGGGGAGTTAGGAAGAGGGGAGTTAGGGAGAGGGGAGTTAGTGAGTGGGGAGTTAGGGAGGGGGAGTTAGGGAGAGGGGAGTTAGGGAGGGGAGTTAGGGAGGGGAGTTAGGGAGAGGGGAGTTAGGGAGAGGAGTTGGGGGGGAGTTAGGGAGGGGTGTTAGGGAGAGGGGGGTTAGGGAGAGGGGAGTTAGGGAGAGGGAGGTTAGGGAGGGGAGTTAGGGAGAGGAGAGTTAGGGAGAGGGGAGCTAGGGAGAGGACAGTTAGGGAGAGGAGTTAGGGAGGGGGGAGTTAGGGAGGGGAGTTAGGGAGAGGGGAGTTAGGGAGAGGGAGGTTAGGGAGGGGAGTTAGGGAGAGGGGGGTTAGGGAGAGGGGGGTTAGGGAGAAGGGAGTTAGGGAGGGGAGTTAGGGAGAGGGGAGTTAGGGAGGGGGGAGTTAGGGAGAGGAGTTAAGGAGAGGGGAGTTAGGGAGGGGAGTTAGGGAGAGGGGAGTTAGGGAGGGGGGAGTTAGGGAGAGGGGGGTTAGGGAGAAGGGAGTTAGGGAGGGGAGTTAGGGAGAGGGGAGTTAGGGAGGGGGGAGTTAGGGAGAGGAGTTAAGGAGAGGGGAGTTAGGGAGGGGAGTTAGGGAGAGGGGAGTTAGGGAGAGGGGAGCTGGGGGGGAGTTATGGAGCAAGGAGTTAGGGAGGGGGGAGTTAGGGAGATGGGAGTTAGGGAGAGGGGGGTTAGGGAGAGGGGAGTTAGGGAGGGGAGTTAGGGAGAAGGGAGTTAGGGAGAGGGGAGCTAGGGAGAGGGGGGTTAGGGAAGGGGGAGTTAGGGAGGGGAGTTAGGGAGGGGAGTTAGGGAGAGGGGATTTAGGGAGGGGGGAGTTAGGGAGAGGAGTTAAGGAGAGGGGAGTTAGGGAGGGGAGTTAGGGAGAGGGGAGCTGGGGGGGAGTTATGGAGCAAGGAGTTAGGGAGGGGGGAGTTAGGGAGATGGGAGTTAGGGAGAGGGGGGTTAGGGAGAGGGGAGTTAGGGAGGGGAGTTAGGGAGAAGGGAGTTAGGGAGAGGGGAGCTAGGGAGAGGGGGGTTAGGGAAGGGGGAGTTAGGGAGGGGAGTTAGGGAGAGGGGGGTTAGGGAGAAGGGAGTTAGGGAGAGGGGATTTAGGGAGGGGGGAGTTAGGGAGAGGAGTTAAGGAGAGGGGAGTTAGGGAAGGGAGTTAGGGAGAGGGGAGTTAGGGAGAAGGGAGTTAGGGAGGGGGGAGTTAGGGAGGTGAGAGTTAAAGAGCGAGGAGTTAGGGAGCGGGGAGTTAGGGAAACTGTGCTTTTCTCTGTGCACACCCAGGAGGCGTCTCCCTGCTGCTGCCCTTTCCCAGGAGAAGGGCTCAGGGGCCACCTACCTCCCGAGGCCATCCCCAGGCCTGCCGCTGCACTCTGAGCAAGGCTATAATGAAGGGAGTGGCGACTCCCTGGACAGCAGACAGCCAAGAGGGTTTGTTTCTCCAGCTTCCTGCAGGAGTGGAATAGGACAGGTGGCAGAACCAGCAGGTTTACTGAGGGCTGCCAGGCTCCTCCCTTTCAGGATCCAGGCAGGGCAGGAAGCCACATCATCCTGTTAAGAGGCCGCCACATCCTAGCCCCCACCTCCTTGGAAGGGACGGGTAGGCAGGTGGCAGGTGCGCCAACCCCTTATCTCTGGAGAAGAGCTACCTTCCTTTCCCTTCCCACACCCAGAGAGCAGGCAGGCAGGCCTCAGAGTGCCCACTGTGTTCACTGCCATGGTAAAGAGCAAACCCCACTGACCTACAGACTCTTCAGCACAGCCAAGGCAGAAGCCAAGGCCTTCACACACTCATGCTAACAGCGCCTGAGAGAACACGGGTGGCGCATCTCAAAGAAACACTTATTAATGCCTGCTATGGGCCAGACTCCTTGAAAACGTTACCTGATTCCTGCTTTGGCACTTGCAAGGCTAACTATTGTACCTGCAAATTCCACGGCAAATCTCCTCGGGGGTGGGCAGTACAAGGAAACCAGAAAGGAAGAAGGTCACAGGGAGTCTGGTTAGGCCATCCTGCCTCCACAGACAGCACGCTCCTTAAAGGTCAAGCTCAGGATCTGACTGACTTCTGCACCTGTCCCCGCCCCTAGTATCCAGCACACGGCAGGCAGCAGGCACCGTCCTGTGGGACAGAAGCCTCACACGGGCCATGGCTCCATTCTCATGCCTCTTCCAGCTTCTGGAGGCACCCACATTCCCTGCCTGGTGGCCCCTCCTCCCCCTCCAAAGCCCGCCCACTGCACTTCCCCAAGGCTCTTGGCCATCATCTCCCTCCGGCTCTTCTGCTTCCCTCTTCTGTTCTTAAGGACCCTGTGATTACACTGGGCTCCCTGGGAAAATCCAGGATCATCTCACTACTTTAAGGCCGGCTGATCAGCAACCTTAATTCCCCTTTGCCATGTAATGTAACATATTCACAGGCTCAGAAGGTAGGACGTGGACATCTCGGGGAGCTGTTCCTCCACCAATCACAGGAGGAAGAGGGGAAAGAGCCTCCAGGTTTTTCCAAGGGCCAGGACCAGTCACTGTCTATGGTGTGGGCGCACAGCTTCAGAACCCTCTACGGTTTGCAGTTACTGCCTTGTAAAGAGGCTGTGTCTGCTTAATTTGTATCATCGATGTTACACCTGGAGGAATTTTAGCCAAAAGGCGACCTTCTCAGTTGAAAGGCACATTCCAAATGGCACCACACATCTGGGAAGGTGTCCTTTTCCAGAGTGTGTGAAAATAACGGGATGGGATCATCGCCCCATGGACCTGGATCAGGGCTGCCTTCCACACCGCGGTGGCACCTGCACGAGCCCACCTGCTTACTGCCACCTTCTCTCCTCACGCTTTCCTCCAGGCTCGGCTCCCGGGACACAAAGGCCGAATCGCCAGGACTTTCACTCAACCCGGCAACACCCTCAGAGCCATTCTGGGGGGTCCCAGTCTCACCTCTGCCCCACTCCCACATGGTGGCATCACGCACTGTCTTAAGTCTTAAGCCAGACTTCAACGCCTTCTTCACTTCCCATAAAACCATCCCAGAGGAACGCGGGGAGCAGCGTCCTGCCTGGGAACCAGGCGCTCCACATGACCACTGCACGCATGACAAAGACGAGCAGGGTCCAAAACAAAAAACAGAACGTCTCCCCAAACAGACTTCTCTACTGCCAGGATGATTTTTTCCTAATTAACCATCTTGATTAAAGTAAAAGGAAAATCAACATGAACATTCTTAAGAATTAATATAAAAGTTTCTAATTCCCTTGATATTGGCATTTCATAAGAGCTTTCCAGGAAATCTCGATAGTTCAGAGTGCACTGAGTGAAAAGAATGAATGCTGTGTGTCCTTGGCATCCCTGGTACCATTCAACAAACAATAGAAAAATGACCTCCTTGTGATAGTACTGACCCATTTCAGGACCTGGACAATAGTTCCAAGTCTCAGATCTTCTGTTTTTGAAAGAGAAAACACTACAGCATTTATACATCTACCTATCTACCTATACGGTTGCCAGAAAGTACCGAGACTCCGAGGACGGGCCATATGTACTTGGGGGAGCCTGCACAGGCACACACACCTCGAAAGCCACATCCAGGTGGCAGGGTAAAAACACCCACAGGGCCAGGAGAACTGCTGCTACCACACCCTGGGTCTCCTCACGTACTCTGCAGCTCAGGGGGGTCCTGCAGACCAGGTGCACAGTGACGGGTGAGTGAAAACGTTCTGGAGTACCAAGAGCTTTTACACCAACACATTTACTAAGCTGCCATGGGCTAGGAAAATATGGTTATAGCCTAAGGGGAAGAAAGGAGACCTCTGGCAATCAGAAGCGTCAAGCCTCAGATGTGCCCCTCCAGCGAGGTGTCCCAGGGTCCAGGGGTCCTATCCCGCTGCGAGTGGAGGGTTCCCTCTACCACCTTGTGACATGTCATTCTCTTTTGTGATCACGTTAATTTGGACATGAAAAAGTGACACTAGAAGTTGGTCCCCACACTGCTGCGGTGGCCTCATGACAGTGCCTGGACAAATCCATGCTTCACCTGAGTCCTGGCCGTGAAGATGCCTGGGGCTGCCCCGACAGGAAACCCTTGCCACGTCCAGAGGGGAGAGGGTTGGCTCCTTCAGTGTGCCTTTCAGCAGGGGCGTGTGCTAGGATAGAGGGCTCATTGAGGCCAGCAGGGAGGAGCACCTGGGAGGAGCCCCACTGCCGTTCCACAGGCTCCAGCCAGACTGTCCTGCTGAGAGGCCTGCGGTGGGGCTGCAGGGAGGGTCTGTGGTCCAGGCCTGGAGGGACCTTTCTCAGCAAAGCTCCTCAGAGGGAGAGGGAGGAAGAGCTGGGAGATAGCGGATCCTGAAGGGCTGCGGCACCCGCTTCCTTTTAGGAGCCTTCTACGACCTGACACTTGTTTCAAGTTTGGGCCCTTACACTGGAGAGCTAGCCGGATTCACTTGACACCAAGAGCCTCACATTTCCAAACCTCTGCTTTGTTGAAAATGTGGTAGGAAAGGCCATAGGGCATACAACCTCAAGAATAAAATAAGAAATGGAGCTGGGACACTAAGAGACGGCTTTTCCAGGGGTCACTAAGGGGGAAAGGTGTTTGGGAGAGAGATGTGTCTGCTGATGGAAGAGTGGTCACAGGTGCTCTGTGCCAAGCCTAGGGTACACAGAGGGCAAGGGAAAGACCATTCGGAGGGAGAAGCAAAGGCACCAGGCAACATGGACTGGCAAGGAGGTACCAGTCTCCAAGGATGAGAGAATCCAGACCGGATGGCAGTAGGGGTGTGAGACAGGTATGGTGGGGAGGGCGAATCATTTGCATGCAGGAAGATGAGAGTGAGCTGTGTGCCTGGAGGAAGGCTCCAAATTGGATGAGGGCAGGGAGAGCAAGGACTGGGATGGGGTGGGGAAGGTTGGCCTGTTACAGGTTTGACCAAGTGCCAGTCAGAGGGAGAAAATTCCCTTATCAGTCCAAGGAGACCCTGCATAGACCAGAGGAGGGGTATTTGAAGTCAGAAGGTGGTGGGAGGGGGTCATTCCCAGGAGGGGTGCCCCACACTAGCCAGAGCGGGGAGGCGTCCCACACTAATCAGAGGGGGATGGTCCCCACACTAACCAGAGGGGGAGGTGCCCCACATGAATCAGAGGGGGGTGGTCCCCACACTAATCAGAGCGGGGAGGTGCCCCACAGTAATCAGAGGGGGATGGTCCCCAAACTAATTAGAAGGGGGGTGTCCCACACTAATCAGAGCGGGGAGGAGTCACATAATCAGAGGGGGGAGGTGCCCACACTAATCAGAGGGGAATGGTCCCCACACTAATTAGAGAGGAGGGGTGCCCACACTAACCAGAGGGTAATGGTCCCCACGCTAGTCCCAGGGATGAGGTGTCCCAAAAGTCAGAGGGGGTGGTGTCCACCGCCTGTCGGAAGAAGGGGACTTTCCCACAGGTCAGAGGGCAGAGTCCCAGCCCAGTCTGCGAGTCAGGGGGCAGAGATCCCGCACGGGTGGGACGGGAAGGGGGCCTGACGGGTCAGGGGGCGGGACGCGGCAGGGTCGGAGGGCGGCGGCAGGCTCCGGGACGGGGGTCCGGGCCCGTGGCTGGGGCAGGGCGCCGGCGGCCGCGGGCGCAGTCACTCACCCGCTGCGGGGCTGGCTCCGGTGCCCGCGATCGGCGGGGCTTGGCTGGGCTTGGCTGGGCTTGGCTGGGCTAACGGCCGGGACGGAGGAAGGTGGCCGACTTCCGCCCCGCGCGCGCTCGCCCCGCCTCTGGGCCCGCGTTCCCGGCAGCCTCTGCTCTGCGGCTGCGCGCGGACGGCGCGAGGGCTGCTGGGAGCTGTGGTTTGTGTTTTTTTGGGTTTTTTTTTTGTTGTTTTTTTGTGTTTTTTTTTTCCGTCCTGCGCCTGCGCGCTGGAGGAGCGGCCGGCTGGCTGCAGGCTGGAGGGGCGCGAGGGTCCGCACTGGCACATGAGGGCCGTCTTCCACCGCGTTGCGCTGGAACGTGGGCCCAGCAGATCTTTTGGGGTGGGAGGCATTGAGGGGGGTGAAGGCTACTAGGGAGGGAAGTTCTCATTCTCCGAGCGAGGGCCCCCTTACATGGGCCTCCCGACCCTCGTAGTCTTGGGAGGCGGAAAACCGTGGGCCCCTTTCTGCCATCCTCATTCTCAGGCAGCCCCTCTCCTTGGCCCTTCAAAACAGCCGCCTCCAGAGTGCTGCTGACCAGTTGCCAAAGCCAGGATCAGGGAGGTCTAAGGCTGTAGTGTCCTGGGGTGGGGACGGTGGGGTGTTTCCCTGCAAAAAATCTGCAGTTGACAAACCTGCCAAACAAGGGTCTCTGATTTCTCCTTTCCCCTCCGTAGCCCTAGCCCCCGAGATATTTTAGGGCACTCTGTTAAAAGGCTTCCCCGGCCCCGCCCTCCTCCATCCCAAAGTTCTGAGAAAGGCCTGGTGGCCGTGGAGCCTCTGGCAGGAGAGCTTGGCAGAAGGGTGCACCAGCCCCCTGCCCATCTGCACCTTCAGCTTTCCTGCTTGATACCAGCTACTTCCCCCAGCTCTCTCAAAACCTTCCGTTCAGTAAAAGATACACAAGAGGAGGAATTCAAATTATATAAATGGTACGCAATGAAAAATAAGCCTCCCATTGCCGTTCTGTATTCCCTGCCCAGAGGCGATCACTAGATGTTATATGGTATCCAAACAAGTCATAAACACGTATCTTAAATTACCTTTAACTAAATAGAAATGTGCTAAACACTGTTATGCACTTTTGGTTTTTGATTTTGGAGAGGAGACAAACCTTTCTTGAATTCATTAATGTTTCTTGTCATGCTAAACTGAGTCCCAACCATGTCTCACATAATACTCATTATTGTCAGGCCTCTGAGCCCAAGCTAAGCCATCATATCCCCTGTGACCTGCACATATACATCCAGATGGCCTGAAGCAACTGAAGAACCACAAAAGATGACATTCCACCATTGTGATCTGTTCCTGCCCCACCCTCACTGATCAATTGACCTTATGACAATACACCCTCCCCACCCTTAGGATAATGTACTTCGTGATATTCCCTCACCCTTAAGAAGGTACTTTGTAATATTTTTCCCACCCTTGAGAATGTACTTTGTGAGATCCACCCCCTGCCCACAAAAAATTGCTCCTAACTCCACCACCTATCCCAAACCTATAAGAACTAATGATAATCCCACTACTCTTTGCTGACTCCTTTCTCGGACTCCGCCCACTTGCACCCAGGTGAAATAAACAGTCTTGTTGCTCACACAAGGCCCGTTGGTGGAATCTCTTCACATGGACGCATGTGACAATTATATTTGAATCTTTTATTTTCTAAAAGATCCACATGTGCCTTCCAGCTTAAGAAATAACACATTATTCCTGCATCTTTAAAACTCTCCAGGTTCTTCCTGTTCTGTACTCCCTGCTACCCCCAAGAGGTGGTAGCCACAATACTGAATGTTGTGTTAATCATTCTGTTGCCTTACTTTATAATTTTAGCACATAGGTATGTATCCCTAAACAATATATTGTTTAATTCTGTCTATTTTAACCTTTATAAAATGAAATAAAACTGTATGCAATAATTGAGAGATCCAGTGGCTCTCTCAGAGGCCTTCGAACCAGAGCAACACCATCTTGAATAAGGGCTGGGTAAATGAGACCTGCTGGGCTGCATTCCCAGGAAATTAGGCATTCTTAGTCACAGGATGAGATAGGAGGTTACAAGATACGGGTCACAGAGACCCTGCTGATGAAACAGGATGCAGTAAAGAAGCTGGTCAAAACCCTCCAAATCCAGGATGGCAATGAAAGTGACCTCTGGCTGTCCTTGCTGCTAATTATACCCTAATTATAATGTATTAGCATGCTGAAAGACACTCCCACCAGCACCATGATGATTTACAAATGCCATGGCAACGTCAGGAAGTTACCCTAGATGTTCTAACGGGGAAGAACCCTCAGTTCCAAGGAAATCTCCTCCCCTTTCCCAGAAAACTCATGAATAATCCACCCCTTGTTTATCATATGAGCGAGAAATAACCATAAAAATAGCCAACCAGCAGCCCTTGTGGCTGCTGTGCCCATGGAGTAGCCATTCTTTTATTGCTTTACTTTCTTCATAAACTTGCTTTCACTTTACTCTGCGGACTTGCCCCAGATTCTTTCTTGTGGAAAATCCAAGAACCCTCTCTTGGGGCCTGGACTGGAACCCCTTTCTGATAACATCTTGCTGAGAAACCATGAAGGGACAACACTGGAGAGACCTCTGACCCAAGGGAAATAGACTTCAGCACCAGTTGACCAACTTTGGGTACATGGTGGGGTATTTTATCCAGGGTAATGGATGGAATTGGGTTAGAGGCCCAAATTAGGAGAGTTAGAGTCCCTCCTAAGACACAGGGAGTTAGAGGCCCCTCTTTGTAAAGAACAAGAATGCTTGTTCAAACTTGGGTTGAAGGCTCAACTTCAGAATGTTAGAGGCCACCCTTAGTAAGAGCCCTCTTGGTTAAAAATGGATTCAGCACTGCAGGATGTTAACCGCCATTCTATTTGGATTAATTTGCCATGCCCTCTTTGCTGATGGCTGTGGGTGACAAGATTAGGCATGTGCAGGATCATGGGACCTGGGGAGCTTTTTTTCCTCCCCCAAAGGGGAAAACTTGAGAGCTGATGGGACTGCTGGAAAAGATCCCTTTTTGACAAGCAGCTGTCTGAACTTTTGATTCAGTGTCACTGTGATGGATGGGTCTTTCTCTGGCTTCTGTGAGCTCCTCACCTCTGCAACCCACCACAGGCAACACTCTTCTCCCTTCCCTTTCCTCTCTCTCGTTCTCGCCTTTCCCTTGTCTGTCTTCTCTGTCACTCTGGGTGATGATCTACTCTTCCATCTTGCCCAAAAACCACCTGTTGAAACTCCTGGTTGGCAGTCATTCCGCCCCCACTTTGAATGGATTAAACACTACAGGGGCCAATGGGGGAAGTTTTGAGCCTTGCCAGGTCGATATTGGGTGCTGAGGGGGGTGGCTAGTGTCTGTGTTTTGTCAAGTGCACTTTGTTCTGGCCAGAATGGAAAATGTTGATTCGATTCCTCCATGCAACTTGTTGTGTAGCATCTTGCAAAATTGAGAGGCTTTTCCTATGGTTCCATGAAATGGAAAAGGGTGATTTTTGCTTTGCGATGTGGCTTGGCCCCCACAGTTATGGTGCTGTGAGCAGGGTCACGAGGGCTGCTTAGGGAAAGGGATCCCAGAAACCTGGCATGCTGGCAAAAGGGTAAGAATTTCTTACCAGTCAGGCCTTTGGTCTCTCTCTCTCTATGCAAACCAGTTGAGTGAATGGTAAAAATCACTGTCTCCTCTGCAAGGTTTTGATGAATGGGAAAAAGGATTTGTGAGGCTAGTCTTAGGCTGTGATGAATCTGGTGTACTTTGTGCTATGAATTTGGCTTTCTGTGTCATTCTGTCATAAAAGGGGTATCATAGGATAGAATGTGGCCCTAGGACCCCTGTAAGCCCACTATTCAAGCTGGCCCAGCAAACTGGTCAGTTGACAACTTTGCTTCAGGTCACTGAAACAAAAACTGGATGAGGATTCCCCCTCGTCTTGTTTTATGTCCTTGGGAGCTTGACTTGTGACCATGGAGGGGTATTTTCTCTTGGTCTGTACCATCCCTGTGAGTCATGTTTTACAACCAAAATATATAAAAGAGCTCTATTTAATTGGCTTAAATAAAAATAAGCACTTAAATAAAATATTTTGCCAGAAAAATTAAAATGCTAATGCCTTTTTGTTCACATGACTTTAGTCATCTTTGGAAAAGCAAGGCAGTTTTAAAGATTATTGGTAAAATAAAAATGTCTTTGAAATTTAGACATTTGGTCTAAATTAGGCAGGTCAGATACTAGGTTTACTAAACTACTTCTCTGACTTTTGATAATTGTTCAATTTACCTTCTTTGGAGCCATTAGCGTCTATGTAAGGCCTGGGAACATATGGAGTTAGCCATGCCCCTAGCTATGCTGGAAGGGGTCAGACCTTATCTGCACTTTTGTCTGGTGCCCCAAGCTCTACACCTGGTACACAAATAAAATCACTTACCAAATTTTTCGCCAAAAATAAAAGTTGCTAAGAGTTAACATTGTACCATATGTAACTGAGGTTACTGGAGGAACACTTTTACATGCACAGTGTGTAAGGAAAGTATAATGTGTGTTTGGTAAAAGATTATAAGAAGGCATGGGAAGGCAGGGTGTTTTTGCCTGGTTTGGAAGTTTAAAGAGTTGTTCTTAGATAGGAGAAAGCGGAAGGTCTAAGCAAGTCGTGGAAGGTTTGTGAAAGTCTAATCTTGTAAAAGCAATTCTCTGTGTTAACATATTGGCTAAAGTTAAAGGAGTATTATTTGGTTTTTCCATAAATTGAACATTGGAATAAAAGCACAACAGGGTTTTCTTAGAGCATTGGTCTACTCTTTAACAAAAAAAATTGTAAAGGGTTATAAAAGCTTTATGAAAATCTTACATTATGGTCAAACTGATTGAAGTTAGGAAAATTTGTCTGTAAAGTTTTACTAGGAATTGAATTTGACATCAATAGTACACTCATGCAAAGATGAAATTTGGCTTTCTCTCTTGAACAAGATTTTCATGTAATATTAAAAGATAATGAAAGATTTTTGTTTACCTTTTAAATAAACTACAGGAGAAAGAAGGGAAAGAAAAGATTGTTTGAAGAGCTAAATCTTCCCTCTATCAATGAGTAAAGCCTTTTGCCTTTTTTAAATTGTTGAGTTAACATTTTGGCTAAATAAATGACTTACAGTGACCTGGAATTTTATGTTATAATATCAAGTGTTTTAAACTTTTGATATTTGACGAACTTTCCAAAATCAGATTCTAAATATGTCTTTTTCTGACCTGATTAATCATTTTAGATGGTAAAAACCCTAAAGTCCAAAAGAGACTTATTTGGCTTATTTGGTATATTAAAATCATACAGGAAGCATTATCAAGTATGAAATGGTGTTTGGCTTTCTTTAGACCATATTTGTATAAATATATTATTGGTATGCATTCTAAAATTATGGGAAATTCCTATAATGACCTAGGTGTATGTTATTGGTGACTTAGTGTATGTTATCAGTAATAATTATAATTGTTATGTAAAATTGTATGCTACAGAAGTAATGAAATTTCCTTGTCAATTGCATCTTTGACTGTGGCTATCCTAAGACTTTTTTGTCATTCAGAGACAATTATTGTCTTGTTTTAATCCTCTTCAAAAGAAGGTTTATAACCAGCTATAGGATGCTGACAATTACTCTTAAATGCGAGTGTCTGATAACTTTGGAAAGTGTGCCATTAAAATAGAGAGGAAAAAAAAGCTTCCAAGACTCTTTTGGAAAGCTAATGTGTTCTTAAATATTGAGCAAAACAGAAATTAATTGTATAGACTAATGAAAGACTGAAATAATCTTTTTACGACTTTTTGCATAAAATATTGCTGTTCCTTTCTGTTTTGTTTTCCAAGTCGAGCAAACTTTTTTATTTTTTATTTTTTTTATTTTGAGATGGAGTCTCGCTCTGTCGCCCAGGCTGGAGTGCAGTGGCGTGATCTCGGCTCACTGCAAGCTCCGCCTCCCGGGTTCATGCCATTCTCCTGCCTCAGCCTCCCAAGTAGCTGGGACTACAAGAGCCCGCCACCACAACTGGCTAATTTTTTGTATTTTTAGTAGAGACAGGGTTTCACCCTGTTAGTGAGGATGGTCTCGATCTCCTTACCTCTTGATCCGCCCGCCTCGGCCTCCCAAAGTGCTGGGATTACAGGCGTGAGCCACCGTGCCCGGCCAAACTTTTCTTTTGAACTCTTTACAGCTTTTAACAGTTGAGTAAAATACACTCCTGTAAACAAAATTTGGAGCATATTTCTTTCTCTCTACCTGATTTCTCCAAAAATTGAAAACTATTTGTGAGTATTCTTAACTTATGGCTATATATTAATAGTTATTTGCATAAGTGCAGTAAGAATCTGTTTTCTTTTGTAACAGGACACAATTGGAGAAATTGGGTTTTACTAAGGCTTTGAATGGAATGGCGTGCTTTCAAATATAAAAAAAACTGCCTTAAGGAATCAAAGTTGACTTATAGAGCTAATAAAAGGCCCTTGGAAAAACTGGCTTTATACCTTGTCTATGCAGTCCCTGTACAGGGTTCCTGCCATGTGGTAAGTAAAGAATGTCACTTTGTGACAGGTTCAGGAGCCCTAAGTTATATTGGGACTTTGAGACGAGAGAAATTTACCTAACTCATACAGGTATTTGAAGGCATAAACCCATGGCTGGGCAAGGCTTTAAAAAGTCAAATATAAGATTCCTTATGGAACAAGATTCCATCAAAGCCATTTTTTTGTAAAAAGAGCCTATATGGTGAATAATTATTCTTACTGCACTTCATGCAAATGATCATGCCAAGTATAATAAGACTAAGGTTTATTTTTCAAACAAATAAGTCCTACCATTATTTGTTTTTAATAAAAATGGGGACTGGAGAGAGAAAAATTAGGTTTCAAAAACTATGGTACACCTGTTATTAGATTCTAGTCTCATTCATTGTTTTTTTTTTTTTTTTCTGCAGTCTAGACTGACCCTGCTTATTTCTGTGAACCAACCAGTGATCTCTGGCCATGGCTCAGAACAAATAATAGGGATGGGTAACATAAGAAATATCTGGATCAGTATTCTAATTCAGGGCACATATTGGAATCTGTTAGCAACCCCATATCAGCTTAGTTCCAACAGTTGCCCAGTTGATGGAATGCCTTATTTAATTTATTTGGGATAAAGTATTAATCCATTCTCACACTGCTATAGAGAAATACCCAAGACTGGGTAACTTATAAAGCAACAAGATTTAATGGCTCACGGTTCTGCAGGCTGTACAGGAAGCATGGCAGCATCTGCTTCTGGGGAGGCCTCAGGGAGCTTTTAGTCATGGCCTAAGGCAAAGGGGGAGAGGCCTCTTACATGACAGGAGCAGGAGAAAGAGAGAGAGCGAGGAGGTACCATACACTTTTAAACAACCAGATCTCACGAGAACTCACCCACTATCATGACCAAGGGGGATGGGGCCAAACCATTCATGAGAAACTGCCCCAGTGATCCAGTCACCTCCCATCAGGCCCTACCTCCAACTTTGGGGACTATAATCGGACATGAGATTTGGTGGGGACACAGATGCAAACCATATCAGATAATTTTACTTATTTTGCTTTACTATTGTGGAATATATTCCTGTTGTACTCGTTGTGTAGGAATGCAGAATAAGCTTACTCGCCGTTTTCTTAAATTGAACATTTGCCAGTCTTCCAGATATCACCTTTTGTTGGAACTCAGAGTTATGAATGGCCGTCAGTATGCTGATGCTTTCTGACTGAGTTCCTCTCTACCCTGAATACAAAAGACCTTAATAGTTAGATGAGAATATCATTACTCCTATTTAGCCTGAAGAAGCTACAGAAGGGGAATCTTCCTACCTCTACAACCCTTAGGATTAGTGGTCCTCTTGTAAAAAGGAGGGGGGAAATATGTCAGAGGCATTGGAAGCAGAGCAACTTTAACTTGAATAGGGGCTGGGTAAAATGATGCTGAGACCTGCTGGGCCACATTCCTGGGAGGTTAAGGCATTTTAACCTCCCGGGATCTGAGATGAGATAGGAGGTCACAAGATACAGGCCACAATGACCCTGCTCATATAACAGGATGCAGTATAAAGGCTGGCCAAAACCTGCCAAAACCAAGATGGCAACAAAAGTGACCTCTAGTTGTCCCAACTGCTCATTATATGCTAATTATAATACATTAGCATGCTAAAAAAACACTCCCACCAGCACCGTGGCAGTTTACAAAGGCCATGGGAACGTCTGGAAGTTACCCTGTATGGCCTATGACGGGGAGAAACCCTCAATTACAAGAAATTCTTGCCCCTTTCCCAGAAAGCTCATGAATAATCCACCCCTTGTTTAGCATATGATCAAGACATAACCATAAAAATAGCCAACCAGCAGCCTTTGGGGGTGCTCTGCCTATGGAATAGCCATTTTTCTTTTCTTTTCTTTCTTTTTTTTTTTTTTTTTTTTGGCACAGTGTTGCTCTATTGCCCAGGTTGGAGTGCAATGGCGCAATCTTGGCTCTCTGCAACCTCCATCTCCCACGTTCAAGTGATTCTCATGCCACAGCCTTCTGAGTAGCTGGGATTACAGGCATGCTACTTGAACAGGGGCTGGGTAAAATAAGGCTGAGACCTGCTGGGCTGTATTCCTGGGAGGTTAGGCAGGAATAGGGGTAAATAGGGGTAATTATATTTTTAGTAGAGATGGGGGTTCACCATGTTGGCCAGGGTGGTCTTGAACTGATCTCAGGTGGTCTGCCTGTCTCGGCCTTCTGAAGTGTTGGCATTACAGGCATGAGCCACTGCGTCCGGCCTCCTTTACTCTCTTGATAAACTTGCTTGTATTTTACCCTGTGGACTTATCCCAAATTCTTTCTTGCTCAAGATCAAAGAACCCTCTCTTGGGGTCTGGTTTGGGACCCTTTCCAGTAACAGCTCCACAGACATCATCAGATGGCTTAATTTTGCCAATCTGATGGTAATCAGTGTCTTCTCCTTGCCTGATTACTGTGAGGTTGTATATCTTTTCTTACACTTTTTGGCTGTTTACGTTTCTTTTTCTGTGGATTCCCCATCATCTTGTGTGTTTTTAGGAATTGATCCATCCCATCCCCATTGATATACGTGCAATGCCAATTTTGTCATAGATCAAGTTTTCATACACACATGGGTCTTTGTCGGGTGGGCCTTCTATCATGTTGAACTAATATACTTGATCACATCTGTTCCAATACCAGTATCTTCATTATTATGTCTTTATAATAAGCCTTCCTATGATGTAGGACAAGTCCCCTCCTACCTCACCCACCTTCAACCTTCTGGGATTTTGAATGGAATTGCTTGGAATCTATAGCTTAATTGAGCGAGAACTGAGTTTTTTTTTTTTTTTAATGATATTGAGTCTTCTATCTAAGACCACGCTTTGCTTTTCCATTTCTTTGGATTTTCTTTAGTGCTTTTCAGTAAGGGTTTGTAATTTTCACTTCACAATATAGCTTGGAGATTGTTCCAGATCACATATAGAGAGCTGTTTATTCTCTAAAGAGCTACACGGTGTTCCACTGTGTGGAATTTATTTTACCAGGCCCCTAATGATGTCCTTTGAGGGTATCTGTGCTTTTTTTATACTACGGCAATGCTTCAGAGGATATCCTTGAACTTACTTATTTGAGCACCCTTCTAAGTTTATCTGTAGGAGAAACTCCTAGAAGAAAGATTAGGGGGTCAAAGGGTATTTGCATTCTGTGAGCGAACACACCCTCCCTTCCAGAGAGGCTGTACCATAAAATCACTTTCCTTAAGGTCAACAAATACAATCAGGCTTTCATTGGATTTTCATTCTCCTTGTCTTCTTTGCATCCTCAGAGACTTCACCATAGACTCCTTTTGGAAATTCTCTTTAGTTTCTGTGGCTCTGCATAAAGGACAAGACATTCTTTATTGAATCATTCATTCATATGTTGACATGCATTTACTCACTCATTTCATAGTTAAGTGCTTGGAACTGGGGAGTCCACCAGGGGGCCCTCCCATCTTATTTATCAAGTAAAATATTGCCTAGTCGATCAGTATATGCCTGTCTCCATGTAACTGAAAACATTCATTGCCAAAACAGGAGAGTAAATATTCAGAGGTGAGGAAACTGAGGCATAGGGAAATTAAATGGCTTGATAGAGTTGCAAGGCACACGTGTACATGGCCTCAGGGGAGACTTCTGTGGAAAGGCATGGCTTCCTGGAAGAGGGAACGCCCTTACCCTCCTGGTTTTCTGCAGGTGTGAGGACCATAAAGAAACCTATTCACCTGGTGTGTCCTTGCAGCTGCCAGTCCTGATCTCCACCTGTCCCAAGCTGCTCAGAACGTGGCAGCGCCATCCAGGAGCCACGAGCATGGGCCAGTGGCCAGGGAGGCTGGATCTGTCTGCCAAGTTTCCACTTTTCCATCTTAGCAGCTTCTCCGAAGCTCTGTGGAGACTCTCCCCACTCCCACCCCTTGGCAGTGGGACGTCACCATCGGAGCCGGCCGGTCGCTACCCTTGGGAACAGAATTCAAAGTTTGCAATACCAATCTCTGCCCTTGTGGGATGACTGGGCAGCCCGACCCAAAATAGCTGGGAAAGGCGGGATGTTAGGGCCGCGGTGGGAAAACTCACAGTGCTGCTAATGACATGCTGTGCTTATCTGGAACCGAGTGTCTTGCAGACTTTAACTGAGATCACATTGCTTTTTCCAGCAATAAGTAAACAGACCCAGCGAGTGGTGGTGACAGGCCCAGGGAGAGAGAAAGAATTACCAAATCAGGGAGGGCACAGAACGTGCTGCCTTCCCTGCCAGGGGTTCCAGGAAATATTTCTTCCCATTCTAGGATCTACCCTTGACTAAGAATATGGGATGATTTGGGAATATTCAGGAAGCCTTTAGGGGTTTTGACCCAGACACCTTGTGTAGATGTGAGCTCCTAGGGAGTTTTAGGATGGGTTTGTGGGGGCTAAGAGAGAGACCTTGGGGAGGGGACTCAGTCTTTCTGGAAGTTGGCTTTGACTTCTGACCCATAATCTCAGGGCTGATGAAATCCCCCAGGCACTGTGGCTGATTTTTATTTTTGATTTCTGTTGTTGTTGCCCAACAGGAAAGGATTTTGCCAAAGGGAAAACACTCTGCCTCTTGTTGCTTGGGGGCACCTAAGGCTGAGAAGGAAGAAAATCAGCCACTCTGCAAGGACATCCCTTGCTTGCCAAAGTTTCCATCTTTCCTACTTAAAATTACAAAGCAGAAGTGAAGTTGATGACAAAGAGCATTAGGAACCTGGCATGCTCTCTATTTTGGATTTTTTTTTTCACTTTATTGAGGACAAGCTTGTATTCTCTGGGAGCTGGCCTTGTGAGTCTTTGCCCATTGCCTGCTGCCTTGAGTTGTGAGCCATGATGGTGGCACCTAAGACATGTGCTCAGACCTCAACTCCTATTCTTTGGAAGTTCCCATGCCTCCGAGCCTTGGGTCTCACACAAGATCTTGGGAAACCCCAGGCTCTCTTTGTTACCGTTTGATACCACTCCTCCCTATCCCCAGTTTCTGCCTCAAGGAAAATGAGTAATCCCTTTTCTAATCTCCTCCTTCCCTCCTCTTCCCAAGAGGATGGAAGGAAGATTATACTTGTAATAATGGTAGTTGCAATGAACAATGTGTCTGTTCCACCAACCTTTTTATTAATCATGTGAGAAGCTACAGGTTCACAATCACTTCTCCAAAATCCCTGAAATGCAAAAAATCTGAAACCTTAGTTTTTCCCTAAAGTTGGCACACACAAATTTGACAGAACAATGTGGCTTGAACTATCCTGAGACTATGGATGCCTTCATCCCACTGCCGAATATTCAAGTGTTTAACGAAGGGGCGCTGCCCGAAGCCCACTGGGTAAGATGCTTTGTGGGATATTTGCATCTGACTCTGAACATATCTGACCTCCTTGGTTCCAGATAAGAGACCCTGGACCTATCTCTGCTTTGTAGATAAGGAAGCTAAGGCCCACTGAAGTTTGGTAGCATCCCCAGGCTGCCTCAAGGTAGGACAGAGCCGGGACAAGACCTCCTAGTAGGATGAGCCAGGTGCACCTGGAAGAGATGACCAGCCTTCAGCTGTCTTTCTAGAACTTTGCACTATATTGGGCCTCTGAGTTCTGTCTTGGAATTGTGTTAAAGATAACTGTTTTCCAGTTCTTCAACACCAAAGCCATCTTGGATGGGGTAAAGAGAAAGAATAAATATTCCATCATCCACAACTTTTTTTTTTTTTTTTGAGATGGGGGTCTTGCTCTGTTGCCCAGGCTGGAATGCAATGCCATGATTAGGGCTCACTGCAGCCTTGACCTCCTGGGCTCAAGGGATCCTCTCACCTCAGCCTCCTGAGTAGCTGGGATTACAGGTGTGTGCTGCCAAGCCCAGCTAATTGTTTTATATTTTGTAGAGACAAGGTCTCACTATGTTGCCCAGGCTGGTTTTAAACTCCTGGGCTCAAGTGATCCTCCCGCCTCAGCCTCCCAAAGTGCTGGGATTAAAGGTGTGAGCCACCACACCCAGCCCATCATCTGCATCTCTTTCTCTTTCAAGCTGTGTGTCCCGCTTTGTGAATTCTGGTATCTGCCCACGACTTTCCTGAGTCTGAGGCTCCCAGGCAGGGCAACAAGAAGCCTTCTCATTGCACTGAGGGATTTCCTAGCTCGTAAGAGTTCTAGAAAGTCCCAGATTCTCTGAAGTATGGACGAAGGTCTCATAAGGGCTGCAAAAAATGCTGTTGTTTTCTCTGGTATCCCTGCACCAAGGGCTATTTGAGGACAGAGTAACTAAGGAAAGGTCAGTCCGTGTGCTAAGCCTTGCTCCTGGTGACTGGGAAACTTCCTCATGTCACTTACAGGAATGGAGACAAGCTTATCTCTGGCTTTTCCTGTATCAATAAGCAACCAGGGATGTAGGTTTTGCCAAGCCTCAGACACGTATGCCAAGAACACAAGCAACCCCTGATCTTCTAAGCCTAGCGGAGGCTGCATCTCTAGTTGGTTAAGTAGTGTTGACTTCATATCCCCATCGTGTCCTCTGAGTTCCCCCTGGGTGCTGGAGGCCTGGCAGCCTTTCTCCCTGTACTCACAGGAGGGGTTGACGCATGCAGTCAGGGCCTCTGTGGAGTGGCTTTTGGGCGCCTCGCCTGCCCGGAAGCCTCCCCTTCTGTTCTCATCTCCATTTGTCCTCAGCTCTACCTGAGTGCTGGCCTCGCCCAGCCTGGGGCAAGGCAGTGGGCATTGTGCTTGCACCCTCTTCTTCCTCTCCTTTTTGATTCTTTTCATCTGTCCAGTTGTTGGTGCGGCGGATGGGAGGACACTCCAGGCAGGGAAAGGTGAGGCCTCTTAGTTTTGCTCTGAATGTCCCAACCAGCATCCCCATTTTCGCATCTCCTGTTTGTCCAGAGACAGACCCTCACAGGAGGGATAACAAAACAAAAAAATCCAGCTGCAACATCGAGGTGAGGGGCAGCTCGGAGAGAACAGGGCAGAGGGGGGAAAAAAGAAGCAAAAAAAGGGGGAATGCTGTTATCATCAGAGCTGGCTTCTGCTTCTCTGGCCAAATCCTTCCCCTGCTAGTGATATGGTAAGTTTCCAGAGCAAGCTGGGCTGACGCAGAGTCTAGGGATGGAGACTGGGTCCCAACCAGGGCCGGCTCTGGAGCAGCCTGGATCAGGGATCAGGATGGGAGGGCAGCCTACGGGCCTTGTTCAGAAAAAATATTTGTGTATGACTGAGAAAATGTCAGGTTTTCATATCAAGGAATGAGAGGCCTGATAGAGACTGAGGAGTGCTTCCAGCCATCCTGGGCTCACCACTGTACTCGTGCTGTTCTCTAGAAAATGGAAATCTTCCCGGCAGGGGCTCCTTCCTAACCTTTAGATCACAGAGCTCTCAAGACTCTGAACAAAACAGTGGACCATCACCTTCCAAAGGTGATGCGCGCGCGCGCACACACACACACACACACACACACACACACACAGTTTGGCATTTTGTTATAGGGGGTTCACAGATTCCCCCAAACCTGTCTGAGTCCCCGATAATGCACAGGGCGTCTCAGGTCTGCCACTGTTTGGAGACCTGACCCCTCAGGGTTGGCCACAGCGGATCCCGGAGGCCTTGGGGCTCATCCCTCTGCTACCAAGTGACTAGGAGCGCTCAGCCTTGCTGGGCACCCCCATCCTGCGGGGGGCATTCTCGTCCGGGGCTCGCAGCCCCTCCGCCTCTGGACGGACCTCCAGACTCACGGAATCTGCCCCACCCCCACTCTCAGCCTGGCGGGCTCCCCAGGGGGCCGGGAGGAGGCGGCCGCTGGATTTCCCTGAGGCGCGGCGCGGGGCACACACGGTTAATCCTCCGCGGCTGCTGTTTGGACGAAAAGCGCTGGGGGTGTTGGAGGCTCCTCGCTGCTCACATCTGGCTGGGCTTCGCTCCTTGCGCGTCTGTCCCACTTTCTCCCTCTCTTCCTTTACTTTCGAGAAACCGCGCTTCCGCTTCTGGTCGCAGAGACCTCGGAGACCGCGCCGGGGAGACGGAGGTGCTGTGGGTGGGGGGGACCTGTGGCTGCTCGTACCGCCCCCCACCCTCCTCTTCTGCACTGCCGTCCTCCGGAAGACCTTTTCCCCTGCTCTGTTTCCTTCACCGAGTCTGTGCATCGCCCCGGACCTGGCCGGGAGGAGGCTTGGCCGGCGGGAGATGCTCTAGGGGCGGCGCGGGAGGAGCGGCCGGCGGGACGGAGGTAGGTGGCCGGGCCGGGGGACCCAGCGCTGCCCCGCCCCATCCTCGTGGCTTCAGCCTGGTGGCCAGGGCGGGGATGGCAGACACCTGGGCCGGGACGGACGGAGAGCGCCGTGGGAGGGGCCGGTTGGCGGTGGCGGCGCAGGGGCGGAAAGACCCGGGTTTTCGGGGGCAGCCCTGGCGTCTGGCTCTGGCTCAGCCCCCGCCATAGGCGCCTTTGCGCGGGGGTCATAATGGTCCCGGGTCTCCCTGACTGTGGAGGAGCGGGGCTTTTCTGCACGTGGATACTAACGGGAGGAATTGCACCTTCCCCCTAGTTTTTTGTGGGGTGTTTATCTTGTTTCACTGTTCTCTGGTGCCTTTCTGAGGGTGTGGAAGGAAGAGGAATGGTACTAATGCCCGCGGCTGCACCTGGCGGGGATGCCCTCACCCCACTCCTTATCACTGGGACCACCTGACCGCCGGGTCTGTCCAGTCCTGTCTGTGGCCAACCTGGACCTTCACGGAATAGGAAGCGCTGACTTTGGCCCCCCGCATCTGACAGCCTTGGTGTCCTGGAGGGGGTCCAGCTTGGGCAGGAAAAAACGGTGTTGCTTCCCCGGGGCCCTCCTGGGAAGCGAAGCTGCCTGTGCCGCTGGGAGTGGCCCCCCCGGCCTGGGGCTGGAGCCTCTGAGCCGCCCTGGGGCTTCTGGACCTCGCAGGTGGACCCACCGCCCACCACCCAGCCCTCCATGGCTTCTCCACCGGTGCAGGTGTGGTCCCCACTGTTAGCCCGGGCCTCGCGGGGCCAATACCCGGGCCACACTCTTCCAGCCCCAGAAAGCCAGATTATCTTCTCTGGACCCTCCGCGTGCTTCAGGCACCCTTGGGCCGACTCATCCCTGCTTGGGAGGGAGGGAGGAAGCCGCCCCCCTCTGTGAGGTGTTCCTGACTCTTCTACCCCACCTAGTTTCTAGGAAAGGAGGCAACATGACGTGCTGGGAGCTTTCTGGTCCTGAGCTTTGAACATGAGAAATGCCGTGAGAAACTGTTTTCTCCACCGCTGGCCACTTCACAGCCCCAGGGGAGCATGTGATGTCCTTACAGGCTGCCCGGCCTCTGCTTTTTATAGTGCAGGAAAGTACACACTCCCTGGCAGGCCGTGCAGCCATGAACAGCCACAGATAGACGCACTTGGCTGTGGTGTGTGCTGCAGGGAGCGGGAGGACATGGGAGGACGTGCTCCAGGAGGCCTCTCCAGCACCTGCCAACCGGGGAGGAGGGAACCAAGACAGGGAGATGGGAGCCGAGGTCTGAGGACAAGCAGAAGCTTCCCCACCCTCCCTCTTAGAGCTGCAGAGCTGGAGAGGCCCCTAGAGTCCACCCAACAACAACAGTGGCAATCATCATCACCATCATCATCATCATCACCATCATCATCATCATCATGATGTCAGCCACAGGTTTGTGTGTCTGCTTCTCACATGGCAGGCGCTCAACATTATATTAATAATTATAATAATTATTATAATAGTTAATTCTCAACACTTCTATCAAGGGAACTCTCACTTGTGGAAAGAGCAGAGCTGCAAAGCTCAAGAGGCTCACGGCTTGCTTGAGGTCTCAGAGACAGGGATGGAGGACTCAAGACTCCAATCTGTGTCTTTATCCCAAGTGCGTCATATGCTTCTTTTTTTTTTTGAGACAGAGTTTCGCTTTTGTCATCCAGGCTGGAGTGCAAGGCCAAATCTCGGCTCACTGCAACCTCCACCTCCCAGGTTCAAGCGATTCTCCTGCCTCAGCCTCCCAAGTAGCTGGATTAGAGGTGTGTACCACCACGCCTGGCTAATTTTGTATTTTTAGTAGAGACTGGGTTTCACCCTGTTGGTCAGGCTGGTCTCAAACTCTTGACCTCAAGTGATCCACCCGCTTCAACCTTCCAAAGTGCTGGGATTACAGGGGTGAGCCACCGCGCCTGGCCTCCGGGGCGTATACTTTTAACCTTCCTATCTGGTGTTGGGAACATGGCACTCAGCTCGCCAAGCTGATGCTGGGAACTTCTCTCTCCCAGCTGCTAACAGAGAATGCCCAGGGGCAGGAAGGACACAGGTCCGCTACCCAGGGACTCTCTACTTCTCCTCCCGCCTCCCTCTCCTCCTCTTGTGTTGCCAAGGGTGGTGTCCCCAGTGAGCTCATTCAGGGAGGCAGGAAGCATGGTGCAGGAAGCCCTAGGTGGGCGCTGTGCGGCTACAGGACACCACTGCCCCTCCCAGGCAGGTGCAGCCAGCTGGCGAGGGACGTCCTCCCAAGTAGGAGCAGAGAAAGCCCAAGCTGTCCCAGGAAGGCCATGGGTTCCCTCCTTGTTCCTAGGAAGTGACCCCCCTTTTCAGGGCAACCAGGACAACAGAGTGTTTTTGGAACATGCTCCTTTCTGTTCTTCTTCCTGGTGCCTCCCCCCAGCTGTAATTAGCATGACTCATAAACCAAATATTCTGGCATTGAACTTTGCTCATCAAAACAAAGATGAAAAGAATTTCATAGATACAGTTGTGCGCAGGGACTGGAGCTTCCCATTTGTGTCTTGTCCTCAGGGGTCCCTGTTCCTGGGCGGGGGGGGGCTGTGGCTGAGGCTCCAGAACCTTAGGGAAGGGGTGGGGGTGACGGACACCAGGAAGGGCAGGAAGAAGTAGCAGGTTACACCATCCCCTGGACGATCCCACCTCTGCCTGACAATCAGTAGCCTCTAGAGATGTTCAAGTGGGGGCACTCCCTCATGGGCCACAGGTTGCCATTTCCCCTGTTAACCTGCTGAAATTGGCCTGCTGGTGTCAAATGGCACAAGGCAGCTCTCTGGACAGGACCCTGCCATCTCCCTGACCCCTTCATACAGGGCAAGAACTCACCTGCCCACTTTAGAGAGCAGTCTGGAAGAAACAGCGACGTCAGCTCAGCTCAACAATGTGTTTCCTTCAGGCTCTCTTGGGGCAGCCCAGCAAGCCGCTCTCATGAGCCAGGGATCCTTGGGGCCCTGTCCTGGGGTCTATGCTGGGGTCCTTGGCCTGGAAGGGCCAGTCCTGAGCTTAAGCAGGGACATGCAGGAGCAGGACATGCTCACTCCTTTCCTCCTTCCCGAGCCCCGCAGTGAGATGCTCCAACTGCTGCCGCTGCAGCCTCTAGTTCTCTGGGAGAGGCATGCGGTGTGAGCAGGAAGGGAGGGGCTTCGGAGCCATGTGGGAAGGATCTTTATCTCTGGGTCCTTGTCAAGGTCACGGCTGTGTGACACTTGTGCTGGGGTGATATGAGTGGCTCTTGGCAAATCAGCACCCCTCCAGCTGCCTGTTCTTGCCTACATTTGATTTCCAGAGCTGGGCTTGGCATCTGAATGTGGTTCAAAGGGGGATGGTCTCCAGCAGGGGCACGGGGACCCCCACAGTCCCCACTGTACACCAGGGCACTGCTATCTTGCCTCTGAGGCCCCCTGGATCTAAGCCGTTCTCCAGCTTCAGATGGGGCTGGCACAGACTGCAGGCCCCTCCCCGGGCCCCCATCCTGTCCAGGACGGCCGTCGGGACGGCTGTGGCCGGGCCGGTGTCTGCCCATCTCCCTGGCTCCTGTAGGAATTTTCCTTGACACGAGACAGAGTAGAGCAGGAGACGGCAGGCAGGGAGGCAGGAGTCGAGGGGAGGAGGAGAAGAGGCAGACAGGCAGGCGGGGCATGGGGAAGTCAAGTTCTTGGTGCCCTGTGCTGGGTCAAATGTTGTTCTTGGCCACGGCTAAAGCCACACTTGGTGGAATGCCCCAAACCCTATGCTTTGGGTTGTACCCATCCCCCTCAGCAAGACATCTGGATAACAGCCACCCTCTGCCCTGGGGAGCAGGGAAGCTGCTGGGAAAGCTGCCAGCCCTGGGTGGGTTCGAGGCAGATGTAGGTCAGAAGGCGGGCAGGGCCCCCTGACTCTGCCCACAGGTTCCTGGGGCCAGTCTTCAGAGCTGGGGACAGAGGTGTGTTCAGAAAACGCTTAGACCCATTCTCCTTGTAAAGAATCTAAAGTGAGAGATGGAAGGATCTGGGTGGGTTAGGGGGTGACCACAGGTCTCTTGCGTCCTCTGGCATTCAGGGGAGCCCCCTCCTCCATGAAAGGATATCAATGAGGGCAAGGCCCATGGTCCTGAGGGTCCTCCCCGTGTGGTGCGTGAACTTAGATTCCTTTGCAACTCAGAGCTCAGGTCTGCTTGTGCCCATTAGAGGGCACTGGTCGGGAGAGAAAAATCATCTGTACCCCAGCACATGGGTCTTTTCCTCCCTTCTTCAGAGCTTGCCAGCATGCTGGTGTCTCTTCACCCTACAAAAGCAGTGCCCTAAAAATGCACATCCGATGGGCCACACTGCCCAAGCCCCTCACATTTTAAGGTGTGTGTGTGTGTGTGTGTGTGTGTGTGCATGCACGCGCGGGTGTTCCTGGTGATCCTGTGCCTAAATCCAAAGGAATTAAACTCCGGTGGTGTATTTTAAGATGCTAGCAGGCTGGCACCAGGGATATCTTAGCACATTGCATCAAGGAAGATGGTTACAGGTTTCCCTGGTACCCCATACCATACCTGGCATGTAGTGGGCACTCGGTAATCCTCTGTTGAATGATGAATGCAAGGGCTCAGCTGCTGGATACAGTCCTCGAAGCCAAAGGCTGCTGCAGCGGTTCCACCTATAAACAAGTAAGCAAATTGGTGGGCACCGTAACCCTGAGCCCAGTGGGCGGGAACGGTCGCTGCACCATGGCTTGGGAGGAGGAGGAGCCTATGCTCTCTGGCATCTTTCTGGCCACCCCTCGGGGTGAAGTGTAATGTGCTTTGCTGTCGGACACACCTAGGTCTAATCTGAGCTCCAGCACCTCCCCACTGTGGAACCTGGGGCAAGCGGCTCCATCGCTCTGAGGCTGTTTGCGCATTCTAAGGATCAGGTATTCTAAGGATTAGGCATTCTAAGGATCAAGCTTTCTAAGGATCAAGCTCAGTGGTGTAGGGAAGGCACCATGGCCAGAGTCTGGCTCTCAGTGGTGGCTTTTCAGGGGTAGCGGGGCTTTGTCAGAAGGAATCTCTGATAAACATTGGGCTACTCCTGGGTCCAGGAACATGCTGGCCATTGCACATCACGCACAGGATGGGCTGCAGGACGGGGCTCCGTTTCCTTCTGTTTCACGGCTGCAGGCCACCGGCCCTACTCAGGCAGCCTCCTTCAACAGCAAGGGCCAAAGACGAACAAAGCCCCTCACTGCTAGGAAACGGGTTCTCTCTGGCTCGCCTAATTCCAGCCTGGATGAAGTGCCACCCTGCTGGGCTCCCTACCACCTGTGCTGTTCCTGGTCCTAACACATCCCATACCATAGCTGCCAGGGACTCTACTGCCCAAGGGAAAGGGCATCTTGTTCCGTTCGTCCCAAGAATCCAGCTCCCTGCTGGGTAGGTAGTAGACACTCAATAAACACCTGTTGAACAAATGAGCAAAAGAGCGTGAGACTTCAGCACTAGGTCAACTTGTATTCCCCGTGGTTCCGCTTGAGCCTCAAACGATGCAATATAACAAGCTCTCTTTTCTCCCCATCCTACTCTTCTATGCATCTAGTCGAGTTTCCTGGAATAAACAAAATGCTCCCTTAGTCCCCAGGGTGGGGCTTATTTGTCATTTTTCTAGTGGAAAATAATGTGTACTTACTGTGAAAAAGGACGTGACTGTTACAGGGGAAAGAAACAGAGAGGCCAAAATAAGAAAATGGTAAGCATCTGTATTTTCATCACCGCAGATAATTGCTGTTGGCAGCCTGGTGGGTGGCCTTTGGGTCTTTGTGGTTTTGTGTGTGTGTGTGTGTGTGTGTGTGTATGTGTATGTGTGTGCCTGTATGTGCGTGTGTTTGGGTCTGCATGTTTTCATTCTGCATTTTCAAAACTCATTACTGCTTTACAAACTTTCTCTCTCTTTCTTCTTTCTTTCTTTTCTTTCTTTCTTTCTTTCTTTCTTTTTCTTTCTTTCTTTCTTTCTTTCTTTCTTTCTTTCTTTCTTTCTTCTTTCTTTCTTTTTCTTTCTTTCCTCTCTTTCTCTCTCTCTTTTCCTTCCTTCCTTTCTTTTTCTTTTCTTTTCTTTTTCTTTTTTGAGACAGAGTCTTGCTATGTTGTCCGGGCTGGAGGGCAGTGGCGTGATCTCAGCTCACTGCAATCTCCATCTCCTGGGTTCAAGCGATTCTCCTGCCTCAGCCTTCCGACTAGCTGGGATTTTAGGCACACGCCACCACACCCAGCTAATTTTTGTACTTTTTAGTAGAGACGGGGTTTTACCATGTTGGTCAGGATGATATTGAACTCCTGACCTCAAGCGATCCGCCTGCCTCGGCCTCCCAGAGTGCTGGGATTACAGGCGTGAGCTACTGTGCCCGGCCCAAACATCTTTCCATGTCAGTAAATATTCACCTATTTACAGAGACGCCTAACTGGTGCTGCTGGCTGATTCTGCTCCCCAGTCCCTCCATATTATTTCTTTTCTTTTCTTTTTTTTTTTTTTTGAGATGGAGTCTTGCACTGTCGCCCAGGCTGGAGTGCAGTGGCATGATCTTGGCTCACTGCAAGCTCCACCTGACAGGTTCATGCCATTCTCCTGCCTCAGCCTCCCAAGTAGCTGGGACTACAGGTGTCTGCCACCACGCCCGGCTAATTTTTTGTATTTTTAGTAGAGACGGGGTTTCACCATGTTAGCCAGGATGGTCTCCATCTCCTGACCTCGTGATCTGCCTGCCTCGGCCTCCCAAAGTGATGGGATTACAGGCGTGAGCCACCGTGCCCAGCCCATATTATTTCTTTAAATGTCTTTAGAAAGAACGCGTTTACTGGTTTACCACAATCCCCATCCCTCCCTATTGCTGATTTCACCACTCTCATCAACCACCTTGTTTTTCTAGTTTCCATCATATGGATGGATGCACTGTAAATTTTTTGTTTTCTTTTTTTGAGATGGAGTTTCACTCTGTCACCCAGGCTGGAGTGCAGTGGTGCTATTTCACCTCACTGCATCCTCGCCTCCCAGGTTCAAGCAATTCTCCTGCCTCAGCCTCCCGAGTAGCTGGGATTACAGGCATGTGCCATGCCTGGCTAAATTTTGTATTTTTAGTAGAGACAAAGTTTCACCATGTCGGCCAGGCTGGTCTTGAACTCCTGACCTCAGGTGATCTGCCTGCCTCAGCCTCCCAAAGTGCTGGGATTACAGGCGTGAGCCACTGCACCCAGCCATGTATTTCATTAGACTGTCTTCCTGGACATGTAGGTGGTTTGTAACCTTGGTGAATGGAGGCAGTGGTTTCATCTCTTTGAAGCAATAGACTTTCTGAGTGCAGATAAGAGGAGCGTTTCTAGGGAAGATGGCTACATGGCCACACCAGGAGTCAGCACTCTGGTGACAGTGATGTACCTTGGATCTCTGTGTCCCCAGCTGGAATTAGAGAGAGATTTGGACAGGCTTGTGGCTGAGGCATGTCATCTTTGGACGATGGCTCTGTACTTGGGATTGATTGAAGGTGAGGAGAGCATTGGAGCCCTGTTGAGAGTTAGACACCGGATGCTGGTGATGCCTGAGAAATGAGATGGGGCTCCCATTTCCCAGGGGCTTGGAGTCTTGGGGACAGGACGAGGAAACCAAGGACTGTAGACCGGTTCGTCCGGATGCTGGGGGAGGGGCACCTACAGCACACCCAGGTCTGGGCAACTTCCCGGAGGAGGTGGCCTCAGGCTGAGCTCTGGAGAATACACGGATGGAGAAGGTGGAGGAGAAACAGGCATCCAGACAGAGGAAAGAGCGGGTGCCAGAGGACGAGACCTCAAGTGTGATCTGTTAGGGACTGAGTAGCTCCAGGGAGCTGGACTGAAAGGGACTCACGCGGGGTGGGGAAGGGCCAGATGGAAACGCTCAGGGCTTACTCCCTCCTTTACTGGCATAGGAAGCCCTTGGAGCCAGGGGTGGCATTCAGATTTGCGTTTTTCAGAGCTGCCTCTGGAAGCAGCGTGGGAGACAGATGGGAGGCAGAAAACCAGCCAGGGCTGGGGAAGAAGTGATGGAGAGGAGAGGAGACCTGCAGGGGGCTGGCGATGGATGAGATGTGGCGGGTGCAAGGAAGGTGGCATCCAAGTGGCTTGCAGGCTTCTGGCCCGGGACCCCGCGTGATGGCATGCATAGCTTTCACCAAGCTGCAAGCCACAGGAGGAGAAGCTAATGTGGTAAGGACGGGGGAGAAGGATATGAGTTAATTGGGGGCTTAAAAGCCTTAGGGCAGAGCAGCCTGGTGCGGTGGCTCACACCTGTAATCCCAGCACTTTAGGAGGCCGAGGCGGGTGGATCGCTTTGAGGTTAGGAGTTCGAGACCAGCCTGACAAACATGGCAAAACCCCATCTCTACTAAAAATACAAAAATTAGCTGGGCGTGGTGGTGGGCACCTGTAATCCCAGCTACTTTGGAGGCTGAGGCAGGAGAATTGCTTGAACCCAGGAGGCGGAGGTTGCAGCGAGCCAAGATTGTACCATTGTACTCCTGCCTGGGTGACAAGAGCAAAACTCTGTCTCAAAAAAAAAAAAAAAAAAAAGTCTTAGCGCAGAGCAAAGAGGAGGTGTTCAGCAGATGATTGCATATGTGGGTCTAGACCAGCGCTGCCCAGCAGAACCTTCAGCTGTGGTGCAAGGTGCTAAGAGCTGTGCTGTCTAGTATGGCAGCTGCTAGTCACGTGAGCACTTAAAATGTGGCTCCTTGGCCGAGAACTGGATGTTTCATTTTGTTTAACTGACATAGCTCCATGTGGCTCGTAGCCACTGTACTGACTTAAACATTTGCAAGCCCAGGTCTCAGCAGCCAGGTCAGTGGTGGGGACATGGAATGGGGCATTGTCAGCTGAAGATGTGGTGTGGACCAGGACAGGCAGAAAGAGGTCAGGCACGGTGGCTTCACGCTGATAATCCTACCCGCTTTGGGAGGCCAAGGCTGGAGGATTGCTTGAGACCAGCCTGGGAAACATAGTGAGATCCTGTCTCTAAAAAAAAAAAATTTTTTTTTTTAATTAGCTGGATGTGGTGGCATGTGCTTGTAGTTCCAGCTACCCGGGAGGCTGAGATGGGAGGATCACTTGGGTCCAAGGGTTTGAAGCTGCAGTGAGCCATGACTGTACCACTGCACTCCAGCCTGGGTGACAGGAGACCCTGTCTCCTAAATAAATAAATAAATAAATGTAGAATTAGGAGCAAGAGGAGCTGAGAGCTGAGGAACAGCCTGGGAGAGCACCTGTCTTTGGGGGTTGATCAGGAAGGCTAAACACTGGGAGACAGTGTGGGCCAAACCCCATGGCTGAAGAAGAGGGCAGTCGACATTGGCAGATGCTTACAGTGCGCACGAAAGAGGAATGCAGAAGGGTGTTGGGTGCCACGAGGGTCGTGGGTGATCGTAGCCAAGCAGTCGGGGCGGGGCCAGCAGGAGGAGGGCCAGTGGGATGCTGTGCTGATTATATTCCTGACCTAGAAGCCCCAGGCTGGGGATAAAGCCCTGTCTTATGCCAGGCTTCCTCAGGAGCTGCCTGGAAAATGCTGGGGCTTGTCCAGGCCCCAGACAACCAAATACGTTTGTGCTGCTTGTAAAGGGCTGGGTGCGACGGGGCACCAGGCCATAGAATTCCCAGGTTCTTTCCTCCCTCTGTTTTGGGAGCGGTCGGTCCCCGAGGGCGTCCCCGCTGCTGGTGCTAGGGAAGTGGGCGGCGGGCCAGGCCACCTGCAGAGTGGGCTCAGGACAGCTGTTGGTGCCTCTTCTCTCTCACACGGTTCTCAAAGCAGGGGCAAGCCTGCCGCCCGAGGCCTTCCAGCTGGGAGGTGAGCTGAGGACAGCTGCTCTACTCAAGGAAATCTTTGTTTCCACTGGGACGGAATCGGAGCTCTGGAGGCTGGGCTGGCCAAGCGCCCCGAAGGCCCGATGCCTGACGGCTCATGCGGCCTCCTTGTTTGCAGGGCCTGGGCAAAAATTTACACTGAGTCCCACTCTTCGCTCCAGGTGAGTCCTTCCTGGTGAAGGTGCAGTTGCTCCAAGATGGGAGGGAGATGCTTTAGGATGGGAGAATTCTTGGCCTATCTTCGCTTCACTTTTTTGTCCCAAGCCAGACCTCATTCCCCTCCAGGGAAGAGGAAACCGTTGCTAATTAAGTAGCAAGTAACCCTGGAAGAGTCTGTATTCATCCCTGGACTTGGGCTTTGGAAGTAACCAAATAAACACCTAAGCCTTAAAAACAAACCCTCCTTCTGCAAGACAGAGGGCAGCTTTTTGGAAACAGGAGAGAGGGAGATTGAGAGAGGAGATAGGCTCCAGGACCCCAGCATCTCTCAGGAAAAGGGGCTGCTCGGCTCCATCTGGCGAGAATTCCTTCCATAAGGGACCCCCATCCACCACGAGGTTGAGGGAAAGAGGGAGAGTCTGAGACCAGTGGGGGCAGTGCAGTTAGAGCAGGGAATATTAGCTATTAAATGGGCTTCTAGAAGAGGTAAACACACATCACTCATCAAATGGGAGCCACTCTGCCCGCCTCCTGCCCATCACCGGAGGAGTTTGGTCATTGGGCAATTAGTGTGATGAATGAATGGCTTCTGGCAGGGAGGAAAGGGCTATGAGCAGATGTCACCTGTCAGAAGGACACCCCAACGTGGCACCTTCCTCTTTCTTGGCACCCCAGTACCTGAATCCTCTTGCAGCAACAGGAGAGCTCTAAGCTTCTCAACAGGAGAATTCTACCAGACGTCAGAGCCGAGGGGGAGTGGACTCAGGGCTTCTCTTCTGGTTGGGAGGATTCTGGGGATGTTCCAAAGGTGGCTGGAGGGGATGGCACGAAGGGGTGGTGATGGCTAAGGGGCCGTTGAGGCTGTGTAGAAACCAGGAGTGTTTGAGTTCTGGGCTGAATCGTATTTTTTTTTTTTTTTGAGACAGTCTCACTTTGTTGCACAGGTTGGAGTGCAGTGATGCGATCTCAGCTCACTGCAACCTCTGCCTCCTGGGTTCAAGCGATTCTCCTGTCTTAGCCTCCTGAGTAGCTGGGATTACAGACACACACCACTGCACCCAGCTAATTTTTGTATTTTTAGTAGAGACAGGGTTTTACCATGTTGGCCAGGCTGGCCTCGAGCTCTTGGCCTCAAGTGATCTGCCCACCTCAGCCTCCCAAAGTGCTGGGATTATAGGCGTGAGCCACCATACCTGGCCTGAATCCAATTCTTGAACTGGACACCACTAGATGTGGGATAAAGTCCTATCTTATGCCAAGTTTCCTTGGGAGATGAATGTAAACTGGGGGCGGGGGCAATGTCTAGACCCTGGAAAAGGCAGACGAAGATGCTTGTCTTGGGTGGACTGAGGTCTGGGGGACAGCGGAGCCCCTGGAGGGCATCTGATACAGGCACAGGGCAGGAGGGAGAGTTGACCTTTAGGATCTATTCAAGCAGGCTGGGGATGGATGAGATGCGGATGCATGAGAGGAAAGGGTCTAAACGCCTCTCAGATTTCTGGCCTGCTGTTTGTTCACAGTTACTCTTCCTCCTTGATGACTTCATTTTAATCTAGAACAGAGCTGTCCAACAAAACTTTCTGCAATGATTGAAATGTTCTATTCTATACTTTCCAACATGGTAACCACTAGCTACATGTGGCTTTTTATTTTTATGTTTTGAGAGAGGGTCTTGCCCTGTTGCCCAGGCTAGGGCGCAGTGGTGCAGTCGTGGCTCACTGCAGCCTCAACCCCCTGAGATCAACCAGTCCTCTTGCCTCAGCCTCCAGAGTAGCTGGGACTACAGGTGCACACTACCATGCCTGGCTAATCTTTGCATTTTTTGTAGAGATGGGGTCTCGATATATTGCCCGGGCTGGTCTTGAACTCCTGGGCTCAGGCGATCCTCCCACCTTGGCCTCCCAAGGTGCTGAGATTACAGACATGAACCACTGTGCCCAGCCTACATGTATTAATAGTTATTGAATGCTTGAAATGCGGCTAGTGTAGCTGAAGAACTGAATTTTGAATTTTCTTTCATTTTAATTAATTTAAATTTAAATAGCCACACATAACAGCCACTGTACCGGACAGCACAGTTCTAGAATGTTACCCACTTAGCATTTTAATTCAACATGTGTTGTTCTGTCTTGAGCTATAATTGGGTACGTGTCTGTTTCCTTCACTAGCCTGTTATATTCTTGAGGTCAGGGAATAGATTTAATTCCTGGTTGAATCACTTCCTCCCAAGCTCTTGCACAATGCCATGCAAATCATGGGCATTCAGTAAACCCAGCCTGTGTTAGATGGTCAGCTGAGAGGGCAGCTTGGACATGTCTGCCAAGGCTCCTTCCAATTCAAGGAGATTATAGGCTTCTTGCCTCTCAGAACAGCTGCTCACCTGATGAGGATTAAAGAAAAAGGAAAACAGTGTTTACAGAATGCTTTTGTCAAAAGGCCCTGCGCTGGGTGGAGCATAAGGACAAAACCCAGGCACATAGTCCCAGAGCTTCAGAGGTCCGCTGTCAGCACACAAGCATGAGAGCACGGAGGTGAAACAAAAATATAACAGGACCCACTTATTTGTTTATTTATTCACCATGCCCAGCTATTTTTTTGTTTTTGTTTTTGTTTTTTTGAGATGGAGTCTCGCTCTGTCGCCAGGCTGGAGTGCAGTGGCATGATCTCGGCTTAGCACAACCTCCGACTCCCTGGTTCAAGCGATTCTCCTGCCTCAGCCTCCCAAGTAGCTGGGATTACAGGCACGTGCCACCACGCCCAGCTAATTTTTGTATTTTTAGTAGAGCCAGGGTTTCACCATGTTGGCTAGGATGGTCTCCAATCTCCCGACCTCGTGATCCACCCGCCTCGGCCTCCCAAAGTGCTGGGATTACAGGTGTGAGCCACTGTGCCCGGCCAATTTTGGTATTTTTACTAGAGACAGGGATTTGCCATGTTGGCCAGGCTGGTCTCGAACCCCTGACTTCAAGTGATCCACCCTCCTCGGCCTCCTAAAGTGCTGGGATTACAGGCGTGAGCCACTGCGCCCAGCCAAAAGGCCCAATTTGAAACAAATATAAGGAATGGTGAACTTGCATGTGACTACTCTCTCCTTAAAGGACCTACCACAGAGCTAAGAGGCCTGTGGAGGGATAAAAATTATTATTATTATTATTACCACAGGGTCTCACTCTGTCACCCAGGCTAGAGTGCAGTGGTGCGATCATGGCTTACTGCAGCCTTGACTTCCTGGACTCAGGTGATCCTCCTACCTCAGTCTCTTGAGCAGCTGCTGGGACTACAGGCGAACACCACCATGCCTGGCTAATTTTTGTGTTTTTGGTAGAGATGGGGCTTCACCATGTTGTCCAGGATGGTCTTGAATTCCTAGGCTCAAGCAATCTACCCACCTTGGCCTCCCAAAGTGCTGGGATGACAGGTGTGAGCCACCACAAGCAAACAAGGGATACAATTTTTTTCTTTTTCTTTTTTTTTTTGAGACGGAGTCTCACTCTGTTGCTCAGGCTGGAGTGCAGTGGCGCGATCTTGGCTCACCACAACCTCTGCCTCCTGAGTTCAAGCAATTCTCCTGCCTCAGCCTCCCGAGTAGCTGGGACTACAGGTGCACCCCACCACGCCCAGCTAATTTTTGTATTTTTAGTAGAGATGGGGTTTCACCATGTTGGCCAGGCTGGTCTTGAACTCCTGACCTCAGGTGATCCACCTGCCTTGGCCTCCCAAAGTGTTGGGATTACAGGCGTGAGCCACCGCGCCCGGCCGGGATACAAATTATTCACAAGGATGTGTCCTCAGGCTTCCTGTCCTCCTCTACGTCCTGCGTGTAGCCTGGTTTCTCTTTTCTGGCCTCCCTCCTCCTGTAAAGGGGGATGTGTTCTTGTTGGGGAGAAGGTCAGGTGTAGGTGGATGATGTGGGGTTGAGGAAGGGACGCTGAAGAGCGGCTAGTCCTCAGGGACATGGAGGGAAGGAAAATGGTCGCCGAATTACCATGGAAATTGGCTCATATTTGCAGGATTTGGGAAAGGCAAGTAAAGAGCTTGAGTCATGCTGGAACTGTCTTCAGTTGCCTTGCCTGCGATGAGGCCTGGAGACTGGGCCACGTGGATCTGGATTCACACAGGTTTCACGTCACTGGCCAAGATGTGCTCAGGGCACTTCCCTGGAACTGCCTAACACATTCTTCCAGATAACCTTGCTGGGACACAGCCTCCCTACTGTAGGGGGATTTTTGCTGGAAATCACTAACAGTGATCTGGAGCCAAGTTTGGTTAGATGTTGGGCAATACTGTCTTTGCCCAAAAGTGACTAAAATGATCATCAT